>NC_000018.10:20257978-20561439 GCF_000001405.40 Homo sapiens | reverse complement strand
TCTGTCTAGATTTTACCTGAAGACAATCCCGTTTCCCACGAAATCCTCAAAGCTATGCAAATATCCTCTTGCAGATTCTACAAAAAGAGTGTTTCAAAACTGCTCTATGAAAAGAAAGGTTCAACTCTGTCAGTAGAGGGCACACATCACAAACAAGTTTCTGAGAATGCTTGTGTCTAGTTGTTATGGGAAGATATTTCCTTTTTCAACATAGGCCTGAAAGCGCTCCAAATGTCCACTTCCAGATACTACAAAAGGAGTGATTCCAACCTGCTCTATGATAGGGAATGTTCAACTCTCTGTCCTGAATACAAACATCACAAAGATGTTTCTCAGAACGCTGCAGTCTGCAATTTGTATGAATTCCCGCTTCCAACGAAATCCTCAAAACTAGCCAAATATCCACTTGCAGATTCCACAAAAAGAGCATTTCAAAACTGCTCTATCAAAAGAAAGGTTCAACTTTGTTAGTTGAGTAGATACAGCATAAACAAGTTTCTGAGAATGCTTCTGTCCAGTTTTTATGGGAAGATATTTCCTTTTTCACCTTAGCCCTGAAAGCGCTCCAAAAGTCCAGTTCCAGATACTACAAAAGGAGTGTTTCAGGACTGCACTATGAAAGGGAGTGTTCAACTTTTGACTTGAATGCAAACATCAGAAAGCAGTTTCTCAGAACGCTGCAGTCTGCAATTTGTATGAATTCCCGCTTCCAACGAAATCCTCAAAACTAGCCAAATATCCACTTGGAGATTCCACAAAAAGAGCGTTTCAAAACTTCTCTATGAATAGAAAGGTTCTACTCCTTTAGTTGAGGACACACATCACGAGTAAGTTTCTGAGAATGCTTCTGTCTAGTTTTTATGGGAAGATATTTCCTTTTTCACCTTAGGCCGGAAAGCGCTCCAAATGTCCACTTACACACACTACAAAAAGAGTGTTTCAAACCTGCTCTGTGAAAGGGAATGTTCAATTCTGTGACTTAAATGCAATCATCAAAAAGAACTTTCTGAGACTGCTGCTGTCTGCTTTTTATATGTAATCCCGTTTCCAACGAAATCCTCAAATCTAGCCAAATATCCACTTGCAGATTCCAGAAAAAGAGTGTTTCAAAACTGCTCCTTCAAAACGGTGGTTCAATTCTCTTAGTTGAATACACACATCTCAAATAAGTTTACTGAGAATGCTTCTGTCTAGTTGTTATGGGAAGATATTTCCTTTTCCAACATAGGCTTGAAAGCGCTCCAAATGTCCACTTCCAGATACTACAAAAGGAGTGATTCCAACCTGCTCTATGATAGGGAATTTTCAACTCTGTGTCCTGAATACAAACATCACAAAGATGTTTCTCAGAACGCTGCAGTCTGCAATTTGTATGAATTCCCGCTTCCAACGAAATCCTCAAAACTAGCCAAATATCCACTTGCAGATTCCACAAAAAGAGCGTTTCAAAACTTCTCTATGAAAAGAAAGGTTCTACTCCTTTAGTTGAGGACACACATCACGAGTAAGTTTCTGAGAATGCTTCTGTCTAGTTTTTATGGGAAGATATTTCCTTTTTCACCTTAGGCCGGAAAGTGCTCCAAATGTCCACTTACACACACTACAAAAAGAGTGTTTCAAACCTGCTCTGTGAAAGGGAATGTTCAATTCTGTGACTTGAATGCAATCATCACAAAGAACTTTCTGAGAATGCTGCTGTCTGCTTTTTATATGTAATCCCGTTTCCAACGAAATCCTCAAATCTAGCCAAATAGCCACTTGCAGATACCACAAAAAGAGTGTTTCAAAACTGTTCTGTCTAAAGAAATGTTCAACTGTGTTAGTTGAGGACACACATCAGAAACTAGTTTCTGAGAATGCTTCTGTCTAGTTGTTATGGGAAGATATTTCCTTTTCCAACGTAGGCCTGAAAGCGCTCCAAATGTCCACTTCCAGATACTACAAAAAGAGTGTTTCAAACCTGCTCTACCAAAGGGAATGTTCTACTCTGTGACTTGAATGCAAGCATCCCAAAGAAGTTTCTGAGAATGCTTCTGTCTAGATTTTCTCTGAAGACAATCCCGTTTCCAACGAAATCCTCAAGGCTAGGCAAATATACTCTTGCAGATTCCAGAAAAAGAGTGTTTCAAAACTGCTCCTTCAAAACGGTGGTTCAATTCTCTTAGTTGAGTACACACATCTCAAATAAGTTTCTGAGAATGCTTCTGCCTAGTTGTTACGGGAAGATATTTCCCTTTCCAACATGGGCCTGAAAGCGCTCCAAATGTCCACTTCCAGATACTACAAAAAGAGTGTTTCAAACCTGCTCTACCAAAGGGAATGTTCTACTCTGTGACTTGAATGCAAACATCCCAAAGAAGTTTCTGAGAATGCTTCTGTCTAGATTTTACCTGAAGACAATCCCGTTTCCCACGAAATCCTCAAAGCTATGCAAATATCCTCTTGCAGATTCTACAAAAAGAGTGTTTCAAAACTGCTCTATGAAAAGAAAGGTTCAACTCTGTCAGTAGAGGGCACACATCACAAACAAGTTTCTGAGAATGCTTCTGTCTAGTTGTTATGGGAAGATATTTCCTTTTCCAACATAGGCTTGAAAGCGCTCCAAATGTCCACTTCCAGATACTACAAAAGGAGTGATTCAAACCTGCTCTATGATAGGGAATGTTCAACTCTGTGTCCTGAATACAAACATCACAAAGATGTTTCTCAGAAAGCTGCAGTCTGCAATTTGTATGAATTCCCGCTTCCAGCGAAATCCTCAAAACTAGCCAAATATCCACTTGCAGATTCCACAAAAAGAGCATTTCAAAACTGCTCTATCAAAAGAAAGGTTCAACTTTGTTAGTTGAGTAGATACAGCATAAACAAGTTTCTGAGAATGCTTCTGTCCAGTTTTTATGGGAAGATATTTCCTTTTTCACCTTAGCCCTGAAAGCGCTCCAAATTTCCAGTTCCAGATACTACAAAAGGGGTGTTTCAAGACTGCTCTATGAAAGGGAGTGTTCAACTTTTGACTTGAATGCAAACATCAGAAAGCAGTTTCTCAGAACGCTGCTGTGTGCTTTTTATATGTATTCCCGCTTCCAGCGAAATCCCCAAAGCTAGCCAAATATCCACTTGCAGATTCCAGAAAAAGAGAGTTTCAAAACTGCTCCTTCAAAACGGTGGTTCAATTCTCTTAGTTGAGTACACACATCTCAAATAAGTTTCTGAGAATGCTTCTGTCTAGTTGTTATGGGAAGATATTTCCTTTTCCAACATAGGCCTGAAAGCGCTCCAAATGTCCACTTCCAGATACTACAAAAGGAGTGATTCCAACCTGCTCTATGATAGGGAATGTTCAACTCTGTGTCCTGAATACAAACATCACAAAGATGTTTCTCAGAACGCTGCAGTCTGCAATTTGTATGAATTCCCGCTTCCAACGAAATCCTCAAAACTAGCCAAATATCCACTTGCAGATTCCACAAAAAGAGCGTTTCAAAACTTCTCTATGAAAAGAAAGGTTCTACACCTTTAGTTGAGGACACACATCACGAGTAAGTTTCTGAGAATGCTTCTGTCTATTTTTTATGGGAAGATATTTCCTTTTTCACCTTAGGCTGGAAAGTGCTCCAAATGTCCACTTACACACACTACAAAAAGAGTGTTTCAAACCTGCTCTGTGAAAGGGAATGTTCAATTCTGTGACTTGAATGCAATCATCACAAAGAACTTTCTGAGAATGCTGCTGTCAGCTTTTTATATGTAATCCCGTTTCCAAAGAAATCCTCAAATCTAGCCAAATAGCCACTTGCAGATTCCACAAAAAGAGTGTTTCAAAACTGTTCTGTCTAAAGAAATGTTCAACTGTGTTACTTGAGGACACACATCAGAAACTAGTTTCTGAGAATGCTTCTGTCTAGTTGTTATGGGAAGATATTTCCTTTTCCAACGTAGGCCTGAAAGCGCTCCAAATGTCCACTTCCATATACTAAAAAAAGAGTGTTTCAAACCTGCTCTACCAAAGGGAATGTTCTACTCTGTGACTTGAATGCAAACATCCCAAAGAAGTTTCTGAGAATGCTTCTGTCTAGATTTGATCTGAAGACAATCCCTTTTCCAACGAAATCCTCAAAGCTAGGCAAATATCCTCTTGCAGATTCCAGAAAAAGAGTGTTTCCAAACTGCTCCTTCAAAACGGTGGTTCAATTCTCTTAGTTGAGTACACACATCTCAAATAAGTTTCTGAGAATGCTTCTGCCTAGTTGTTACGGGAAGATATTTCCCTTTCCAACATGGGCCTGAAAGCGCTCCAAATGTCCACTTCCAGATACTACAAAAAGAGGGTTTCAAACCTGCTCTACCAAAGGGAATGTTCTACTCTGTGACTTGAATGCAAACATCCCAAAGAAGTTTCTGAGAATGCTTCTGTCTAGATTTTACCTGAAGACAATCCCGTTTCCCACGAAATCCTCAAAGCTATGCAAATATCCTCTTGCAGATTCTACAAAAAGAGTGTTTCAAAACTGCTCTATGAAAAGAAAGGTTCAACTCTGTCAGTAGAGGGCACACATCACAAACAAGTTTCTGAGAATGCTTGTGTCTAGTTGTTATGGGAAGATATTTCCTTTTTCAACATAGGCCTGAAAGCGCTCCAAATGTCCACTTCCAGATACTACAAAAGGAGTGATTCCAACCTGCTCTATGATAGGGAATGTTCAACTCTCTGTCCTGAATACAAACATCACAAAGATGTTTCTCAGAACGCTGCAGTCTGCAATTTGTATGAATTCCCGCTTCCAACGAAATCCTCAAAACTAGCCAAATATCCACTTGCAGATTCCACAAAAAGACCATTTCAAAACTGCTCTATCAAAAGAAAGGTTCAACTTTGTTAGTTGAGTAGATACAGCATAAACAAGTTTCTGAGAATGCTTCTGTCCAGTTTTTATGGGAAGATATTTCCTTTTTCACCTTAGCCCTGAAATCGCTCCAAAAGTCCAGTTCCAGATACTACAAAAGGGGTGTTTCAAGACTGCTCTATGAAAGGGAGTGTTCAACTTTTGACTTGAATGCAAACATCAGAAAGCAGTTTCTCAGAACGCTGCTGTGTGCTTTTTATATGTATTCCCGCCTCCAGCGAAATCCCCAAAGCTAGCCAAATATCCACTTGCAGATTCCAGAAAAAGAGTGTTTCAAAACTGCTCCTTCAAAACGGTGGTTCAATTCTCTTAGTTGAGTACACACATCTCAAATAAGTTTCTGAGAATGCTTCTGTCTAGTTGTTATGGGAAGATATTTCCTTTTCCAACATAGGCCTGAAAGCGCTCCAAATGTCCACTTCCAGATACTACAAAAGGAGTGATTCCAACCTGCTCTATGATAGGGAATGTTCAACTCTGTGTCCTGAATACAAACATCACAAAGATGTTTCTCAGAACGCTGCAGTCTGCAATTTGTATGAATTCCCGCTTCCAACGAAATCCTCAAAACTAGCCAAATATCCACTTGCAGATTCCACAAAAAGAGCGTTTCAAAACTTCTCTATGAAAAGAAAGTTTCTACTCCTTTACTTGAGTACACACATCACGAGTAAGTTTCTGAGAATGCTTCTGTCTAGTTTTTATGGGAAGATATTTCCTTTTTCACCTTAGGCCGGAAAGCGCTCCAAATGTCCACTTACACACACTACAAAAAGAGTGTTTCAAACCTGCTCTGTGAAAGGGAATGTTCAATTCTGTGACTTGAATGCAATCATCACAAAGAACTTTCTGAGAATGCCGCTGACTGCTTTTTATATGTAATCCCGTTTCCAACGAAATCCTCAAATCTAGCCAAATAGCCACTTGCAGATTCCACAAAAAGAGTGTTTCAAAACTGTTCTGTCTAAAGAAATGTTCAACTGTGTTAGTTGAGGACACACATCAGAAACTAGTTTCTGAGAATGCTTCTGTCTAGTTGTTATGGGAAGATATTTCCTTTTCCAACGTAGGCCTGAAAGCGCTCCAAATGTCCACTTCCATATACTAAAAAAAGAGTGTTTCAAACCTGCTCTACCAAAGGGAATGTTCTACTCTGTGACTTGAATGCAAACATCCCAAAGAAGTTTCTGAGAATGCTTCTGTCTAGATTTTATCTGAAGACAATCCCGTTTCCAACGAAATCCTCAAGGCTAGGCAAATATACTCTTGCAGATTCCAGAAAAAGAGTGTTTCAAAACTGCTCCTTCAAAACGGTGGTTCAATTCTCTTAGTTGAGTACACACATCTCAAATAAGTTTCTGAGAATGCTTCTGCCTAGTTGTTACGGGAAGATATTTCCCTTTCCAACATAGGCCTGAAAGCGCTCCAAATGTCCACTTCCAGATACTACAAAAAGAGTGTTTCAAACCTGCTCTACCAAAGGGAATGTTCTACTCTGTGACTTGAATGCAAACATCCCAAAGAAGTTTCTGAGAATGCTTCTGTCTAGATTTTACCTGAAGACAATCCCGTTTCCCACGAAATCCTCAAAGCTATGCAAATATCCTCTTGCAGATTCTACAAAAAGAGCGTTTCAAAACTTCTCTATGAAAAGAAAGGTTCTACTCATTTAGTGGAGGACACACATCACGAGTAAGTTTCTGAGAATGCTTCTGTCTAGTTGTTATGGGAAGATATTTCCTTTTCCAACATAGGCCTGAAAGCGCTCCAAATGTCCACTTCCAGATACTACAAAAGGAGTGATTCCAACCTGCTCTATGATAGGGAATGTTCAACTCTGTGTCCTGAATACAAACATCACAAAGATGTTTCTCAGAACGCTGCAGTCTGCAATTTGTATGAATTCCCGCTTCCAACGAAATCCTCAAAACTAGCCAAATATCCACTTGCAGATTCCACAAAAAGACCATTTCAAAACTGCTCTATCAAAAGAAAGGTTCAACTTTGTTAGTTGAGTAGATACAGCATAACCAAGTTTCTGAGAATGCTTCTGTCCAGTTTTTATGGGAAGATATTTCCTTTTTCACCTTAGCCCTGAAATCGCTCCAAAAGTCCAGTTCCAGATACTACAAAAGGGGTGTTTCAAGACTGCTCTATGAAAGGGAGTGTTCAACTTTTGACTTGAATGCAAACATCAGAAAGCAGTTTCTCAGAACGCTGCTGTGTGCTTTTTATATGTATTCCCGCTTCCAGCGAAATCCCCAAAGCTAGCCAAATATCCACTTGCAGATTCCAGAAAAAGAGAGTTTCAAAACTGCTCCTTCAAAACGGTGGTTCAATTCTCTTAGTTGAGTACACACATCTCAAATAAGTTTCTGAGAATGCTGCAGTCTGCAATTTGTATGAATTCCCGCTTCCAACGAAATCCTCCAAACTAGCCAAATATCCACTTGCAGATTCCACAAAAAGAGCGTTTCAAAACTTCTCTATGAAAAGAAAGGTTCTACTCCTTTAGTTGAGGACACACATCACGAGTAAGTTTCTGAGAATGCTCTGTCTAGTTTTTATGGGAAGATATTTCCTTTTTCACCTTAGGCCGGAAAGTGCTCCAAATGTCCACTTACACACACTACAAAAAGAGTGTTTCAAACCTGCTACTGTGAAAGGGAATGTTCAATTACTGTGACTTGAATGCAATCATCACAAAGAACTTTCTGAGAATGCTGGCTGTCTGCTTTTTATATGTAATCCCGTTTCCAACGAAATCCTCAAATCTAGCCAAATATCCACTTGCAGATTCCACAAAAAGAGTGTTTCAAAACTGTTCTGTCTAAAGAAAAGTTCAACTGTGTTAGTTGAGGACACACATCAGAAACTAGTTTCTGAGAATGCTTCTGTCTAGTTGTTATGGGAAGATATTTCCTTTTCCAACGTAGGCCTGAAAGCGCTCCAAATGTCCACTTCCAGATACTCAAAAAAGAGTGTTTCAAACCTGCTCTACCAAAGGGAATGTTCTACTCTGTGACTTGAATGCAAACATCCCAAAGAAGTTTCTGAGAATGCTTCTGTCTAGATTTTATCTGAAGACAATCCCGTTTCCAACGAAATCCTCAAGGCTAGGCAAATATACTCTTGCAGATTCCAGAAAAAGAGGGTTTCAAAACTGCTCCTTCAAAACAGTGGTTCAGTTCTCTTAGTTGAGTACACACATCTCAAATAAGTTTCTGAGAATGCTTCTGCCTAGTTGTTACGGGAAGATATTTCCCTTTCCAACATAGGCCTGAAAGCGCTCCAAATGTCCACTTCCAGATACTACAAAAAGAGTGTTTCAAACCTGCTCTACCAAAGGGAATGTTCTGCTCTGTGACTTGAATGCAAACATCCCAAAGAAGTTTCTGAGAATGCTTCTGTCTAGATTTTACCTGAGACAATCCCGTTTCCCACGAAATCCTCAAAGCTATGCAAATATCCTCTTGCAGATTCTACAAAAAGAGTGTTTCAAAACTGCTCTATGAAAAGAAAGGTTCAACTCTGTCAGTAGAGGGCACACATCACAAACAAGTTTCTGAGAATGCTTGTGTCTAGTTGTTATGGGAAGATATTTCCTTTTTCAACATAGGCCTGAAAGCGCTCCAAATGTCCACTTCCAGATACTACAAAAGGAGTGATTCCAACCTGCTCTATGATAGGGAATGTTCAACTCTCTGTCCTGAATACAAACATCACAAAGATGTTTCTCAGAACGCTGCAGTCTGCAATTTGTATGAATTCCCGCTTCCAACGAAATCCTAAAAACTAGCCAAATATCCACTTGCAGATTCCACAAAAAGACCATTTCAAAACTGCTCTATCAAAAGAAAGGTTCAACTTTGTTAGTTGAGTAGATACAGCATAAACAAGTTTCTGAGAATGCTTCTGTCCAGTTTTTATGGGAAGATATTTCCTTTTTCACCTTAGCCCTGAAATCGCTCCAAAAGTCCAGTTCCAGATACTACAAAAGGGGTGTTTCAAGACTGCTCTATGAAAGGGAGTGTTCAACTTTTGACTTGAATGCAAACATCAGAAAGCAGTTTCTCAGAACGCTGCTGTGTGCTTTTTATATGTATTCCCAGCTTCCAGCGAAATCCCCAAAGCTAGCCAAATATCCACTTGCAGATTCCAGAAAAAGAGAGTTTCAAAACTGCTCCTTCAAAACGGTGGTTCAATTCTCTTAGTTGAGTACACACATCTCAAATAAGTTTCTGAGAATGCTTCTGTCTAGTTGTTATGGGAAGATATTTCCTTTTCCAACATAGGCCTGAAAGCGCTCCAAATGTCCACTTCCAGATACTACAAAAGGAGTGATTCAAACCTGCTCTATGATAGGGAATGTTCAACTCTGTGTCCTGAATACAAACATCACAAAGATGTTTCTCAGAACGCTGCAGTCTGCAATTTGTATGAATTCCCGCTTCCAACGAAATCCTCAAAACTAGCCAAATATCCACTTGCAGATTCCACAAAAAGAGCGTTTCAAAACTTCTCTATGAAAAGAAAGGTTCTACCCCTTTAGTTGAGGACACACATCACGAGTAAGTTTCTGAGAATGCTTCTGTCTAGTTTTTATGGGAAGATATTTCCTTTTTCACCTTAGGCCGGAAAGCGCTCCAAATGTCCACTTACACACACTACAAAAAGAGTGTTTCAAACCTGCTCTGTGAAAGGGAATGTTCAATTCTGTGACTTGAATGCAATCATCACAAAGAACTTTCTGAGAATGCTGCTGTCTGCTTTTTATATGTAATCCCGTTTCCAACGAAATCCTCAAATCTAGCCCAATATCCACTTGCAGATTCCACAAAAAGAGTGTTTCAAAACTGTTCTGTCTAAAGAAATGTACAACTGTGTTAGTTGAGGACACACATCAGAAACTAGTTTCTGAGAATGCTTCTGTCTAGTTGTTATGGGAAGATATTTCCTTTTCCAACGTAGGCCTGAAAGCGCTCCAAATGTCCACTTCCATATACTAAAAAAAGAGTGTTTCAAACCTGCTCTACCAAAGGGAATGTTCTACTCTGTGACTTGAATGCAAACATCCCAAAGAAGTTTCTGAGAATGCTTCTGTCTAGATTTGATCTGAAGACAATCCCTTTTCCAACGAAATCCTCAAAGCTAGGCAAATATCCTCTTGCAGATTCCAGAAAAAGAGTGTTTCCAAACTGCTCCTTCAAAACGGTGGTTCAATTCTCTTAGTTGAGTACACACATCTCAAATAAGTTTCTGAGAATGCTTCTGCCTAGTTGTTACGGGAAGATATTTCCCTTTCCAACATAGGCCTGAAAGCGCTCCAAATGTCCACTTCCAGATACTACAAAAAGAGTGTTTCAAACCTGCTCTACCAAAGGGAATGTTCTACTCTGTGACTTGAATGCAAACATCCCAAAGAAGTTTCTGAGAATGCTTCTGTCTAGATTTTACCTGAAGACAATCCCGTTTCCCACGAAATCCTCAAAGCTATGCAAATATCCTCTTGCAGATTCTACAAAAAGAGTGTTTCAAAACTGCTCTATGAAAAGAAAGGTTCAACTCTGTCAGTAGAGGGCACACATCACAAACAAGTTTCTGAGAATGCTTGTGTCTAGTTGTTATGGGAAGATATTTCCTTTTTCAACATAGGCCTGAAAGCGCTCCAAATGTCCACTTCCAGATACTACAAAAGGAGTGATTCCAACCTGCTCTATGATAGGGAATGTTCAACTCTCTGTCCTGAATACAAACATCACAAAGGTGTTTCTCAGAACGCTGCAGTCTGCAATTTGTATGAATTCCCGCTTCCAACGAAATCCTCAAAACTAGCCAAATATCCACTTGCAGATTCCACAAAAAGAGCATTTCAAAACTGCTCTATCAAAAGAAAGGTTCAACTTTGTTAGTTGAGTAGATACAGCATAAACAAGTTTCTGAGAATGCTGCAGTCTGCAATTTGTATGAATTCCCGCTTCCAACGAAATCCTCAAAACTAGCCAAATATCCACTTGGAGATTCCACAAAAAGAGCGTTTCAAAACTTCTCTATCAATAGAAAGGTTCTACTCCTTTAGTTGAGGACACACATCACGAGTAAGTTTCTGAGAATGCTTCTGTCTAGTTTTTATGGGAAGATATTTCCTTTTTCACCTTAGGCCAGTAAGTGCTCCAAATGTCCACTTACACACACTACAAAAAGAGTGTTTCAAACCTGCTCTGTGAAAGGGAATGTTCAATTCTGTGACTTGAATGCAATCATCACAAAGAACTTTCTGAGAATGCTGCTGTCTGCTTTTTATATGTAATCCCGTTTCCAACGAAATCCTCAAATCTAGCCAAATATCCACTTGCAGATTCCACAAAAAGAGTGTTTCAAAACTGTTCTGTCTAAAGAAAAGTTCAACTGTGTTAGTTGAGGACACACATCAGAAACTAGTTTCTGAGAATGCTTCTGTCTAGTTGTTATGGGAAGATATTTCCTTTTCCAACGTAGGCCTGAAAGCGATCAAAATGTCCACTTCCATATACTAAAAAAAGAGTGTTTCAAACCTGCTCTACCAAAGGGAATGTTCTACTCTGTGACTTGAATGCAAACATCCCAAAGAAGTTTCTGAGAATGCTTCTGTCTAGATTTGATCTGAACACAATCCCGTTTCCAACGAAATCCTCAAAGCTAGGCAAATATCCTCTTGCAGATTCCAGAAAAAGAGTGTTTCAAAACTGCTCCTTCAAAACGGTGGTTCAATTCTCTTAGTTGAGTACACACATCTCAAATAAGTTTCTGAGAATGCTTCTGCCTAGTTGTTACGGGAAGATATTTCCCTTTCCAACATAGGCCTGAAAGCGCTCCAAATGTCCACTTCCAGATACTACAAAAAGAGTGTTTCAAACCTGCTCTACCAAAGGGAATGTTCTACTCTGTGACTTGAATGCAAACATCCCAAAGAAGTTTCTGAGAATGCTTCTGTCTAGATTTTACCTGAAGACAATCCCGTTTCCCACGAAATCCTCAAAGCTATGCAAATATCCTCTTGCGGATTCTATAAAAGAGTGGTTCAAAACTGCTCTATGAAAAGAAAGGTTCAACTCTGTCAGTAGAGGGCACACATCACAAACAAGTTTCTGAGAATGCTTGTGTCTAGTTGTTATGGGAAGATATTTCCTTTTTCAACATAGGCCTGAAAGCGCTCCAAATGTCCACTTCCAGATACTACAAAAGGAGTGATTCCAACCTGCTCTATGATAGGGAATGTTCAACTCTCTGTCCTGAATACAAACATCACAAAGATGTTTCTCAGAACGCTGCAGTCTGCAATTTGTATGAATTCCCGCTTCCAACGAAATCCTCAAAACTAGCCAAATATCCACTTGCAGATTCCACAAAAAGAGCATTTCAAAACTGCTCTATCAAAAGAAAGGTTCAACTTTGTTAGTTGAGTAGATACAGCATAAACAAGTTTCTGAGAATGCTTCTGTCCAGTTTTTATGGGAAGATATTTCCTTTTTCACCTTAGCCCTGAAATCGCTCCAAAAGTCCAGTTCCAGATACTACAAAAGGAGTGTTTCAGGACTGCTCTATGAAAGGGAGTGTTCAACTTTTGACTTGAATGCAAACATCAGAAAGCAGTTTCTCAGAACGCTGCTGTGTGCTTTTTATATGTATTCCCGCCTCCAGCGAAATCCCCAAAGCTAGCCAAATATCCACTTGCAGATTCCAGAAAAAGAGTGTTTCAAAACTGCTCCTTCAAAACGGTGGTTCAATTCTCTTAGTTGAGTACACACATCTCAAATAAGTTTCTGAGAATGCTTCTGTCTAGTTGTTATGGGAAGATATTTCCTTTTCCAACATAGGCCTGAAAGCGCTCCAAATGTCCACTTCCAGATACTACAAAAGGAGTGATTCAAACCTGCTCTATGATAGGGAATGTTCAACTCTGTGTCCTGAATACAAACATCACAAAGATGTTTCTCAGAACGCTGCAGTCTGCAATTTGTATGAATTCCCGCTTCCAACGAAATCCTCAAAACTAGCCAAATATCCACTTGCAGATTCCACAAAAAGACCATTTCAAAACTGCTCTATCAAAAGAAAGGTTCAACTTTGTTAGTTGAGTAGATACAGCATAAACAAGTTTCTGAGAATGCTTCTGTCCAGTTTTTATGGGAAGATATTTCCTTTTTCACCTTAGCCCTGAAATCGCTCCAAAAGTCCAGTTCCAGATACTACAAAAGGGGTGTTTCAAGACTGCTCTATGAAAGGGAGTGTTCAACTTTTGACTTGAATGCAAACATCAGAAAGCAGTTTCTCAGAACGCTGCTGTGTGCTTTTTATATGTATTCCCGCTTCCAGCGAAATCCCCAAAGCTAGCCAAATATCCACTTGCAGATTCCAGAAAAAGAGTGTTTCAAAACTGCTCCTTCAAAACGGTGGTTCAATTCTCTTAGTTGAGTACACACATCTCAAATAAGTTTCTGAGAATGCTTCTGTCTAGTTGTTATGGGAAGATATTTCCTTTTTCACCTTAGGCCGGAAAGTGCTCCAAATGTCCACTTCCAGATACTACAAAAGGAGTGATTCCAACCTGCTCTATGATAGGGAATGTTCAACTCTCTGTCCTGAATACAAACATCACAAAGATGTTTCTCAGAACGCTGCAGTCTGCAATTTGTATGAATTCCCGCTTCCAACGAAATCCTCAAAACTAGACAAATATCGACTTGGAGATTCCACAAAAAGAGGGTTTCAAAACTTCTCTATGAATAGAAAGGTTCTACTCCTTTAGTTGAGGACACACATCACGAGTAAGTTTCTGAGAATGCTTCTGTCTAGTTTTTATGGGAAGATATTTCCTTTTTCACCTTAGGCCGGAAAGCGCTCCAAATGTCCACTTACACACACTACAAAAAGAGTGTTTCAAACCTGCTCTGTGAAAGGGAATGTTCAATTCTGTGACTTGAATGCAATCATCACAAAGAACTTTCTGAGAATGCTGCTGTCTGCTTTTTATATGTAATCCCGTTTCCAACGAAATCCTCAAATCTAGCCCAATATCCACTTGCAGATTCCACAAAAAGAGTGTTTCAAAACTGTTCTGTATAAAGAAATGTACAACTGTGTTAGTTGAGGACACACATCAGAAACTAGTTTCTGAGAATGCTTCTGTCTAGTTGTTATGGGAAGATATTTCCTTTTCCAACGTAGGCCTGAAAGCGCTCCAAATGTCCACTTCCATATACTAAAAAAAGAGTGTTTCAAACCTGCTCTACCAAAGGGAATGTTCTACTCTGTGACTTGAATGCAAACATCCCAAAGAAGTTTCTGAGAATGCTTCTGTCTAGATTTTATCTGAAGACAATCCCGTTTCCAACGAAATCCTCAAGGCTAGGCAAATATACTCTTGCAGATTCCAGAAAAAGAGGGTTTCAAAACTGCTCCTTCAAAACGGTGGTTCAATTCTCTTAGTTGAGTACACACATCTCAAATAAGTTTCTGAGAATGCTTCTGCCTAGTTGTTACGGGAAGATATTTCCCTTTCCAACATGGGTCTGAAAGCGCTCCAAATGTCCACTTCCAGATACTACAAAAAGAGTGTTTCAAACCTGCTCTACCAAAGGGAATGTTCTACTCTGTGACTTGAATGCAAACATCCCAAAGAAGTTTCTGAGAATGCTTCTGTCTAGATTTTACCTGAAGACAATCCCGTTTCCCACGAAATCCTCAAAGCTATGCAAATATCCTCTTGCAGATTCTACAAAAAGAGTGTTTCAAAACTGCTCTATGAAAAGAAAGGTTCAACTCTGTCAGTAGAGGGCACACATCACAAACAAGTTTCTGAGAATGCTTGTGTCTAGTTGTTATGGGAAGATATTTCCTTTTTCAACATAGGCCAGAAAGCGCTCCAAATGTCCACTTCCAGATACTACAAAAGGAGTGATTCCAACCTGCTCTATGATAGGGAATGTTCAACTCTCTGTCCTGCATACAAACATCACAAAGATGTTTCTCAGAACGCTGCAGTCTGCAATTTGTATGAATTCCCGCTTCCAACGAAATCCTCAAAACTAGCCAAATATCCACTTGCAGATTCCACAAAAAGAGCATTTCAAAACTGCTCTATCAAAAGAAAGGTTCAACTTTGTTAGTTGAGTAGATACAGCATAAACAAGTTTCTGAGAATGCTGCAGTCTGCAATTTGTATGAATTCCCGCTTCCAACGAAATCCTCAAAACTAGCCAAATATCCACTTGCAGATTCCACAAAAAGAGCGTTTCAAAACTTCTCTATGAAAAGAAAGGTTCTACTCCTTTAGTTGAGGACACACATCACGAGTAAGTTTCTGAGAATGCTTCTGTCTAGTTTTTATGGGAAGATATTTCCTTTTTCACCTTAGGCCGGTAAGTGCTCCAAATGTCCACTTACACACACTACAAAAAGAGTGTTTCAAACCTGCTCTGTGAAAGGGAATGTTCAATTCTGTGACTTGAATGCAATCATCACAAAGAACTTTCTGAGAATGCTGCTGACTGCTTTTTATATGTAATCCCGTTTCCAACGAAATCCTCAAATCTAGCCAAATAGCCACTTGCAGATTCCACAAAAAGAGTGTTTCAAAACTGTTCTGTCTAAAGAAATGTTCAACTGTGTTAGTTGAGGACACACATCAGAAACTAGTTTCTGAGAATGCTTCTGTCTAGTTGTTATGGGAAGATATTTCCTTTTCCAACGTAGGCCTGAAAGCGCTCCAAATGTCCACTTCCATATACTAAAAAAAGAGTGTTTCACACCTGCTCTACCAAAGGGAATGTTCTACTCTGTGACTTGAATGCAAACATCCCAAAGAAGTTTTCTGAGAATGCTTTCTGTCTAGATTTTCTCTGAAGACAATCCCGTTTCCAACGAAATCCTCAAGGCTAGGCAAATATCCTCTTGCAGATTCCAGAAAAAGAGTGTTTCAAAACTGCTCCTTCAAAACGGTGGTTCAATTCTCTTAGTTGAGTACACACATCTCAAATAAGTTTCTGAGAATGCTTCTGCCTAGTTGTTACGGGAAGATATTTCCCTTTCCAACATAGGCCTGAAAGCGCTCCAAATGTCCACTTCCAGATACTACAAAAAGAGTGTTTCAAACCTGCTCTACCAAAGGGAATGTTCTACTCTGTGACTTGAATGCAAACATCCCAAAGAAGTTTCTGAGAATGCTTCTGTCTTGATTTTACCTGAAGACAATCCCGTTTCCAACGAAATCCTCAAACTTATGCAAATATCCTCTTGCAGATTCTACACAAAGAGTGTTTCGAAACTGCTCTATGAAAGGAAAGGTTCAACTCTGTCAGTAGAGGGCACACATCACAAACAAGTTTCTGAGAATGCTTGTGTCTAGTTGTTATGGGAAGATATTTCCTTTTTCAACATAGGCCTGAAAGCGCTCCAAATGTCCACTTCCAGATACTACAAAAGGAGTGATTCCAACCTGCTCTATGATAGGGAATGTTCAACTCTCTGTCCTGAATACAAACATCACAAAGATGTTTCTCAGAACGCTGCAGTCTGCAATTTGTATGAATTCCCGCTTCCAACGAAATCCTCAAAACTAGCCAAATATCCACTTGCAGATTCCACAAAAAGAGCATTTCAAAACTGCTCTATCAAAAGAAAGGTTCAACTTTGTTAGTTGAGTAGATACAGCATAAACAAGTTTCTGAGAATGCTTCTGTCCAGTTTTTATGGGAAGATATTTCCTTTTTCACCTTAGCCCTGAAATCGCTCCAAAAGTCCAGTTCCAGATACTACAAAAGGGGTGTTTCAAGACTGCTCTATGAAAGGGAGTGTTCAACTTTTGACTTGAATGCAAACATCAGAAAGCAGTTTCTCAGAACGCTGCTGTGTGCTTTTTATATGTATTCCCGCTTCCAGCGAAATCCCCAAAGCTAGCCAAATATCCACTTGCAGATTCCAGGAAAAGAGTGTTTCAAAACTGCTCCTTCAAAACGGTGGTTCAATTCTCTTAGTTGAGTACACACATCTCAAATAAGTTTCTGAGAATGCTTCTGTCTAGTTGTTATGGGAAGATATTTCCTTTTCCAACATAGGCCTGAAAGCGCTCCAAATGTCCACTTCCAGATACTACAAAAGGAGTGATTCAAACCTGCTCTATGATAGGGAATGTTCAACTCTGTGTCCTGAATACAAACATCACAAAGATGTTTCTCAGAACGCTGCAGTCTGCAATTTGTATGAATTCCCGCTTCCAACGAAATCCTCAAAACTAGCCAAATATCCACTTGCAGATTCCACAAAAAGAGCGTTTCAAAACTTCTCTATGAAAAGAAAGGTTCTACTCCTTTAGTTGAGGACACACATCACGAGTAAGTTTCTGAGAATGCTTCTGTCTAGTTTTTATGGGAAGATATTTCCTTTTTCACCTTAGGCCGGTAAGTGCTCCAAATGTCCACTTACACACACTACAAAAAGAGTCTTTCAAACCTGCTCTGTGAAAGGGAATGTTCAATTCTGTGACTTGAATGCAATCATCACAAAGAACTTTCTGAGAATGCTGCTGACTGCTTTTTATATGTAATCCCGTTTCCAACGAAATCCTCAAATCTAGCCCAGTATCCACTTGCAGATTCCACAAAAAGAGTGTTTCAAAACTGTTCTGTCTAAAGAAATGTACAACTGTGTTAGTTGAGGACACACATCAGAAACTAGTTTCTGAGAATGCTTCTGTCTAGTTGTTATGGGAAGATATTTCCTTTTCCAACGTAGGCCTGAAAGCGCTCCAAATGTCCACTTCCATATACTAAAAAAAGAGTGTTTCAAACCTGCTCTACCAAAGGGAATGTTCTACTCTGTGACTTGAATGCAAACATCCCAAAGAAGTTTCTGAGAATGCTTCTGTCTAGATTTTATCTGAAGACAATCCCGTTTCCAACGAAATCCTCAAGGCTAGGCAAATATACTCTTGCAGATTCCAGAAAAAGAGGGTTTCAAAACTGCTCCTTCAAAACGGTGGTTCAATTCTCTTAGTTGAGTACACACATCTCAAATAAGTTTCTGAGAATGCTTCTGCCTCGTTGTTACGGGAAGATATTTCCCTTTCCAACATGGGCCTG
Source organism: Homo sapiens (assembly GCF_000001405.40). Taxonomy (NCBI): domain Eukaryota; kingdom Metazoa; phylum Chordata; class Mammalia; order Primates; family Hominidae; genus Homo; species Homo sapiens. Next base: position 20,543,417 of record NC_000018.10, on the reverse strand, counting down.
AAAGCGCTCCAAATGTCCACTTCCAGATACTACAAAAAGAGGGTTTCAAACCTGCTCTACCAAAGGGAATGTTCTACTCTGTGACTTGAATGCAAACATCCCAAAGAAGTTTCTGAGAATGCTTCTGTCTAGATTTTACCTGAAGACAATCCCGTTTCCCACGAAATCCTCAAAGCTATGCAAATATCCTCTTGCAGATTCTACAAAAAGAGTGTTTCAAAACTACTCTATGAAAAGAAAGGTTCAACTCTGTCAGTAGAGGGCACACATCACAAACAAGTTTCTGAGAATGCTTCTGCATAGTTGTTACGGGAAGATATTTCCCTTTCCAAAATAGGCCTGAAAGCGCTCCAAATGTCCACTTCCAGATACTACAAAAGGAGTGATTCCAACCTGCTCTATGATAGGGAATGTTCAACTCTGTGTCCTGAATACAAACATCACAAAGATGTTTCTCAGAACGCTTGCAGTCTGCAATTTGTATGAATTCCCGCTTCCAACGAAATCCTCAAAACTAGCCAAATATCCACTTGCAGATTCCACAAAAAGACCATTTCAAAACTGCTCTATCAAAAGAAAGGTTCAACTTTGTTAGTTGAGTAGATACAGCATAAACAAGTTTCTGAGAATGCTTCTGTCCAGTTTTTATGGGAAGATATTTCCTTTTTCACCTTAGCCCTGAAATCGCTCCAAAAGTCCAGTTCCAGATACTACAAAAGGGGTGTTTCAAGACTGCTCTATGAAAGGGAGTGTTCAACTTTTGACTTGAATGCAAACATCAGAAAGCAGTTTCTCAGAACGCTGCTGTGTGCTTTTTATATGTATTCCCGCTTCCAGCGAAATCCCCAAAGCTAGCCAAATATCCACTTGCAGATTCCAGAAAAAGAGTGTTTCAAAACTGCTCCTTCAAAACGGTGGTTCAATTCTCTTAGTTGAGTACACACATCTCAAATAAGTTTCTGAGAATGCTTCTGTCTAGTTGTTATGGGAAGATATTTCCTTTTCCAACATAGGCCTGAAAGCGCTCCAAATGTCCACTTCCAGATACTACAAAAGGAGTGATTCAAACCTGCTCTATGATAGGGAATGTTCAACTCTGTGTCCTGAATACAAACATCACAAAGATGTTTCTCAGAACGCTGCAGTCTGCAATTTGTATGAATTCCCGCTTCCAACGAAATCCTCCAAACTAGCCAAATATCCACTTGCAGATTCCACAAAAAGAGCGTTTCAAAACTTCTCTATGAAAAGAAAGGTTCTACTCCTTTAGTTGAGGACACACATCACGAGTAAGTTTCTGAGAGTGCTTCTGTCTAGTTTTTATGGGAAGATATTTCCTTTTTCACCTTAGGCCGGTAAGTGCTCCAAATGTCCACTTACACACACTACAAAAAGAGTCTTTCAAACCTGCTCTGTGAAAGGGAATGTTCAATTCTGTGACTTGAATGCAATCATCACAAAGAACTTTCTGAGAATGCTGCTGTCTGCTTTTTATATGTAATCCCGTTTCCAACGAAATCCTCAAATCTAGCCAAATATCCACTTGCAGATTCCACAAAAAGAGTGTTTCAAAACTGTTCTGTCTAAAGAAATGTTCAACTGTGTTAGTTGAGGACACACATCAGAAACTAGTTTCTGAGAATGCTTCTGTCTAGTTGTTATGGGAAGATATTTCCTTTTCCAACGTAGGCCTGAAAGCGCTCCAAATGTCCACTTACACACACTACAAAAAGAGTGTTTCAAACCTGCTCTACCAAAGGGAATGTTCTACTCTGTGACTTGAATGCAAACATCCCAAAGAAGTTTCTGAGAATGCTTCTGTCTAGATTTTATCTGAAGACAATCCCGTTTCCAACGAAATCCTCAAGGCTAGGCAAATATACTCTTGCAGATTCCAGAAAAAGAGTGTTTCAAAACTGCTCCTTCAAAACGGTGGTTCAATTCTCTTAGTTGAGTACACACATCTCAAATAAGTTTCTGAGAATGCTTCTGCCTAGTTGTTACGGGAAGATATTTCCCTTTCCAACATAGGCCTGAAAGCGCTCCAAATGTCCACTTCCAGATACTACAAAAAGAGTGTTTCAAACCTGCTCTACCAAAGGGAATGTTCTACTCTGTGACTTGAATGCAAACATCCCAAAGAAGTTTCTGAGAATGCTTCTGTCTAGATTTTACCTGAAGACAATCCCGTTTCCCACGAAATCCTCAAAGCTATGCAAATATCCTCTTGCAGATTCTACAAAAAGAGTGTTTCAAAACTGCTCTATGAAAAGAAAGGTTCAACTCTGTCAGTAGAGGGCACACATCACAAACAAGTTTCTGAGAATGCTTGTGTCTAGTTGTTATGGGAAGATATTTCCTTTTTCAACATAGGCCTGAAAGCGCTCCAAATGTCCACTTCCAGATACTACAAAAGGAGTGATTCCAACCTGCTCTATGATAGGGAATGTTCAACTCTCTGTCCTGAATACAAACATCACAAAGATGTTTCTCAGAACGCTGCAGTCTGCAATTTGTATGAATTCCCGCTTCCAACGAAATCCTCAAAACTAGCCAAATATCCACTTGCAGATTCCACAAAAAGACCATTTCAAAACTGCTCTATCAAAAGAAAGGTTCAACTTTGTTAGTTGAGTAGATACAGCATAAACAAGTTTCTGAGAATGCTTCTGTCCAGTTTTTATGGGAAGATATTTCCTTTTTCACCTTAGCCCTGAAATCGCTCCAAAAGTCCAGTTCCAGATACTACAAAAGGGGTGTTTCAAGACTGCTCTATGAAAGGGAGTGTTCAACTTTTGACTTGAATGCAAACATCAGAAAGCAGTTTCTCAGAACGCTGCTGTGTGCTTTTTATATGTATTCCCGCTTCCAGCGAAATCCCCAAAGCTAGCCAAATATCCACTTGCAGATTCCAGAAAAAGAGTGTTTCAAAACTGCTCCTTCAAAACGGTGGTTCAATTCTCTTAGTTGAGTACACACATCTCAAATAAGTTTCTGAGAATGCTTCTGTCTAGTTGTTATGGGAAGATATTTCCTTTTCCAACATAGGCCTGAAAGCGCTCCAAATGTCCACTTCCAGATACTACAAAAGGAGTGATTCCAACCTGCTCTATGATAGGGAATGTTCAACCCTGTGTCCTGAATACAAACATCACAAAGATGTTTCTCAGAACGCTGCAGTCTGCAATTTGTATGAATTCCCGCTTCCAACGAAATCCTCCAAACTAGCCAAATATCCACTTGCAGATTCCACAAAAAGAGCGTTTCAAAACTTCTCTATGAAAGAAAGGTTCTACTCCTTTAGTTGAGGACACACATCAAGAGTAAGTTTCTGAGAATACTTCTGTCTAGTTTTTATGGGAAGATTATTTCCTTTTTCACCTTAGGCCGGTAAGTGCTCCAAATGTCCACTTACACACACTACAAAAAGAGTGTTTCAAACCTGCTCTGTGAAAGGGAATGTTCAATTCTGTGACTTGAATGCAATCATCACAAAGAACTTTCTGAGAATGCCGCTGTCTGCTTTTTATATGTAATCCCGTTTCCAACGAAATCCTCAAATCTAGCCAAATAGCCACTTGCAGATTCCACAAAAAGAGTGTTTCAAAACTGTTCTGTCTAAAGAAATGTTCAACTGTGTTAGTTGAGGACACACATCAGAAACTAGTTTCTGAGAATGCTTCTGTCTAGTTGTTATGGGAAGATATTTCCTTTTCCAACGTAGACCTGAAAGCGCTCCAAATGTCCACTTCCATATACTAAAAAAAGGGTGTTTCAAACCTGCTCTACCAAAGGGAATGTTCTACTCTGTGACTTGAATGCAAACATCCCAAAGAAGTTTCTGAGAATGCTTCTGTCTAGATTTGATCTGAAGACAATCCCGTTTCCAACGAAATCCTCAAAGCTAGGCAAATATCCTCTTGCAGATTCCAGAAAAAGAGTGTTTCAAAACTGCTCCTTCAAAACGGTGGTTCAATTCTCTTAGTTGAGTACACACATCTCAAATAAGTTTCTGAGAATGCTTCTGCCTAGTTGTTACGGGAAGATATTTCCCTTTCCAACATGGGCCTGAAAGCGCTCCAAATGTCCACTTCCAGATACTACAAAAAGAGTGTTTCAAACCTGCTCTACCAAAGGGAATGTTCTACTCTGTGACTTGAATGCAAACATCCCAAAGAAGTTTCTGAGAATGCTTCTGTCTAGATTTTACCTGAAGACAATCCCGTTTCCCACGAAATCCTCAAAGCTATGCAAATATCCTCTTGCAGATTCTACAAAAAGAGTGTTTCAAAACTGCTCTATGAAAAGAAAGGTTCAACTCTGTCAGTAGAGGGCACACATCACAAACAAGTTTCTGAGAATGCTGTGTCTAGTTGTTATGGGAAGATATTTCCTTTTTCAACATAGGCCTGAAAGCGCTCCAAATGTCCACTTCCAGATACTACAAAAGGAGTGATTCCAACCTGCTCTATGATAGGGAATGTTCAACTCTCTGTCCTGAATACAAACATCACAAAGATGTTCTCAGAACGCTGGCAGTCTGCAATTTGTATGAATTCCCGCTTCCAACGAAATCCTCAAAACTAGCCAAATATCCACTTGCAGATTCCACAAAAAGACCATTTCAAAACTGCTCTATCAAAAGAAAGGTTCAACTTTGTTAGTTGAGTAGATACAGCATAACCAAGTTTCTGAGAATGCTTCTGTCCAGTTTTTATGGGAAGATATTTCCTTTTTCACCTTAGCCCTGAAAGCGCTCCAAAAGTCCAGTTCCAGATACTACAAAAGGAGTGTTTCAGGACTGCTCTATGAAAGGGAGTGTTCAACTTTTGACTTGAATGCAAACATCAGAAAGCAGTTTCTCAGAACGCTGCTGTGTGCTTTTTAGATGTATTCCCGCTTCCAGCGAAATCCCAAAAGCTAGCCAAATATCCACTTGCAGATTCCAGAAAAAGAGTGTTTCAAAACTGCTCCTTCAAAACGGTGGTTCAATTCTCTTAGTTGAGTACACACATCTCAAATAAGTTTCTGAGAATGCTTCTGTCTAGTTGTTATGGGAAGATATTTCCTTTTCCAACATAAGCCTGAAAGCGCTCCAAATGTCCACTTCCAGATACTACAAAAGGAGTGATTCAAACCTGCTCTATGATAGGGAATGTTCAACTCTGTGTCCTGAATACAAACATCACAAAGATGTTTCTCAGAACGCTGCAGTCTGCAATTTGTATGAATTCCCGCTTCCAACGAAATCCTCAAAACTAGCCAAATATCCACTTGCAGATTCCACAAAAAGAGCGTTTCAAAACTTCTCTATGAAAAGAAAGGTTCTACTCCTTTAGTTGAGGACACACATCACGAGTAAGTTTCTGAGAATGCTCTGTCTAGTTTTTATGGGAAGATATTTCCTTTTTCACCTTAGGCCGGAAAGTGCTCCAAATGTCCACTTACACACACTACAAAAAGAGTGTTTCAAACCTGCTACTGTGAAAGGGAATGTTCAATTACTGTGACTTGAATGCAATCATCACAAAGAACTTTCTGAGAATGCTGGCTGTCTGCTTTTTATATGTAATCCCGTTTCCAACGAAATCCTCAAATCTAGCCAAATAGCCACTTGCAGATTCCACAAAAAGAGAGTTTCAAAACTGTTCTGTCTAAAGAAATGTTCAACTGTGTTAGTTGAGGACACACATCAGAAACTAGTTTCTGAGAATGCTTCTGTCTAGTTGTTATGGGAAGATATTTCCTTTTCCAACGTAGGCCTGAAAGCGATCCAAATGTCCACTTCCATATACTAAAAAAAGAGTGTTTCAAACCTGCTCTACCAAAGGGAATGTTCTACTCTGTGACTTGAATGCAAACATCCCAAAGAAGTTTCTGAGAATGCTTCTGTCTAGATTTTCTCTGAAGACAATCCCGTTTCCAACGAAATCCTCAAGGCTAGGCAAATATACTCTTGCAGATTCCAGAAAAAGAGTGTTTCAAAACTGCTCCTTCAAAACGGTGGTTCAATTCTCTTAGTTGAGTACACACATCTCAAATAAGTTTCTGAGAATGCTTCTGCCTAGTTGTTACGGGAAGATATTTCCCTTTCCAACATGGGCCTGAAAGCGCTCCAAATGTCCACTTCCAGATACTACAAAAAGAGTGTTTCAAACCTGCTCTACCAAAGGGAATGTTCTACTCTGTGACTTGAATGCAAACATCCCAAAGAAGTTTCTGAGAATGCTTCTGTCTAGATTTTACCTGAAGACAATCCCGTTTCCCACGAAATCCTCAAAGCTATGCAAATATCCTCTTGCAGATTCTACAAAAAGAGTGTTTCAAAACTGCTCTATGAAAAGAAAGGTTCAACTCTGTCAGTAGAGGGCACACATCACAAACAAGTTTCTGAGAATGCTTGTGTCTAGTTCTTATGGGAAGATATTTCTTTTTTCAACATAGGACTGAAAGCGCTCCAAATGTCCACTTCCAGATACTACAAAAGGAGTGATTCCAACCTACTCTATGATAGGGAATGTTCATCTCTGTGTCCTGAATACAAACATCACAAAGATGATTCTCAGAACGCTGCAGTCTGCAATTTGTATGAATTCCCGCTTCCAACGAAATCCTCAAAACTAGCCAAATATCCACTTGCAGATTCCACAAAAAGACCATTTCAAAACTGCTCTATCAAAAGAAAGGTTCAACTTTGTTAGTTGAGTAGATACAGCATAAACAAGTTTCTGAGAATGCTTCTGTCCAGTTTTTATGGGAAGATATTTCCTTTTTCACCTTAGCCCTGAAATCGCTCCAAAAGTCCAGTTCCAGATACTACAAAAGGGGTGTTTCAAGACTGCTCTATGAAAGGGAGTGTTCAACTTTTGACTTGAATGCAAACATCAGAAAGCAGTTTCTCAGAACGCTGCTGTGTGCTTTTTATATGTATTCCCGCTTCCAGCGAAATCCCCAAAGCTAGCCAAATATCCACGTGCAGATTCCAGAAAAAGAGTGTTTCAAAACTGCTCCTTCAAAACGGTGGTTCAATTCTCTTAGTTGAGTACACACATCTCAAATAAGTTTCTGAGAATGCTTCTGTCTAGTTGTTATGGGAAGATATTTCCTTTTCCAACATAGGCCTGAAAGCGCTCCAAATGTCCACTTCCAGATACTACAAAAGGAGTGATTCCAACCTGCTCTATGATAGGGAATGTTCAACTCTGTGTCCTGAATACAAACATCACAAAGATGTTTCTCAGAACGCTGCAGTCTGCAATTTGTATGAATTCCCGCTTCCAACGAAATCCTCCAAACTAGCCAAATATCCACTTGCAGAGTCCACAAAAAGAGCGTTTCAAAACTTCTCTATGAAAAGAAAGGTTCTACTCCTTTAGTTGAGTACACACATCACGAGTAAGTTTCTGAGAATGCTTCTGTCTAGTTTTTATGGGAAGATATTTCCTTTTTCACCTTAGGCCGGAAAGCGCTCCAAATGTCCACTTACACACACTACAAAAAGAGTGTTTCAAACCTGCTCTGTGAAAGGGAATGTTCAATTCTGTGACTTGAATGCAATCATCACAAAGAACTTTCTGAGAATGCTGCTGTCTGCTTTTTATATGTAATCCCGTTTCCTACGAAATCCTCAAATCTAGCCAAATATCCACTTGCAAATTCCACAAAAAGAGTGTTTCAAAACTGTTCTGTCTAAAGAAAAGTTCAACTGTGTTAGTTGAGGACACACATCAGAAACTAGTTTCTGAGAATGCTTCTGTCTAGTTGTTATGGGAAGATATTTCCTTTTCCAACGTAGGCCTGAAAGCGCTCCAAATGTCCACTTCCATATACTAAAAAAAGAGTGTTTCAAACCTGCTCTACCAAAGGGAATGTTCTACTCTGTGACTTGAATGCAAACATCCCAAAGAAGTTTCTGAGAATGCTTCTGTCTAGATTTGATCTGAAGACAATCCCGTTTCCAACGAAATCCTCAAAGCTAGGCAAATATCCTCTTGCAGATTCCAGAAAAAGAGTGTTTCAAAACTGCTCCTTCAAAACGGTGGTTCAATTCTCTTAGTTGAGTACACACATCTCAAATAAGTTTCTGAGAATGCTTCTGCCTAGTTGTTACGGGAAGATATTTCCCTTTCCAACATGGGCCTGAAAGCGCTCCAAATGTCCACTTCCAGATACTACAAAAAGAGGGTTTCAAACCTGCTCTACCAAAGGGAATGTTCTACTCTGTGACTTGAATGCAAACATCCCAAAGAAGTTTCTGAGAATGCTTCTGTCTAGATTTTACCTGAAGACAATCCCGTTTCCCACGAAATCCTCAAAGCTATGCAAATATCCTCTTGCAGATTCTACAAAAAGAGTGTTTCAAAACTGCTCTATGAAAAGAAAGGTTCAACTCTGTCAGCAGAGGGCACACATCACAAACAAGTTTCTGAGAATGCTTCTGCATAGTTGTTACGGGAAGATATTTCCCTTTCCAAAATAGGCCTGAAAGCGCTCCAAATGTCCACTTCCAGATACTACAAAAGGAGTGATTCCAACCTGCTCTATGATAGGGAATGTTCAACTCTGTGTCCTGAATACAAACATCACAAAGATGTTTCTCAGAACGCTGCAGTCTGCAATTTGTATGAATTCCCGCTTCCAACGAAATCCTCAAAACTAGCCAAATATCCACTTGCAGATTCCACAAAAAGACCATTTCAAAACTGCTCTATCAAAAGAAAGGTTCAACTTTGTTAGTTGAGTAGATACAGCATAAACAAGTTTCTGAGAATGCTTCTGTCCAGTTTTTATGGGAAGATATTTCCTTTTTCACCTTAGCCCTGAAATCGCTCCAAAAGTCCAGTTCCAGATACTACAAAAGGGGTGTTTCAAGACTGCTCTATGAAAGGGAGTGTTCAACTTTTGACTTGAATGCAAACATCAGAAAGCAGTTTCTCAGAACGCTGCTGTGTGCTTTTTATATGTATTCCCGCTTCCAGCGAAATCCCCAAAGCTAGCCAAATATCCACTTGCAGATTCCAGGAAAAGAGTGTTTCAAAACTGCTCCTTCAAAACGGTGGTTCAATTCTCTTAGTTGAGTACACACATCTCAAATAAGTTTCTGAGAATGCTGCTGTGTGCTTTTTATATGTATTCCCGCTTCCAGCGAAATCCCCAAAGCTAGCCAAATATCCACTTGCAGATTCCAGAAAAAGAGTGTTTCAAAACTGCTCCTTCAAAACGGTGGTTCAATTCTCTTAGTTGAGTACACACATCTCAAATAAGTTTCTGAGAATGCTGCAGTCTGCAATTTGTATGAATTCCCGCTTCCAACGAAATCCTCCAAACTAGCCAAATATCCACTTGCAGATTCCACAAAAAGAGCGTTTCAAAACTTCTCTATGAAAACAAAGGTTCTACTCCTTTAGTTGAGGACACACATCACGAGTAAGTTTCTGAGAATGCTTCTGTCTAGTTTTTATGGGAAGATATGTCCTTTTTCACCTTAGGCCGGAAAGCGCTCCAAATGTCCACTTACACACACTACAAAAAGAGTGTTTCAAACCTGCTCTGTGAAAGGGAATGTTCAATTCTGTGACTTGAATGCAATCATCACAAAGAACTTTCTGAGAATGCTGCTGACTGCTTTTTATATGTAATCCCGTTTCCAACGAAATCCTCAAATCTAGCCAAATAGCCACTTGCAGATTCCACAAAAAGAGTGTTTCAAAACTGTTCTGTCTAAAGAAATGTTCAACTGTGTTAGTTGAGGACACACATCAGAAACTAGTTTCTGAGAATGCTTCTGTCTAATTGTTATGGGAAGATATTTCCTTTTCCAACGTAGGCCTGAAAGCGCTCCAAATGTCCACTTCCATATACTAAAAAAAGAGTGTTTCAAACCTGCTCTACCAAAGGGAATGTTCTACTCTGTGACTTGAATGCAAACATCCCAAAGAAGTTTCTGAGAATGCTTCTGTCTAGATTTGATCTGAAGACAATCCCGTTTCCAACGAAATCCTCAAGGCTAGGCAAATATCCTCTTGCAGATTCCAGAAAAAGAGTGTTTCAAAACTGCTCCTTCAAAACGGTGGTTCAATTCTCTTAGTTGAGTACACACATCTCAAATAAGTTTCTGAGAATGCTTCTGCCTAGTTGTTACGGGAAGATATTTCCCTTTGCAACATGGGCCAGAAAGCGCTCCAAATGTCCACTTCCAGATACTACAAAAAGAGGGTTTCAAACCTGCTCTACCAAAGGGAATGTTCTACTCTGTGACTTGAATGTAAACATCCCAAAGAAGTTTCTGAGAATGCTTCTGTCTAGATTTTACCTGAAGACAATCCCGTTTCCCACGAAATCCTCAAAGCTATGCAAATATCCTCTTGCAGATTCTACAAAAAGAGTGTTTCAAAACTGCTCTATGAAAAGAAAGGTTCAACTCTGTCAGTAGAGGGCACACATCACAAACAAGTTTCTGAGAATGCTTCTGCATAGTTGTTACGGGAAGATATTTCCCTTTCCAAAATAGGCCTGAAAGCGCTCCAAATGTCCACTTCCAGATACTACAAAAGGAGTGATTCCAACCTGCTCTATGATAGGGAATGTTCAACTCTCTGTCCTGAATACAAACATCACAAAGATGTTTCTCAGAACGCTGCAGTCTGCAATTTGTATGAATTCCCGCTTCCAACGAAATCCTCAAAACTAGCCAAATATCCACTTGCAGATTCCACAAAAAGACCATTTCAAAACTGCTCTATCAAAAGAAAGGTTCAACTTTGTTAGTTGAGTAGATACAGCATAAACAAGTTTCTGAGAATGCTTCTGTCCAGTTTTTATGGGAAGATATTTCCTTTTTCACCTTAGCCCTGAAATCGCTCCAAAAGTCCAGTTCCAGATACTACAAAAGGGGTGTTTCAAGACTGCTCTATGAAAGGGAGTGTTCAACTTTTGACTTGAATGCAAACATCAGAAAGCAGTTTCTCAGAACGCTGCTGTGTGCTTTTTATATGTATTCCCGCTTCCAGCGAAATCCCCAAAGCTAGCCAAATATCCACTTGCAGATTCCACAAAAAGAGTGTTTCAAAACTGCTCCTTCAAAACGGTGGTTCAATTCTCTTAGTTGAGTAGACACATCTCAAATAAGTTTCTGAGAATGCTTCTGTCTAGTTGTTATGGGAAGATATTTCCTTTTCCAACATAGGCCTGAAAGCGCTCCAAATGTCCACTTCCAGATACTACAAAAGGAGTGATTCAAACCTGCTCTATGATAGGGAATGTTCAACTCTGTGTCCTGAATACAAACATCACAAAGATGTTTCTCAGAACGCTGCAGTCTGCAATTTGTATGAATTCCCGCTTCCAACGAAATCCTCAAAACTAACCAAATATCCACTTGGAGATTCCACAAAAAGAGCGTTTCAAAACTTCTCTATGAATAGAAAGGTTCTACTCCTTTAGTTGAGGACACACATCACGAGTAAGTTTCTGAGAATGCTTCTGTCTAGTTTTTATGGGAAGATATTTCCTTTTTCACCTTAGGCCGGTAAGTGCTCCAAATGTCCACTTACACACACTACAAAAAGAGTGTTTCAAACCTGCTCTGTGAAAGGGAATGTTCAATTCTGTGACTTGAATGCAATCATCACAAAGAACTTTCTGAGAATGCTGCTGACTGCTTTTTATATGTAATCCCGTTTCCAACGAAATCCTCAAATCTAGCCAAATAGCCACTTGCAGATTCCACAAAAAGAGTGTTTCAAAACTGTTCTGTCTAAAGAAATGTTCAACTGTGTTAGTTGAGGACACACATCAGAAACTAGTTTCTGAGAATGCTTCTGTCTAGTTGTTATGGGAAGATATTTCCTTTTCCAACGTAGGCCTGAAAGCGCTCCAAATGTCCACTTCCAGATACTAAAAAAAGAGTGTTTCAAACCTGCTCTACCAAAGGGAATGTTCTACTCTGTGACTGGAATGCAAGCATCCCAAAGAAGTTTCTGAGAATGCTTCTGTCTAGATTTTCTCTGAAGACAATCCCGTTTCCAACGAAATCCTCAAGGCTAGGCAAATATACTCTTGCAGATTCCAGAAAAAGAGTGTTTCAAAACTGCTCCTTCAAAACGGTGGTTCAATTCTCTTAGTTGAGTACACACATCTCAAATAAGTTTCTGAGAATGCTTCTGCCTAGTTGTTACGGGAAGATATTTCCCTTTCCAACATGGGCCTGAAAGCGCTCCAAATGTCCACTTCCAGATACTACAAAAAGAGTGTTTCAAACCTGCTCTACCAAAGGGAATGTTCTACTCTGTGACTTGAATGCAAACATCCCAAAGAAGTTTCTGAGAATGCTTCTGTCTAGATTTTACCTGAAGACAATCCCGTTTCCCACGAAATCCTCAAAGCTATGCAAATATCCTCTTGCAGATTCTACAAAAAGAGTGTTTCAAAACTGCTCTATGAAAAGAAAGGTTCAACTCTGTCAGTAGAGGGCACACATCACAAACAAGTTTCTGAGAATGCTTGTGTCTAGTTGTTATGGGAAGATATTTCCTTTTTCAACATAGGCCTGAAAGCGCTCCAAATGTCCACTTCCAGATACTACAAAAGGAGTGATTCCACCCTGCTCTATGATAGGGAATGTTCATCTCTGTGTCCTGAATACAAACATCACAAATATGTTTCTCAGAACGCTGCAGTCTGCAATTTGTATGAATTCCCGCTTCCAACGAAATCCTCAAAACTAGCCAAATATCCACTTGCAGATTCCACAAAAAGACCATTTCAAAACTGCTCTATCAAAAGAAAGGTTCAACTTTGTTAGTTGAGTAGATACAGCATAAACAAGTTTCTGAGAATGCTTCTGTCCAGTTTTTATGGGAAGATATTTCCTTTTTCACCTTAGCCCTGAAATCGCTCCAAAAGTCCAGTTCCAGATACTACAAAAGGGGTGTTTCAAGACTGCTCTATGAAAGGGAGTGTTCAACTTTTGACTTGAATGCAAACATCAGAAAGCAGTTTCTCAGAACGCTGCTGTGTGCTTTTTATATGTATTCCCGCTTCCAGCGAAATCCCCAAAGCTAGCCAAATATCCACTTGCAGATTCCAGAAAAAGAGTGTTTCCAAACTGCTCCTTCAAAACGGTGGTTCAATTCTCTTAGTTGAGTACACACATCTCAAATAAGTTTCTGGGAATGCTTCTGTCTAGTTGTTATGGGAAGATATTTCCTTTTCCAACATAGGCCTGAAAGCGCTCCAAATGTCCACTTCCAGATACTACAAAAGGAGTGATTCCAACCTGCTCTATGATAGGGAATGTTCAACTCTGTGTCCTGAATACAAACATCACAAAGATGTTTCTCAGAACGCTGCAGTCTGCAATTTGTATGAATTCCCGCTTCCAACGAAATCCTCAAAACTAGCCAAATATCCACTTGGAGATTCCACAAAAAGAGCGTTTCAAAACTTCTCTATGAATAGAAAGGTTCTACTCCTTTAGTTGAGGACACACATCACGAGTAAGTTTCTGAGAATGCTTCTGTCTAGTTTTTATGGGAAGATATTTCCTTTTTCACCTTAGGCCGGAAAGCGCTGCAAATGTCCGCTTACACACACTACAAAAAGAGTGTTTCAAACCTGCTCTGTGAAAGGGAATGTTCAATTCTGTGACTTGAATGCAATCATCACAAAGAACTTTCTGAGAATGCCGCTGTCTGCTTTTTATATGTAATCCCGTTTCCAACGAAATGCTCAAATCTAGCCAAATATCCACTTGCAGATTCCACAAAAAGAGTGTTTCAAAACTGTTCTGTCTAAAGAAATGTTCAACTGTGTTAGTTGAGGACACACATCAGAAACTAGTTTCTGAGAATGCTTCTGTCTAGTTGTTATGGGAAGATATTTCCTTTTCCAACGTAGGCCTGAAAGCGCTCCAAATGTCCACTTCCATATACTAAAAAAAGAGTGTTTCAAACCTGCTCTACCAAAGGAATGTTCTACTCTGTGACTTGAATGCAAACATCCCAAAGAAGTTTCTGAGAATGCTTCTGTCTAGATTTGATCTGAAGACAATCCCTTTTCCAACGAAATCCTCAAAGCTAGGCAAATATCCTCTTGCAGATTCCAGAAAAAGAGTGTTTCCAAACTGCTCCTTCAAAACGGTGGTTCAATTCTCTTAGTTGAGTACACACATCTCAAATAAGTTTCAGAGAATGCTTCTGCCTAGTTGTTACGGGAAGATATTTCCCTTTCCAACATAGGCCTGAAAGCGCTCCAAATGTCCACTTCCAGATACTACAAAAAGAGTGTTTCAAACCTGCTCTACCAAAGGGAATGTTCTACTCTGTGACTTGAATGCAAACATCCCAAAGAAGTTTCTGAGAATGCTTCTGTCCAGATTTAACCTGAAGACAATCCCGTTTCCCACGAAATCCTCAAAGCTATGCAAATATCCTCTTGCAGATTCTACAAAAAGAGTGTTTCAAAACTGCTCTATGAAAAGAAAGGTTCAAATCTGTCAGTAGAGGGCACACATCACAAACAAGTTTCTGAGAATGCTTCTGCATAGTTGTTACGGGAAGATATTTCCCTTTCCAAAATAGGCCTGAAAGCGCTCCAAATGTCCACTTCCAGATACTACAAAAGGAGTGATTCCAACCTGCTCTATGATAGGGAATGTTCAACTCTGTGTCCTGAATACAAACATCACAAAGATGTTTCTCAGAACGCTGCAGTCTGCAATTTGTATGAATTCCCGCTTCCAACGAAATCCTCAAAACTAGCCAAATATCCACTTGCAGATTCCACAAAAAGACCATTTCAAAACTGCTCTATCAAAAGAAAGGTTCAACTTTGTTAGTTGAGTAGATACAGCATAAACAAGTTTCTGAGAATGCTTCTGTCCAGTTTTTATGGGAAGATATTTCCTTTTTCACCTTAGCCCTGAAAGCGCTCCAAAAGTCCAGTTCCAGATACTACAAAAGGAGTGTTTCAGGACTGCTCTATGAAAGGGAGTGTTCAACTTTTGACTTGAATGCAAACATCAGAAAGCAGTTTCTCAGAACGCTGCTGTGTGCTTTTTATATGTATTCCCGCTTCCAGCGAAATCCCCAAAGCTAGCCAAATATCCACTTGCAGATTCCAGAAAAAGAGTGTTTCAAAACTGCTCCTTCAAAACGGTGGTTCAATTCTCTTAGTTGAGTACACACATCTCAAATAAGTTTCTGAGAATGCTTCTGTCTAGTTGTTATGGGAAGATATTTCCTTTTCCAACATAGGCCTGAAAGCGCTCCAAATGTCCACTTCCAGATACTACAAAAGGAGTGATTCAAACCTGCTCTATGATAGGGAATGTTCAACTCTGTGTCCTGAATACAAACATCACAAAGATGTTTCTCAGAACGCTGCAGTCTGCAATTTGTATGAATTCCCGCTTCCAACGAAATCCTCAAAACTAGCCAAATATCCACTTGGAGATTCCACAAAAAGAGCGTTTCAAAACTTCTCTATGAATAGAAAGGTTCTACTCCTTTAGTTGAGGACACACATCACGAGTAAGTTTCTGAGAATGCTTCTGTCTAGTTTTTATGGGAAGATATTTCCTTTTTCACCTTAGGCCGGAAAGCGCTCCAAATGTCCACTTACACACACTACAAAAAGAGTGTTTCAAACCTGCTCTATGAAAGGGAATGTTCAATTCTGTGACTTGAATGCAATCATCACAAAGAACTTTCTGAGAATGCTGCTGTCTGCTTTTTATATGTAATCCCGTTTCCAACGAAATCCTCAAATCTAGCCAAATAGCCACTTGCAGATTCCACAAAAAGAGTGTTTCAAAACTGTTCTGCCTAAAGAAATGTGCAACTGTGTTAGTTGAGGACACACATCAGAAACTAGTTTCTGAGAATGCTTCTGTCTAGTTGTTATGGGAAGATATTTCCTTTTCCAACGTAGGCCTGAAAGCACTCCAAATGTCCACTTCCATATACTAGAAAAAGAGTGTTTCAAACCTGCTCTACCAAAGGGAATGTTCTACTCTGTGACTTGAATGCAAACATCCCAAAGAAGTTTCTGAGAATGCTTCTGTCTAGATTTGATCTGAAGACAATCCCGTTTCCAACGAAATCCTCAAAGCTAGGCAAATATCCTCTTGCAGATTCCAGAAAAAGAGTGTTTCAAAACTGCTCCTTCAAAACGGTGGTTCAATTCTCTTAGTTGAGTACACACATCTCAAATAAGTTTCTGGGAATGCTTCTGTCTAGTTGTTATGGGAAGATATTTCCTTTTCCAACATAGGCCTGAAAGCGCTCCAAATGTCCACTTCCAGATACTACAAAAGGAGTGATCCCAACCTGCTCTATGATAGGGAATGTTCAACTCTGTGTCCTGAATACAAACATCACAAAGATGTTTCTCAGAACGCTTCTGTCTAGATTTTACCTAAAGACAATCCCGTTTCCCACGAAATCCTCAAAGCTATGCAAATATCCTCTTGCGGATTCTACAAAAAGAGTGTTTCAAAACTGCTCTATGAAAAGAAAGGTTCAACTCTGTCAGTAGAGGGCACACATCACAAACAAGTTTCTGAGAATGCTTGTGTCTAGTTGTTATGGGAAGATATTTCCTTTTTCAACATAGGCCTGAAAGCGCTCTAAATGTCCACTTCCAGATACTACAAAAGGAGTGATTCCAACATGCTCTATGATAGGGAATGTTCATCTCTGTGTCTTGAATACAAACATCACAAAGATGTTTCTCAGAACGCTGCAGTCTGCAATTTGTAGGAATTCCCGCTTCCAACGAAATCCTCAAAACTAGCCAAATATCCACTTGCAGATTCCACAAAAAGAGCGTTTCGAAACTTCTCTATGAAAAGAAAGGTTCTACTCCTTTAGTTGAGGACACACATCACGAGTAAGTTTCTGAGAATGCTTCTGTCCAGTTTTTATGGGAAGATATTTCCTTTTTCACCTTAGCCCTGAAAGCGCTCCAAAAGTCCAGTTCCAGATACTACAAAAGGAGTGTTTCAGGACTGCTCTATGAAAGGGAGTGTTCAACTTTTGACTTGAATGCAAACATCAGAAAGCAGTTTCTCAGAACGCTGCTGTGTGCTTTTTATATGTATTCCCGCTTCCAGCGAAATCCCCAAAGCTAGCCAAATATCCACTTGCAGATTCCAGAAAAAGAGTGTTTCAAAACTGCTCCTTCAAAACGGTGGTTCAATTCTCTTAGTTGAGTACACACATCTCAAATAAGTTTCTGAGAATGCTTCTGTCTAGTTGTTATGGGAAGATATTTCCTTTTCCAACATAGGCCTGAAAGCGCTCCAAATGTCCACTTCCAGATACTACAAAAGGAGTGATTCAAACCTGCTCTATGATAGGGAATGTTCAACTCTGTGTCCTGAATACAAACATCACAAAGATGTTTCTCAGAACGCTGCAGTCTGCAATTTGTATGAATTCCCGCTTCCAACGAAATCCTCAAAACTAGCCAAATATCCACTTGCAGATTCCACAAAAAGAGCGTTTCAAAACTTCTCTATGAAAAGAAAGGTTCTACTCCTTTAGTTGAGGACACACATCACGAGTAAGTTTCTGAGAATGCTTCTGTCTAGTTTTTATGGGAAGATTATTTCCTTTTTCACCTTAGGCCGGTAAGTGCTCCAAATGTCCACTTACACACACTACAAAAAGAGTGTTTCAAACCTGCTCTGTGAAAGGGAATGTTCAATTCTGTGACTTGAATGCAATCATCACAAAGAACTTTACTGAGAATGCTGCTGTCTGCTTTTTATATGTAATCCCGTTTCCAACGAAATCCTCAAATCTAGCCTAATGTCCACTTGCAGATTCCACAAAAAGAGTGTTTCAAAACTGTTCTGTCTAAAGAAATGTACAACTGTGTTAGTTGAGGACACACATCAGAAACTAGTTTCTGAGAATGCTTCTGTCTAGTTGTTATGGGAAGATATTTCCTTTTCCAACGTAGGCCTGAAAGCGCTCCAAATGTCCACTTCCATATACTAAAAAAAGAGTGTTTCAAACCTGCTCTACCAAAGGGAATGTTCTACTCTGTGACTTGAATGCAAACATCCCAAAGAAGTTTCTGAGAATGCTTCTGTCTAGATTTGATCTGAACACAATCCCGTTTCCAACGAAATCCTCAAAGCTAGGCAAATATCCTCTTGCAGATTCCAGAAAAAGAGTGTTTCAAAACTGCTCCTTCAAAACGGTGGTTCAATTCTCTTAGTTGAGTACACACATCTCAAATAAGTTTCTGAGAATGCTTCTGCCTAGTTGTTACGGGAAGATATTTCCCTTTCCAACATAGGCCTGAAAGCGCTCCAAATGTCCACTTCCAGATACTAAAAAAAGAGTGTTTCAAACCTGCTCTACCAAAGGGAATGTTCTACTCTGTGACTTGAATGCAAACATCCCAAAGAAGTTTCTGAGAATGCTTCTGTCTAGATTTTACCTGAAGACAATCCCGTTTCCCACGAAATCCTCAAAGCTATGCAAATATCCTCTTGCAGATTCTACAAAAAGAGTGTTTCAAAACTGCTCTATGAAAAGAAAGGTTCAACTCTGTCAGTAGAGGGCACACATCACAAACAAGTTTCTGAGAATGCTTGTGTCTAGTTGTTATGGGAAGATATTTCCTTTTTCAACATAGGCCTGAAAGCGCTCCAAATGTCCACTTCCAGATACTACAAAAGGAGTGATTCCAACCTGCTCTATGATAGGGAATGTTCAACTCTCTGTCCTGAATACAAACATCACAAAGATGTTTCTCAGAACGCTGCAGTCTGCAATTTGTATGAATTCCCGCTTCCAACGAAATCCTCAAAACTAGCCAAATATCCACTTGCAGATTCCACAAAAAGACCATTTCAAAACTGCTCTATCAAAAGAAAGGTTCAACTTTGTTAGTTGAGTAGATACAGCATAACCAAGTTTCTGAGAATGCTTCTGTCCAGTTTTTATGGGAAGATATTTCCTTTTTCACCTTAGCCCTGAAATCGCTCCAAAAGTCCAGTTCCAGATACTACAAAAGGGGTGTTTCAGGACTGCTCTATGAAAGGGAGTGTTCAACTTTTGACTTGAATGCAAACATCAGAAAGCAGTTTCTCAGAACGCTGCTGTGTGCTTTTTATATGTATTCCCGCTTCCAGCGAAATCCCCAAAGCTAGCCAAATATCCACTTGCAGATTCCAGAAAAAGAGTGTTTCAAAACTGCTCCTTCAAAACGGTGGTTCAATTCTCTTAGTTGAGTACACACATCTCAAATAAGTTTCTGAGAATGCTTCTGTCTAGTTGTTATGGGAAGATATTTCCTTTTCCAACATAGGCCTGAAAGCGCTCCAAATGTCCAATTCCAGATACTACAAAAGGAGTGATTCCAACCTGCTCTATGATAGGGAATGTTCAACTCTGTGTCCTGAATACAAACATCACAAAGATGTTTCTCAGAACGCTGCAGTCTGCAATTTGTATGAATTCCCGCTTCCAACGAAATCCTCAAAACTAGCCAAATATCCACTTGCAGATTCCACAAAAAGAGCGTTTCAAAACTTCTCTATGAAAAGAAAGGTTCTACTCCTTTAGTTGAGGACACACATCACGAGTAAGTTTCTGAGAATGCTCTGTCTAGTTTTTATGGGAAGATATTTCCTTTCTCACCTTAGGCCGGAAAGTGCTCCAAATGTCCACTTACACACACTACAAAAAGAGTGTTTCAAACCTGCTCTGTGAAAGGGAATGTTCAATTCTGTGACTTGAATGCAATCATCACAAAGAACTTTCTGAGAATGCTGGCTGTCTGCTTTTTATATGTAATCCCGTTTCCAACGAAATCCTCAAATCTAGCCAAATAGCCACTTGCAGATTCCACAAAAAGAGAGTTTCAAAACTGTTCTGTCTAAAGAAATGTTCAACTGTGTTAGTTGAGGACACACATCAGAAACTAGTTTCTGAGAATGCTTCTGTCTAGTTGTTATGGGAAGATATTTCCTTTTCCAACGTAGGCCTGAAAGCGCTCCAAATGTCCACTTCCATATACTAAAAAAAGAGTGTTTCAAACCTGCTCTACCAAAGGGAATGTTCTACTCTGTGACTTGAATGCAAACATCCCAAAGAAGTTTCTGAGAATGCTTCTGTCTAGATTTGATCTGAAGACAATCCCGTTTCCAACGAAATCCTCAAGGCTAGGCAAATATACTCTTGCAGATTCCAGAAAAAGAGTGTTTCAAAACTGCTCCTTCAAAACGGTGGTTCAATTCTCTTAGTTGAGTACACACATCTCAAATAAGTTTCTGAGAATGCTTCTGCCTAGTTGTTACGGGAAGATATTTCCCTTTCCAACATGGGCCTGAAAGCGCTCCAAATGTCCACTTCCAGATACTACAAAAAGAGTGTTTCAAACCTGCTCTACCAAAGGGAATGTTCTACTCTGTGACTTGCATGCAAACTTCTCAAAGAAGTTTCTGAGAATGCTTCTGTCTAGATTTTACCTGAAGACAATCCCGTTTCCCACGAAATCCTCAAAGCTATGCAAATATCCTCTTGCAGATTCTACAAAAAGAGTGTTTCAAAACTGCTCTATGAAAAGAAAGGTTCAACTCTGTCAGTAGAGGGCACACATCACAAACAAGTTTCTGAGAATGCTTCTGCATAGTTGTTACGGGAAGATATTTCCCTTTCCAAAATAGGCCTGAAAGCGCTCCAAATGTCCACTTCCAGATACTACAAAAGGAGTGATTCCAACCTGCTCTATGATAGGGAATGTTCAACTCTGTGTCCTGAATACAAACATCACAAAGATGTTTCTCAGAACGCTGCAGTCTGCAATTTGTATGAATTCCCGCTTCCAACGAAATCCTCAAAACTAGCCAAATATCCACTTGCAGATTCCACAAAAAGACCATTTCAAAACTGCTCTATCAAAAGAAAGGTTCAACTTTGTTAGTTGAGTAGATACAGCATAAACAAGTTTCTGAGAATGCTTCTGTCCAGTTTTTATGGGAAGATATTTCCTTTTTCACCTTAGCCCTGAAAGCACTCCAAATGTCCACTTCCAGATACCAGAAAAGGGGAGTTTCAAGACTGCTCTATGAAAGGGAGTGTTCAACTTTTGACTTGAATGCAAACATCACCAAGAAGTTTCTCAGAACGCTGCTGTCTGCTTTGTGTATATAATCCCGTTTCCAACGAAATCCTCATATCTAGCTAAATATCCACTTGCAGATTCCAGAAAAAGAGTGTTTCAAAACTGCTCCTTCAAAACGGTGGTTCAATTCTCTTAGTTGAGTACACACATCTCAAATAAGTTTCTGAGAATGCTTCTGTCTAGTTGTTATGGGAAGATATTTCCTTTTCCAACGTAGGCCTGAAAGCGCTCCAAGTGTCCACTTCCATATACGAAAAAAAGAGTGTTTCAAACCTGCTCTACCAAAGGGAATCTTCTACTCTGTGACTTGAATGCAAACATCCCAAAGAAGTTTCTGAGAATGCTTCTGTCTAGATTGGATCTGAAGACAATCCCGTTTCCAACGAAATCCTCAAATCTATGCAAATATCCTCTTGCAGATTCCAGAAAAAGAGTGTTTCAAAACTGCTCCTTCAAAACGGTGGTTCAATTCTCTTAGTTGAGTACACACATCTCAAATAAGTTTCTGAGAATGCTTCTGCCTAGTTGTTACGGGAAGATATTTCCCTTTCCAACATGGGCCTGAAAGCGCTCCAAATGTCCACTTCCAGATACTACAAAAAGAGTGTTTCAAACCTGCTCTACCAAAGGGAATGTTCTACTCTGTGACTTGAATGCAAACATCCCAAAGAAGTTTCTGAGAATGCTTCTGTCTAGATTTTACCTGAAGACAATCCCGTTTCCCACGAAATCCTCAAAGCTATGCAAATATCCTCTTGCAGATTCTACAAAAAGAGTGTTTCAAAACTGCTCTATGAAAAGAAAGGTTCAACTCTGTCAGTAGAGGGCACACATCACAAACAAGTTTCTGAGAATGCTTCTGCATAGTTGTTACGGGAAGATATTTCCCTTTCCAAAATAGGCCTGAAAGCGCTCCAAATGTCCACTTCCAGATACTACAAAAGGAGTGATTCCAACCTGCTCTATGATAGGGAATGTTCAACTCTGTGTCCTGAATACAAACATCACAAAGATGTTTCTCAGAACGCTGCAGTCTGCAATTTGTATGAATTCCCGCTTCCAACGAAATCCTCAAAACTAGCCAAATATCCACTTGCAGATTCCACAAAAAGACCATTTCAAAACTGCTCTATCAAAAGAAAGGTTCAACTTTGTTAGTTGAGTAGATACAGCATAAACAAGTTTCTGAGAATGCTTCTGTCCAGTTTTTATGGGAAGATATTTCCTTTTTCACCTTAGCCCTGAAATCGCTCCAAAAGTCCAGTTCCAGATACTACAAAAGGGGTGTTTCAAGACTGCTCTATGAAAGGGAGTGTTCAACTTTTGACTTGAATGCAAACATCAGAAAGCAGTTTCTCAGAACGCTGCTGTGTGCTTTTTATATGTATTCCCGCTTCCAGCGAAATCCCCAAAGCTAGCCAAATATCCACTTGCAGATTCCAGAAAAAGAGTGTTTCAAAACTGCTCCTTCAAAACGGTGGTTCAATTCTCTTAGTTGAGTACACACATCTCAAATAAGTTTCTGAGAATGCTTCTGTCTAGTTGTTATGGGAAGATATTTCCTTTTCCAACATAGGCCTGAAAGCGCTCCAAATGTCCACTTCCAGATACTACAAAAGGAGTGATTCAAACCTGCTCTATGATAGGGAATGTTCAACTCTGTGTCCTGAATACAAACATCACAAAGATGTTTCTCAGAACGCTGCAGTCTGCATCTTGTATGAATTCCCGCTTCCAACGAAATCCTCCAAACTAGCCAAATATCCACTTGCAGATTCCACAAAAAGAGCGTTTCAAAACTTCTCTATGAAAAGAAAGGTTGTACTCCTTTAGTTGAGGACACACATCACGAGTAAGTTTCTGAGAATGCTTCTGTCTAGTTTTTATGGGAAGATATTTCCTTTTTCACCTTAGGCCGGAAAGTGCTCCAAATGTCCACTTACACACACTAAAAAAGAGTGTTTCAAACCTGCTCTGTGAAAGGGAATGTTCAATTCTGTGACTTGAATGCAATCATCACAAAGAACTTTCTGAGAATGCTGCTGACTGCTTTTTATATGTAATCCCGTTTCCAACGAAATCCTCAAATCTAGCCAAATAGCCACTTGCAGATTCCACAAAAAGAGTGTTTCAAAACTGTTCTGTCTAAAGAAATGTTCAACTGTGTTAGTTGAGGACACACATCAGAAACTAGTTTCTGAGAATGCTTCTGTCTAGTTGTTATGGGAAGATATTTCCTTTTCCAACGTAGGCCTGAAAGCGCTCCAAATGTCCACTTCCAGATACTACAAAAAGAGTGTTTCAAACCTGCTCTACCAAAGGGAATGTTCTACTCTGTGACTGGAATGCAAGCATCCCAAAGAAGTTTCTGAGAATGCTTCTGTCTAGATTTTCTCTGAAGACAATCCCGTTTCCAACGAAATCCTCAAGGCTAGGCAAATATACTCTTGCAGATTCCAGAAAAAGAGTGTTTCAAAACTGCTCCTTCAAAACGGTGGTTCAATTCTCTTAGTTGAGTACACACATCTCAAATAAGTTTCTGAGAATGCTTCTGCCTAGTTGTTACGGGAAGATATTTCCCTTTCCAACATGGGCCTGAAAGCGCTCCAAATGTCCACTTCCAGATACTACAAAAAGAGTGTTTCAAACCTGCTCTACCAAAGGGAATGTTCTACTCTGTGACTTGAATGCAAACATCCCAAAGAAGTTTCTGAGAATGCTTCTGTCTAGATTTTACCTGAAGACAATCCCGTTTCCCACGAAATCCTCAAAGCTATGCAAATATCCTCTTGCAGATTCTACAAAAAGAGTGTTTCAAAACTGCTCTATGAAAAGAAAGGTTCAACTCTGTCAGTAGAGGGCACACATCACAAACAAGTTTCTGAGAATGCTTGTGTCTAGTTGTTATGGGAAGATATTTCCTTTTTCAACATAGGCCTGAAAGCGCTCCAAATGTCCACTTCCAGATACTACAAAAGGAGTGATTCCAACCTGCTCTATGATAGGGAATGTTCAACTCTGTGTCCTGAATACAAACATCACAAAGATGTTTCTCAGAACGCTGCAGTCTGCAATTTGTATGAATTCCCGCTTCCAACGAAATCCTCAAAACTAGCCAAATATCCACTTGCAGATTCCACAAAAAGAGCATTTCAAAACTGCTCTATCAAAAGAAAGGTTCAACTTTGTTAGTTGAGTAGATACAGCATAAACAAGTTTCTGAGAATGCTGCAGTCTGCAATTTGTATGAATTCCCGCTTCCAACGAAATCCTCAAAACTAGCCAAATATCCACTTGCAGATTCCACAAAAAGAGCGTTTCAAAACTTCTCTATGAAAAGAAAGGTTCTACTCCTTTAGTTGAGGACACACATCACGAGTAAGTTTCTGAGAATGCTTCTGTCTAGTTTTTATGGGAAGATATGTCCTTTTTCACCTTAGGCCGGAAAGCGCTCCAAATGTCCACTAACACACACTACAGAAAGAGTGTTTCAAACCTGCTCTGTGAAAGGGAATGTTCAATTCTGTGACTTGAATGCAATCATCACAAAGAACTTTCTGAGAATGCTGCTGACTGCTTTTTATATGTAATCCCGTTTCCAACGAAATCCTCAAATCTAGCCAAATAGCCACTTGCAGATTCCACAAAAA
Organism: Homo sapiens; assembly: GCF_000001405.40. Lineage (NCBI taxonomy): Eukaryota > Metazoa > Chordata > Mammalia > Primates > Hominidae > Homo > Homo sapiens. The sequence continues at coordinate 20,518,623 of NC_000018.10, read as the reverse complement.
GAGTGTTTCAAAACTGTTCTGTCTAAAGAAATGTTCAACTGTGTTAGTTGAGGACACACATCAGAAACTAGTTTCTGAGAATGCTTCTGTCTAGTTGTTATGGGAAGATATTTCCTTTTCCAACGTAGGCCTGAATGCGCTCCAAATGTCCACTTCCATATACTAAAAAAAGAGTGTTTCAAACCTGCTCTACCAAAGGGAATGTTCTACTCTGTGACTTGAATGCAAACATCCCAAGGAAGTTTCTGAGAATGCTTCTGTATAGATTTGATCTGAAGACAATCCCGTTTCCAACGAAATCCTCAAGGCTAGGCAAATATCCTCTTTCAGATTCCAGAAAAAGAGTGTTTCAAAACTGCTCCTTCAAAACGGTGGTTCAATTCTCTTAGTTGAATACACACATCTCAAATAAGTTTCTGAGAATGCTTCTGCCTAGTTGTTACGGGAAGATATTTCCCTTTCCAACATAGGCCTGAAAGCGCTCCAAATGTCCACTTCCAGATACTACAAAAAGAGTGTTTCAAACCTGCTCTACCAAAGGGGAATGTTCTACTCTGTGACTTGAATGCAAACATCCCAAGGAAGTTTCTGAGAATGCTTCTGTCTAGATTTTACCTGAAGACAATCCCGTTTCCCACGAAATCCTCAAAGCTATGCAAATATCCTCTTGCAGATTCTACAAAAAGAGTGTTTCAAAACTGCTCTATGAAAAGAAAGGTTCAACTCTGTCAGTAGAGGGCACACATCACAAACAAGTTTCTGAGAATGCTTCTGCATAGTTGTTACGGGAAGATATTTCCCTTTCCAAAATAGGCCTGAAAGCGCTCCAAATGTCCACTTCCAGATACTACAAAAGGAGTGATTCCAACCTGCTCTATGATAGGGAATGTTCAACTCTGTGTCCTGAATACAAACATCACAAAGATGTTTCTCAGAACGCTGCAGTCTGCAATTTGTATGAATTCCCGCTTCCAACGAAATCCTCAAAACTAGCCAAATATCCACTTGCAGATTCCACAAAAAGACCATTTCAAAACTGCTCTATCAAAAGAAAGGTTCAACTTTGTTAGTTGAGTAGATACAGCATAAACAAGTTTCTGAGAATGCTTCTGTCCAGTTTTTATGGGAAGATATTTCCTTTTTCACCTTAGCCCTGAAATCGCTCCAAAAGTCCAGTTCCAGATACTACAAAAGGGGTGTTTCAAGACTGCTCTATGAAAGGGAGTGTTCAACTTTTGACTTGAATGCAAACATCAGAAAGCAGTTTCTCAGAACGCTGCTGTGTGCTTTTTATATGTATTCCCGCTTCCAGCGAAATCCCCAAAGCTAGCCAAATATCCACTTGCAGATTCCAGAAAAAGAGTGTTTCAAAACTGCTCCTTCAAAACGGTGGTTCAATTCTCTTAGTTGAGTACACACATCTCAAATAAGTTTCTGAGAATGCTTGTGTCTAGTTGTTATGGGAAGATATTTCCTTTTTCAACATAGGCCTGAAAGCGCTCCAAATGTCCACTTCCAGATACTACAAAAGGAGTGATTCCAACCTGCTCTATGATAGGGAATGTTCATCTCTGTGTCCTGAATACAAACATCACAAAGATGTTTCTCAGAACGCTGCAGTCTGCAATTTGTATGAATTCCCGCTTCCAACGAAATCCTCAAAACTAGCCAAATGTCCACTTGCAGATTCCACAAAAAGAGCGTTTCAAAACTTCTCTATGAAAAGAAAGGTTCTACTCCTTTAGTTGAGGACACACATCACGAGTAAGTTTCTGAGAATGCTTCTGTCTAGTTTTTATGGGAAGATATTTCCTTTTTCACCTTAGGCCAGAAAGCGCTCCAAATGTCCACTTACACACACTACAAAAAGAGTGTTTCAAACCTGCTCTGTGAAAGGGAATTTTCAATTCTGTGACTTGAATGCAATCATCACAAAGAACTATCTGAGAATGCTGCTGACTGCTTTTTATATGTAATCCCGTTTCCAACGAAATCCACAAATCTAGCCCAATATCCACTTGCAGATTCCACAAAAAGAGTGTTTCAAAACTGTTCTGTCTAAAGAAAAGTTCAACTGTGTTAGTTGAGGACACACATCAGAAACTAGTTTCTGAGAATGCTTCTGTCTAGTTGTTATGGGAAGATATTTCCTTTTCCAACGTAGGCCTGAAAGCGCTCCAAATGTCCACTTCCATATACTAAAAAAAGAGTGTTTCAAACCTGCTCTACCAAAGGGAATGTTCTACTCTGTGACTTGAATGCAAACATCCCAAAGAAGTTTCTGAGAATGCTTCTGTCTAGATTTTATCTGAAGACAATCCCGTTTCCAACGAAATCCTCAAGGCTAGGCAAATATACTCTTGCAGATTCCAGAAAAAGAGTGTTTCAAAACTGCACCTTCAAAACGGTGGTTCAATTCTCTTAGTTGAGTACACACATCTCAAATAAGTTTCTGAGAATGCTTCTGCCTAGTTGTTACGGGAAGATATTTCCCTTTCCAACATAGGCCTGAAAGCGCTCCAAATGTCCACTTCCAGATACTACAAAAAGAGTGTTTCAAACCTGCTCTACCAAAGGGAATGTTCTACTCTGTGACTTGAATGCAAACATCCCAAAGAAGTTTCTGAGAATGCTTCTGTCTAGATTTTACCTGAAGACAATCCCGTTTCCCACGAAATCCTCAAAGCTATGCAAATATCCTCTTGCAGATTCTACAAAAAGAGTGTTTCAAAACTGCTCTATGAAAAGAAAGGTTCAACTCTGTCAGTAGAGGGCACACATCACAAACAAGTTTCTGAGAATGCTTCTGCATAGTTGTTACGGGAAGATATTTCCCTTTCCAAAATAGGCCTGAAAGCGCTCCAAATGTCCACTTCCAGATACTACAAAAGGAGTGATTCCAACCTGCTCTATGATAGGGAATGTTCAACTCTGTGTCCTGAATACAAACATCACAAAGATGTTTCTCAGAACGCTGCAGTCTGCAATTTGTATGAATTCCCGCTTCCAACGAAATCCTCAAAACTAGCCAAATATCCACTTGCAGATTCCACAAAAAGACCATTTCAAAACTGCTCTATCAAAAGAAAGGTTCAACTTTGTTAGTTGAGTAGATACAGCATAACCAAGTTTCTGAGAATGCTTCTGTCCAGTTTTTATGGGAAGATATTTCCTTTTTCACCTTAGCCCTGAAATCGCTCCAAAAGTCCAGTTCCAGATACTACAAAAGGGGTGTTTCAAGACTGCTCTATGAAAGGGAGTGTTCAACTTTTGACTTGAATGCAAACATCAGAAAGCAGTTTCTCAGAACGCTGCTGTGTGCTTTTTATATGTATTCCCGCTTCCAGCGAAATCCCCAAAGCTAGCCAAATATCCACTTGCAGATTCCAGAAAAAGAGTGTTTCAAAACTGCTCCTTCAAAACGGTGGTTCAATTCTCTTAGTTGAGTACACACATCTCAAATAAGTTTCTGAGAATGCTTCTGTCTAGTTGTTATGGGAAGATATTTCCTTTTCCAACATAGGCCTGAAAGCGCTCCAAATGTCCACTTCCAGATACTACAAAAGGAGTGATTCCAACCTGCTCTATGATAGGGAATGTTCAACTCTGTGTCCTGAATACAAACATCACAAAGATGTTTCTCAGAACGCTGCAGTCTGCAATTTGTATGAATTCCCGCTTCCAACGAAATCCTCCAAACTAGCCAAATATCCACTTGCAGATTCCACAAAAAGAGCGTTTCAAAACTTCTCTATGAAAACAAAGGTTCTACTCCTTTAGTTGAGGACACACATCACGAGTAAGTTTCTGAGAATGCTTCTGTCTAGTTTTTATGGGAAGATATTTCCTTTTTCACCTTAGGCCGGTAAGTGCTCCAAATGTCCACTTACACACACTACAAAAAGAGTGTTTCAAACCTGCTCTGTGAAAGGGAATGTTCAATTCTGTGACTTGAATGCAATCATCACAAAGAACTTTCTGAGAATGCTGCTGTCTGCTTTTTATATGTAATCCCGTTTCCAACGAAATCCTCAAATCTAGCCAAATAGCCACTTGCAGATTCCACAAAAAGAGAGTTTCAAAACTGTTCTGTCTAAAGAAATGTTCAACTGTGTTAGTTGAGGACACACATCAGAAACTAGTTTCTGAGAATGCTTCTGTCTAGTTGTTATGGGAAGATATTTCCTTTTCCAACGTAGGCCTGAAAGCGCTCCAAATGTCCACTTCCATATACTAAAAAAAGAGTGTTTCAAACCTGCTCTACCAAAGGGAATGTTCTACTCTGTGACTTGAATGCAAACATCCCAAAGAAGTTTCTGAGAATGCTTCTGTCTAGATTTTCTCTGAAGACAATCCCGTTTCCAACGAAATCCTCAAGGCTAGGCAAATATACTCTTGCAGATTCCAGAAAAAGAGTGTTTCAAAACTGCTCCTTCAAAACGGTGGTTCAATTCTCTTAGTTGAGTACACACATCTCAAATAAGTTTCTGAGAATGCTTCTGCCTAGTTGTTACTGGAAGATATTTCCCTTTCCAACATAGGCCTGAAAGCGCTCCAAATGTCCACTTCCAGATACTACAAAAAGAGTGTTGCAAACCTGCTCTACCAAAGGGAATGTTCTACTCTGTGACTTGAATGCAAACATCCCAAAGAAGTTTCTGAGAATGCTTCTGTCTAGATTTTACCTGAAGACAATCCCGTTTCCCACGAAATCCTCAAAGCTATGCAAATATCCTCTTGCGGATTCTACAAAAAGAGTGTTTCAAAACTGCTCTATGAAAAGAAAGGTTCAACTCTGTCAGTAGAGGGCACACATCACAAACAAGTTTCTGAGAATGCTTCTGCATAGTTGTTACGGGAAGATATTTCCCTTTCCAAAATAGGCCTGAAAGCGCTCCAAATGTCCACTTCCAGATACTACAAAAGGAGTGATTCCAACCTGCTCTATGATAGGGAATGTTCAACTCTGTGTCCTGAATACAAACATCACAAAGATGTTTCTCAGAACGCTGCAGTCTGCAATTTGTATGAATTCCCGCTTCCAACGAAATCCTCAAAACTAGCCAAATATCCACTTGCAGATTCCACAAAAAGACCATTTCAAAACTGCTCTATCAAAAGAAAGGTTCAACTTTGTTAGTTGAGTAGATACAGCATAAACAAGTTTCTGAGAATGCTTCTGTCCAGTTTTTATGGGAAGATATTTCCTTTTTCACCTTAGCCCTGAAAGCGCTCCAAAAGTCCAGTTCCAGATACTACAAAAGGAGTGTTTCAGGACTGCTCTATGAAAGGGAGTGTTCAACTTTTGACTTGAATGCAAACATCAGAAAGCAGTTTCTCAGAACGCTGCTGTGTGCTTTTTATATGTATTCCCGCTTCCAGCGAAATCCCCAAAGCTAGCCAAATATCCACTTGCAGATTCCAGAAAAAGAGTGTTTCAAAACTGCTCCTTCAAAACGGTGGTTCAATTCTCTTAGTTGAGTACACACATCTCAAATAAGTTTCTGAGAATGCTTCTGTCTAGTTGTTATGGGAAGATATTTCCTTTTCCAACATAGGCCTGAAAGCGCTCCAAATGTCCACTTCCAGATACTACAAAAGGAGTGATTCAAACCTGCTCTATGATAGGGAATGTTCAACTCTGTGTCCTGAATACAAACATCACAAAGATGTTTCTCAGAACGCTGCAGTCTGCAATTTGTATGAATTCCCGCTTCCAACGAAATCCTCAAAACTAGCCAAATATCCACTTGCAGATTCCACAAAAAGAGCGTTTCAAAACTTCTCTATGAAAAGAAAGGTTCTACCCCTTTAGTTGAGGACACACATCACGAGTAAGTTTCTGAGAATGCTTCTGTCTAGTTTTTATGGGAAGATATTTCCTTTTTCACCTTAGGCCGGTAAGTGCTCCAAATGTCCACTTACACACACTACAAAAAGAGTCTTTCAAACCTGCTCTGTGAAAGGGAATGTTCAATTCTGTGACTTGAATGCAATCATCACAAAGAACTTTCTGAGAATGCTGCTGACTGCTTTTTATATGTAATCCCGTTTCCAACGAAATCCTCAAATCTAGCCCAATATCCACTTGCAGATTCCACAAAAAGAGTGTTTCAAAACTGTTCTGTCTAAAGAAATGTACAACTGTGTTAGTTGAGGACACACATCAGAAACTAGTTTCTGAGAATGCTTCTGTCTATTTGTTATGGGAAGATATTTCCTTTTCCAACGTAGGCCTGAAAGCGCTCCAAATGTCCACTTCCATATACTAAAAAAAGAGTGTTTCAAACCTGCTCTACCAAAGGGAATGTTCTACTACTGTGACTTGAATGCAAACATCCCAAAGAAGTTTCTGAGAATGCTTCTGTCTAGATTTGATCTGAAGACAATCCCGTTTCCAACGAAATCCTCAAGGCTAGGCAAATATCCTCTTGCAGATTCCAGAAAAAGAGTGTTTCAAAACTGCTCCTTCAAAACGGTGGTTCAATTCTCTTAGTTGAGTACACACATCTCAAATAAGTTTCTGAGAATGCTTCTGCCTAGTTGTTACGGGAAGATACTTCCCTTTCCAACATAGGCCTGAAAGCGCTCCAAATGTCCACTTCCAGATACTACAAAAAGAGTGTTTCAAACCTGCTCTACCAAAGGGAATGTTCTACTCTGTGACTTGAATGCAAACATCCTAAAGAAGTTTCTGAGAATGCTTCTGTCTAGATTTTACCTGAAGACAATCCCGTTTCCCACGAAATCCTCAAAGCTATGCAAATATCCTCTTGCAGATTCTACAAAAAGAGTGTTTCAAAACTGCTCTATGAAAAGAAAGGTTCAACTGTGTCAGTAGAGGGTACACATCACAAACAAGTTTCTGAGAATGCTTGTGCCTAGTTGTTATGGGAAGATATTTCCTTTTTCAACATAGGCCTGAAAGCGCTCCAAATGTCCACTTCCAGATACTACAAAAGGAGTGATTCCAACCTGCTCTATGATAGGGAATGTTCAACTCTCTGTCCTGAATACAAACATCACAAAGATGTTTCTCAGAACGCTGCAGTCTGCAATTTGTATGAATTCCAGCTTCCAACGAAATCCTGAAATCTAGCCAAATATCCACTTGCAGATTCCACAAAAAGAGCATTTCAAAACTGCTCTATCAAAAGAAAGGTTCAACTTTGTTAGTAGAGTAGATACAGCATAAACAAGTTTCTGAGAATGCTTCTGTCCAGTTTTTATGGGAAGATATTTCCTTTTTCACCTTAGCCCTGAAAGCGCTCCAAAAGTCCAGTTCCAGATACTACAAAAGGAGTGTTTCAGGACTGCTCTATGAAAGGGAGTGTTCAACTTTTGACTTGAATGCAAACATCAGAAAGCAGTTTCTCAGAACGCTGCAGTCTGCAATTTGTATGAATTCCCGCTTCCAACGAAATCCTCAAAACTAGCCAAATATCCACTTGCAGATTCCACAAAAAGAGCGTTTCAAAACTTCTCTATGAAAAGAAAGGTTCTACTCCTTTAGTTGAGGACACACATCACGAGTAAGTTTCTGAGAATGCTTCTGTCTAGTTTTTATGGGAAGATATTTCCTTTTTCACCTTAGGCCGGAAAGTGCTCCAAATGTCCACTTACACACACTACAAAAAGAGTGTTTCAAAACTGCTCTGTGAAAGGGAATGTTCAATTCTGTGACTTGAATGCAATCATAACAAAGAACGTTCTGAGAATGCTGCTGTCTGCTTTTTATATGTAATCCCGTTTCCAACGAAATCCTCAAATCTAGCCAAATAGCCACTTGCAGATTCCACAAAAAGAGAGTTTCAAAACTGTTCTGTCTAAAGAAATGTTCAACTGTGTTAGTTGAGGACACACATCAGAAACTAGTTTCTGAGAATGCTTCTGTCTAGTTGTTATGGGAAGATATTTCCTTTTCCAACGTAGGCCTGAAAGCGCTCCAAATGTCCACTTCCATATACTAAAAAAAGAGTGTTTCAAACCTGCTCTACCAAAGGGGAATGTTCTACTCTGTGACTTGAATGCAAACATCCCAAAGAAGTTTCTGAGAATGCTTCTGTCTAGATTTTATCTGAAGACAATCCGGTTTCCAACGAAATCCTCAAGGCTAGGCAAATATACTCTTGCAGATTCCAGAAAAAGAGTGTTTCAAAACTGCTCCTTCAAAACGGTGGTTCAATTCTCTTAGTTGAGTACACATATCTCAAATAAGTTTCTGAGAATGCTTCTGCCTAGTTGTTACGGGAAGATATTTCCCTTTCCAACATAGGCCTGAAAGCGCTCCAAATGTCCACTTCCAGATACTACAAAAAGAGTGTTTCAAACCTGCTCTACCAAAGGGAATGTTCTACTCTGTGACTTGAATGCAAACATCCCAAAGAAGTTTCTGAGAATGCTTCTGTCTAGATTTTACCTGAAGACAATCCCGTTTCCCACGAAATCCTCAAAGCTATGCAAATATCCTCTTGCAGATTCTACAAAAAGAGTGTTTCAAAACTGCTCTATGAAAAGAAAGGTTCAACTCTGTCAGTAAAGGGCACACATCACAAACAAGTTTCTGAGAATGCTTGTGTCTAGTTGTTATGGGAAGATATTTCCTTTTTCAACATAGGCCTGAAAGCGCTCCAAATGTCCACTTCCAGATACTACAAAAGGAGTGATTCCAACCTGCTCTATGATAGGGAATGTTCAACTCTGTGTCCTGAATACAAACATCACAAAGATGTTTCTCAGAACGCTGCAGTCTGCAATTTGTATGAATTCCCGCTTCCAACGAAATCCTCAAAACTAGCCAAATATCCACTTGCAGATTCCACAAAAAGACCATTTCAAAACTGCTCTATCAAAAGAAAGGTTCAACTTTGTTAGTTGAGTAGATACAGCATAAACAAGTTTCTGAGAATGCTTCTGTCCAGTTTTTATGGGAAGATATTTCCTTTTTCACCTTAGCCCTGAAATCGCTCCAAAAGTCCAGTTCCAGATACTACAAAAGGGGTGTTTCAAGACTGCTCTATGAAAGGGAGTGTTCAACTTTTGACTTGAATGCAAACATCAGAAAGCAGTTTCTCAGAACGCTGCTGTGTGCTTTTTATATGTATTCCCGCCTCCAGCGAAATCCCCAAAGCTAGCCAAATATCCACTTGCAGATTCCAGAAAAAGAGTGTTTCAAAACTGCTCCTTCAAAACGGTGGTTCAATTCTCTTAGTTGAGTACACACATCTCAAATAAGTTTCTGAGAATGCTGCAGTCTGCAATTTGTATGAATTCCCGCTTCCAACGAAATCCTCAAAACTAGCCAAATATCCACTTGCAGACTCCACAAAAAGAGCATTTCAAAACTGCTCTATCAAAAGAAAGGTTCAACTTTGTTAGCTGAGTAGATACAGCATAAACAAGTTTCTGAGAATGCTTCTGTCCAGTTTTTATGGGAAGATATTTCCTTTTTCACCTTAGCCCTGAAAGCACTCCAAATGTTCACTTCCAGATACCACAAAAGGGGAGTTTCAAGACTGCTCTACGAAAGGGAGTGTTCAAATTTTGACTTGAATGCGAACATCAGAAAGAAGTTTCTCAGAACGCTTCTGTCTAGTTTTTATGGGAAGATTATTTCCTTTTTCACCTTAGGCCGGTAAGTGCTCCAAATGTCCACTTACACACACTACAAAAAGAGTGTTTCAAACCTGCTCTGTGAAAGGGAATGTTCAATTCTGTGACTTGAATGCAATCATCACAAAGAACTTTCTGAGAATGCTGCTGTCTGCTTTTTATATGTAATCCCCTTTCCAACGAAATCCTCAAATCTAGCCAAATAGCCACTTGCAGATTCCACAAAAAGAGTGTTTCAAAACTCTTCTGTCTAAAGAAATGTTCAACTGTGTTAGTTGAGGACACACATCAGAAACTAGTTTCTGAGAATGCTTCTGTCTAGTTGTTATGGGAAGATATTTCCTTTTCCAACGTAGGCCTGAAAGCGCTCCAAATGTCCACTTCCATATACTAAAAAAAGAGTGTTTCAAACCTGCTCTACCAAAGGGAATGTTCTACTCTGTGACTTGAATGCAAACATCCCAAAGAAGTTTCTGAGAATGCTTCTGTCTAGATTTTACCTGAAGACAATCCCGTTTCCAACGAAATCCTCAAGGCTAGGCAAATATACTCTTGCAGATTACAGAAAAAGAGTGTTTCAAAACTGCTCCTTCAAAACGGTGGTTCAATTCTCTTAGTTGAGTACACACATCTCAAATAAGTTTCTGAGAATGCTTCTGCCTAGTTGTTACGGGAAGATATTTCCCTTTCCAACATGGGCCTGAAAGCGCTCCAAATGTCCACTTCCAGATACTACAAAAAGAGTGTTTCAAACCTGCTCTACCAAAGGGAATGTTCTACTCTGTGACTTGAATGCAAACATCCCAAAGAAGTTTCTGAGAATGCTTCTGTCTAGATTTTACCTGAAGACAATCCCGTTTCCCACGAAATCCTCAAAGCTATGCAAATATCCTCTTGCAGATTCTACAAAAAGAGTGTTTCAAAACTGCTCTATGAAAAGAAAGGTTCAACTCTGTCAGTAGAGGGCACACATCACAAACAAGTTTCTGAGAATGCTTCTGCCTAGTTGTTATGGGAAGATATTTCCTTTTTCAACATAGGCCTGAAAGCGCTCCAAATGTCCACTTCCAGATACTACAAAAGGAGTGATTCCAACCTGCTCTATGATAGGGAATGTTCAACTCTGTGTCCTGAATACAAACATCACAAAGATGTTTCTCAGAACGCTGCAGTCTGCAATTTGTATGAATTCCCGCTTCCAACGAAATCCTCAAAACTAGCCAAATATCCACTTGCAGATTCCACAAAAAGACCATTTCAAAACTGCTCTATCAAAAGAAAGGTTCAACTTTGTTAGTTGAGTAGATACAGCATAACCAAGTTTCTGAGAATGCTTCTGTCCAGTTTTTATGGGAAGATATTTCCTTTTTCACCTTAGCCCTGAAATCGCTCCAAAAGTCCAGTTCCAGATACTACAAAAGGGGTGTTTCAAGACTGCTCTATGAAAGGGAGTGTTCAACTTTTGACTTGAATGCAAACATCAGAAAGCAGTTTCTCAGAACGCTGCTGTGTGCTTTTTATATGTATTCCCGCTTCCAGCGAAATCCCCAAAGCTAGCCAAATATCCACTTGCAGATTCCAGAAAAAGAGAGTTTCAAAACTGCTCCTTCAAAACGGTGGTTCAATTCTCTTAGTTGAGTACACACATCTCAAATAAGTTTCTGAGAATGCTTCTGTCTAGTTGTTATGGGAAGATATTTCCTTTTCCAACATAGGCCTGAAAGCGCTCCAAATGTCCACTTCCAGATACTACAAAAGGAGTGATTCAAACCTGCTCTATGATAGGGAATGTTCAACTCTGTGTCCTGAATACAAACATCACAAAGATGTTTCTCAGAACGCTGCAGTCTGCAATTTGTATGAATTCCCGCTTCCAACGAAATCCTCCAAACTAGCCAAATATCCACTTGCAGATTCCACAAAAAGAGAGTTTCAAAACTTCTCTATGAAAACAAAGGTTCTACTCCTTTAGTTGAGGACACACATCACGAGTAAGTTTCTGAGAATGCTTCTGTCTAGTTTTTATGGGAAGATATTTCCTTTTTCACCTTAGGCCGGTAAGTGCTCCAAATGTCCACTTACACACACTACAAAAAGAGTGTTTCAAACCTGCTCTGTGAAAGGGAATGTTCAATTCTGTGACTTGAATGCAATCATCACAAAGAACTTTCTGAGAATGCTGCTGACTGCTTTTTATATGTAATCCCGTTTCCAACGAAATCCTCAAATCTAGCCAAATAGCCACTTGCAGATTCCACAAAAAGAGTGTTTCAAAACTGTTCTGTCTAAAGAAATGTTCAACTGTGTTAGTTGAGGACACACATCAGAAACTAGTTTCTGAGAATGCTTCTGTCTAGTTGTTATGGGAAGATATTTCCTTTTCCAACGTAGGCCTGAAAGCGCTCCAAATGTCCACTTCCAGATACTACAAAAAGAGTGTTTGAAACCTGCTCTACCAAAGGAAGTGTTCTACTCTGTGACTTGAATGCAAACATCCCAAAGAAGTTTCTGAGAATGCTTCTGTCTAGATTTTATCTGAAGACAATCCCGTTTCCAACGAAATCCTCAAGGCTAGGCAAATATACTCTTGCAGATTCCAGAAAAAGAGTGTTTCAAAACTGCTCCTTCAAAACGGTGGTTCAATTCTCTTAGTTGAGTACACACATCTCAAATAAGTTTCTGAGAATGCTTCTGCCTAGTTGTTACGGGAAGATATTTCCCTTTCCAACATGGGCCTGAAAGCGCTCCAAATGTCCACTTCCAGATACTACAAAAAGAGTGTTTCAAACCTGCTCTACCAAAGGGAATGTTCTACTCTGTGACTTGAATGCAAACATCCCAAAGAAGTTTCTGAGAATGCTTCTGTCTAGATTTTACGTGAAGACAATCCCGTTTCCCACGAAATCCTCAAAGCTATGCAAATATCCTCTTGCGGATTCTACAAAAAGAGTGTCTCAAAACTGCTCTATGAAAAGAAAGGTTCAACTCTGTCAGTAGAGGGCACACATCACAAGCAAGTTTCTGAGAATGCTTCTGCATAGTTGTTACGGGAAGATATTTCCCTTTCCAAAATAGGCCTGAAAGCGCTCCAAATGTCCACTTCCAGATACTACAAAAGGAGTGATTCCAACCTGCTCTATGATAGGGAATGTTCAACTCTCTGTCCTGAATACAAACATCACAAAGATGTTTCTCAGAACGCTGCAGTCTGCAATTTGTATGAATTCCCGCTTCCAACGAAATCCTCAAAACTAGCCAAATATCCACTTGCAGATTCCACAAAAAGACCATTTCAAAACTGCTCTATCAAAAGAAAGGTTCAACTTTGTTAGTTGAGTAGATACAGCATAAACAAGTTTCTGAGAATGCTTCTGTCCAGTTTTTATGGGAAGATATTTCCTTTTTCACCTTAGCCCTGAAATCGCTCCAAAAGTCCAGTTCCAGATACTACAAAAGGGGTGTTTCAAGACTGCTCTATGAAAGGGAGTGTTCAACTTTTGACTTGAATGCAAACATCAGAAAGCAGTTTGCTCAGAACGCTGCTGTGTGCTTTTTATATGTATTCCCGCTTCCAGCGAAATCCCCAAAGCTAGCCAAATATCCACTTGCAGATTCCAGAAAAAGAGTGTTTCAAAACTGCTCCTTCAAAACGGTGGTTCAATTCTCTTAGTTGAGTACACACATCTCAAATAAGTTTCTGAGAATGCTTCTGTCTAGTTGTTATGGGAAGATATTTCCTTTTCCAACATAGGCCTGAAAGCGCTCCAAATGTCCACTTCCAGATACTACAAAAGGAGTGATTCCAACCTGCTCTATGATAGGGAATGTTCAACTCTGTGTCCTGAATACAAACATCACAAAGATGTTTCTCAGAACGCTGCAGTCTGCAATTTGTATGAATTCCCGCTTCCAACGAAATCCTCAAAACTAGCCAAATATCCACTTGGAGATTCCACAAAAAGAGCGTTTCAAAACTTCTCTATGAATAGAAATGTTCTACTCCTTTAGTTGAGGACACACATCACGAGTAAGTTTCTGAGAATGCTTCCGTCTAGTTTTTATGGGAAGATATGTCCTTTTTCACCTTAGGACGGAAAGCGCTCCAAATGTCCACTTACACACACTACAAAAAGAGTGTTTCAAACCTGCTCTGTGAAAGGGAATGTTCAATTCTGTGACTTGAATGCAATCATCACAAAGAACTTTCTGAGAATGCTGCTGTCTGTTTTTTATATGTAATCCCGTTTCCAACGAAATCCTCAAATCTAGCCCAATATCCACTTGCAGATTCCACAAAAAGAGTGTTTCAAAACTGTTCTGTCTAAAGAAAAGTTCAACTGTGTTAGTTGAGGACACACATCAGAAACTAGTTTCTGAGAAGGCTTCTGTCTAGTTGTTATGGGAAGATATTTCCTTTTCCAACGTAGGCCTGAAAGCGCTCCAAATGTCCACTTCCAGATACTACAAAAAGAGTGTTTCAAACCTGCTCTACCAAAGGGAATGTTCTACTCTGTGACTTGAATGCAAGCATCCCAAAGAAGTTTCTGAGAATGCTTCTGTCTAGATTTTCTCTGAAGACAATCCCGTTTCCAACGAAATCCTCAAGGCTAGGCAAATATACTCTTGCAGATTCCAGAAAAAGAGTGTTTCAAAACTGCTCCTTCAAAACGGTGGTTCAATTCTCTTAGTTGAGTACACACATCTCAAATAAGTTTCTGAGAATGCTTCTGCCTATTTGTTACGGGAAGATATTTCCCTTTCCAACATAGGCCTGAAAGCGCTCCAAATGTCCACTTCCAGATACTACAAAAAGAGTGTTTCAAACCTGCTCTACCAAAGGGAATGTTCTACTCTGTGACTTGAATGCAAACATCCCAAAGAAGTTTCTGAGAATGCTTCTGTCTAGATTTTACCTGAAGACAATCCCGTTTCCCACGAAATCCTCAAAGCTATGCAAATATCCTCTTGCAGATTCTACAAAAAGAGTGTTTCAAAACTGCTCTATGAAAAGAAAGGTTCAACTCTGTCAGTAGAGGGCACACATCACAAACAAGTTTGCTGAGAATGCTTCTGCATAGTTGTTACGGGAAGATATTTCCCTTTCCAAAATAGGCCTGAAAGCGCTCCAAATGTCCACTTCCAGATACTACAAAAGGAGTGATTCCAACCTGCTCTATGATAGGGAATGTTCAACTCTGTGTCCTGAATACAAACATCACAAAGATGTTTCTCAGAACGCTGCAGTCTGCAATTTGTATGAATTCCCGCTTCCAACGAAATCCTCAAAACTAGCCAAATATCCACTTGCAGATTCCACAAAAAGAGCATTTCAAAACTGCTCTATCAAAAGAAAGGTTCAACTTTGTTAGTTGAGTAGATACAGCATAAACAAGTTTCTGAGAATGCTTCTGTCCAGTTTTTATGGGAAGATATTTCCTTTTTCACCTTAGCCCTGAAATCGCTCCAAAAGTCCAGTTCCAGATACTACAAAAGGGGTGTTTCAAGACTGCTCTATGAAAGGGAGTGTTCAACTTTTGACTTGAATGCAAACATCAGAAAGCAGTTTCTCAGAACGCTGCTGTGTGCTTTTTATATGTATTCCCGCTTCCAGCGAAATCCCCAAAGCTAGCCAAATATCCACTTGCAGATTCCAGAAAAAGAGTGTTTCCAAACTGCTCCTTCAAAACGGTGGTTCAATTCTCTTAGTTGAGTACACACATCTCAAATAAGTTTCTGGGAATGCTTCTGTCTAGTTGTTATGGGAAGATATTTCCTTTTCCAACATAGGCCTGAAAGCGCTCCAAATGTCCACTTCCAGATACTACAAAAGGAGTGATTCCAACCTGCTCTATGATAGGGAATGTTCAACTCTGTGTCCTGAATACAAACATCACAAAGATGTTTCTCAGAACGCTGCAGTCTGCAATTTGTATGAATTCCCGCTTCCAACGAAATCCTCAAAACTAGCCAAATATCCACTTGCAGATTCCACAAAAAGAGCGTTTCAAAACTTCTCTATGAAAAGAAAGGTTCTACTCCTTTAGTTGAGGACACACATCACGAGTAAGTTTCTGAGAATGCTTCTGTCTAGTTTTTATGGGAAGATATTTCCTTTTTCACCTTAGGCCGGTAAGTGCTCCAAATGTCCACTTACACACACTACAAAAAGAGTGTTTCAAACCTGCTCTGTGAAAGGGAATGTTCAATTCTGTGACTTGAATGCAATCATCACAAAGAACTTTCTGAGAATGCCGCTGTCTGCTTTTTATATGTAATCCCGTTTCCAACGAAATCCTCAAATCTAGCCAAATATCCACTTGCAGATTCCACAAAAAGAGTGTTTCAAAACTGTTCTGTCTAAAGAAATGTTCAACTGTGTTAGTTGAGGACACACATCAGAAACTAGTTTCTGAGAATGCTTCTGTCTAGTTGTTATGGGAAGATATTTCCTTTTCCAACGTAGGCCTGAAAGCGCTCCAAATGTCCACTTCCATATACTAAAAAAAGAGTGTTTCACACCTGCTCTACCAAAGGGAATGTTCTACTCTGTGACTTGAATGCAAACATCCCAAAGAAGTTTCTGAGAATGCTTCTGTCTAGATTTTCTCTGAAGACAATCCCGTTTCCAACGAAATCCTCAAGGCTAGGCAAATATACTCTTGCAGATTCCAGAAAAAGAGTGTTTCAAAACTGCTCCTTCAAAACGGTGGTTCAATTCTCTTAGTTGAGTACACACATCTCAAATAAGTTTCTGAGAATGCTTCTGCCTAGTTGTTACGGGAAGATATTTCCCTTTCCAACATGGGCCTGATAGCGCTCCGAATGTCCACTTCCAGATACTACAAAAAGAGGGTTTCAAACCTGCTCTACCAAAGGGAATGTTCTACTCTGTGACTTGAATGCAAACATCCCAAAGAAGTTTCTGAGAATGCTTCTGTCTAGATTTTACCTGAAGACAATCCCGTTTCCCACTAAATCCTCAAAGCTATGCAAATATCCTCTTGCAGATTCTACAAAAAGAGTGTTTCAAAACTGCTCTATGAAAAGAAAGGTTCAACTCTGTCAGTAGAGGGCACACATCACAAACAAGTTTCTGAGAATGCTTCTGTCTAGTTTTTATGGGAAGATATTTCCTTTTTCAACACAAGCCTGAATGCGCTCCAAATGGACACTTCCAGATATGACAAAAGGAGTGTTTCAAACCTGTTCTATCAAAGGGAATGTTCAATTCTGTGACTTGATTGCAAACGTCACCAAGAGGTTTCTCAGAACGCTGCAGTCTGCAATTTGTATGAATTCCCGCTTCCAACGAAATCCTCAAAACTAGCCAAATATACACTTGCAGATTCCAGAAAAAGAGCATTTCAAAACTGCTCTATCAAACGAAAGGTTCAACTTTGTTAGTTGAGTAGATACAGCATGGACAAGTTTCTGAGAATGCTTCTGTCCAGTTTTTATGGGAAGATATTTCCTTTTTCACCTTAGCCCTGAAAGCGCTCCAAAAGTCCAGTTCCAGATACTACAAAAGGAGTGTTTCAGGACTGCTCTATGAAAGGGAGTGTTCAACTTTTGACTTGAATGCAAACATCAGAAAGCAGTTTCTCAGAACCGCTGCTGTGTGCTTTTTATATGTATTCCCGCTTCCAGCGAAATCCCCAAAGCTAGCCAAATATCCACTTGCAGATTCCAGAAAAAGAGAGTTTCAAAACTGCTCCTTCAAAACGGTGGTTCAATTCTCTTAGTTGAGTACACACATCTCAAATAAGTTTCTGAGAATGCTTCTGTCTAGTTGTTATGGGAAGATATTTCCTTTTCCAACATAGGCCTGAAAGCGCTCCAAATGTCCACTTCCAGATACTACAAAAGGAGTGATTCCAACCTGCTCTATGATAGGGAATGTTCAACTCTGTGTCCTGAATACAAACATTACAAAGATGTTTCTCAGAACGCTGCAGTCTGCAATTTGTATGAATTCCCGCTTCCAACGAAATCCTCCAAACTAGCCAAATATCCACTTGCAGATTCCACAAAAAGAGCGTTTCAAAACTTCTCTATGAAAAGAAAGGTTCTACTCCTTTAGTTGAGGACACACATCACGAGTAATTTTCTGAGAATGCTTCTGTCTAGTTTTTATGGGAAGATATTTCCTTTTTCACCTTAGGCCGGAAAGTGCTCCAAATGTCCACTTACACACACTACAAAAAGAGTGTTTCAAACCTGCTCTGTGAAAGGGAATGTTCAATTCTGTGACTTGAATGCAATCATCACAAAGAACTTTCTGAGAATGCTGCTGTCTGCTTTTTATATGTAATCCCGTTTCCAACGAAATCCTCAAATCTAGCCCAATATCCACTTGCAGATTCCACAAAAAGAGTGTTTCAAAACTGTTCTGTCTAAAGAAAAGTTCAACTGTGTTAGTTGAGGACACACATCAGAAACTAGTTTCTGAGAATGCTTCTGTCTAGTTGTTATGGGAAGATATTTCCTTTTCCAACGTAGGCCTGAAAGCGCTCCAAATGTCCACTTCCATATACTAAAAAAAGAGTGTTTCAAACCTGCTCTACCAAAGGGAATGTTCTACTCTGTGACTTGAATGCAAACATCCCAAAGAAGTTTCTGAGAATGCTTCTGTCTAGATTTTCTCTGAAGACAATCCCGTTTCCAACGAAATCCTCAAGGCTAGGCAAATATACTCTTGCAGATTCCAGAAAAAGAGTGTTTCAAAACTGCTCCTTCAAAACGGTGGTTCAATTCTCTTAGTTGAGTACACACATCTCAAATAAGTTTCTGAGAATGCTTCTGCCTAGTTGTTACGGGAAGATATTTCCCTTTCCAACATGGGCCTGATAGCGCTCCGAATGTCCACTTCCAGATACTACAAAAAGAGGGTTTCAAACCTGCTCTACCAAAGGGAATGTTCTACTCTGTGACTTGAATGCAAACATCCCAAAGAAGTTTCTGAGAATGCTTCTGTCTAGATTTTACCTGAAGACAATCCCGTTTCCCACGAAATCCTCAAAGCTATGCAAATATCCTCTTGCAGATTCTACAAAAAGAGTGTTTCAAAACTGCTCTATGAAAAGAAAGGTTCAACTCTGTCAGTAGAGGGCACACATCACAAACAAGTTTCTGAGAATGCTTCTGCATAGTTGTTACGGGAAGATATTTCCCTTTCCAAAATAGGCCTGAAAGCGCTCCAAATGTCCACTTCCAGATACTACAAAAGGAGTGATTCCAACCTGCTCTATGATAGGGAATGTTCAACTCTGTGTCCTGAATACAAACATCACAAAGATGTTTCTCAGAACGCTGCAGTCTGCAATTTGTATGAATTCCCGCTTCCAACGAAATCCTCAAAACTAGCCAAATATCCACTTGCAGATTCCACAAAAAGACCATTTCAAAACTGCTCTATCAAAAGAAAGGTTCAACTTTGTTAGTTGAGTAGATACAGCATAAACAAGTTTCTGAGAATGCTTCTGTCCAGTTTTTATGGGAAGATATTTCCTTTTTCACCTTAGCCCTGAAATCGCTCCAAAAGTCCAGTTCCAGATACTACAAAAGGGGTGTTTCAAGACTGCTCTATGAAAGGGAGTGTTCAACTTTTGACTTGAATGCAAACATCAGAAAGCAGTTTCTCAGAACGCTGCTGTGTGCTTTTTATATGTATTCCCGCTTCCAGCGAAATCCCCAAAGCTAGCCAAATATCCACTTGCAGATTCCAGAAAAAGAGAGTTTCAAAACTGCTCCTTCAAAACGGTGGTTCAATTCTCTTAGTTGAGTACACACATCTCAAATAAGTTTCTGAGAATGCTTCTGTCTAGTTGTTATGGGAAGATATTTCCTTTTCCAACATAGGCCTGAAAGCGCTCCAAATGTCCACTTCCAGATACTACAAAAGGAGTGATTCAAACCTGCTCTATGATAGGGAATGTTCAACTCTGTGTCCTGAATACAAACATCACAAAGATGTTTCTCAGAACGCTGCAGTCTGCAATTTGTATGAATTCCCGCATCCAACGAAATCCTCAAAACTAGCCAAATATCCACTTGGAGATTCCACAAAAAGAGCGTTTCAAACCTTCTCTATGAATAGAAAGGTTCTACTCCTTTAGTTGAGGACACACATCACGAGTAAGTTTCTGAGAATGCTTCTGTCTAGTTTTTATGGGAAGATTATTTCCTTTTTCACCTTAGGCCGGTAAGTGCTCCAAATGTCCACTTACACACACTACAAAAAGAGTGTTTCAAACCTGCTCTGTGAAAGGGAATGTTCAATTCTGTGACTTGAATGCAATCATCACAAAGAACTTTCTGAGAATGCCGCTGTCTGCTTTTTATATGTAATCCCGTTTCCAACGAAATCCTCAAATCTAGCCAAATAGCCACTTGCAGATTCCACAAAAAGAGAGTTTCAAAACTGTTCTGTCTAAAGAAATGTTCAACTGTGTTAGTTGAGGACACACATCAGAAACTAGTTTCTGAGAATGCTTCTGTCTAGTTGTTATGGGAAGATATTTCCTTTTCCAACGTAGGCCTGAAAGCGCTCCAAATGTCCACTTCCAGATACTACAAAAGGAGTGATTCCAACCTGCTCTATGATAGGGAATGTTCAACTCTGTGTCCTGAATACAAACATCACAAAGATGTTTCTCAGAACGCTGCAGTCTGCAATTTGTATGAATTCCCGCTTCCAACGAAATCCTCAAAACTAGCCAAATATCCACTTGCAGATTCCACAAAAAGAGCGTTTCAAAACTTCTCTATGAAAAGAAAGGTTCTGCTCCTTTAGTTGAGGACACACATCACGAGTAAGTTTCTGAGAATGCTTCTGTCTAGTTTTTATGGGAAGATATTTCCTTTTTCACCTTAGGTCGGAAAGCGCTCCAAATGTCCACTTACACACACTACAAAAAGAGGGTTTCAAACCTGCTCCGTGAAAGGGAATGTTCAATTCTGTGACTTGAATGCAATCATCACAAAGAACTTTCTGAGAATGCTGCTGTCTGCTTTTTATATGTAATCCCGTTTCCAACGAAATCCTCAAATCTAGCCAAATATCCACTTGCAGATTCCACAAAAAGAGTGTTTCAAAACTGTTCTGTCTAAAGAAAAGTTCAACTGTGTTAGTTGACGACACACATCAGAAACTAGTTTCTGAGAATGCTTCTGTCTAGTTGTTATGGGAAGATATTTCCTTTTCCAACGTAGGCCTGAAAGCGCTCCAAATGTCCACTTCCATATACTAAAAAAAGAGTGTTTCAAACCTGCTCTACCAAAGGGAATGTTCTACTCTGTGACTTGAATGCAAACATCCCAAAGAAGTTTCTGAGAATGCTTCTGTCTAGATTTTCTCTGAAGACAATCCCGTTTCCAACGAAATCCTCAAGGCTAGGCAAATATACTCTTGCAGATTCCAGAAAAAGAGTGTTTCAAAACTGCTCCTTCAAAACGGTGGTTCAATTCTCTTAGTTGAGTACACACATCTCAAATAAGTTTCTGAGAATGCTTCTGCCTAGTTGTTACGGGAAGATATTTCCCTTTCCAACATGGGCCTGAAAGCGCTCCAAATGTCCACTTCCAGATACTACAAAAAGAGTGTTTCAAACCTGCTCTACCAAAGGGAATGTTCTACTCTGTGACTTGAATGCAAACATCCCAAAGAAGTTTCTGAGAATGCTTCTGTCTAGATTTTACCTGAAGACAATCCCGTTTCCCACGAAATCCTCAAAGCTATGCAAATATCCTCTTGCAGATTCTACAAAAAGAGTGTTTCAAAACTGCTCTATGAAAAGAAAGGTTCAACTCTGTCAGTAGAGGGCACACATCACAAACAAGTTTCTGAGAATGCTTCTGCATAGTTGTTACGGGAAGATATTTCCCTTTCCAAAATAGGCCTGAAAGCGCTCCAAATGTCCACTTCCAGATACTACAAAAGGAGTGATTCCAACCTGCTCTATGATAGGGAATGTTCAACTCTGTGTCCTGAATACAAACATCACAAAGATGTTTCTCAGAACGCTGCAGTCTGCAATTTGTATGAATTCCCGCTTCCAACGAAATCCTCAAAACTAGCCAAATATCCACTTGCAGATTCCACAAAAAGACCATTTCAAAACTGCTCTATCAAAAGAAAGGTTCAACTTTGTTAGTTGAGTAGATACAGCATAACCAAGTTTCTGAGAATGCTTCTGTCCAGTTTTTATGGGAAGATATTTCCTTTTTCACCTTAGCCCTGAAAGCGCTCCAAAAGTCCAGTTCCAGATACTACAAAAGGAGTGTTTCAGGACTGCTCTATGAAAGGGAGTGTTCAACTTTTGACTTGAATGCAAACATCAGAAAGCAGTTTCTCAGAACGCTGCTGTGTGCTTTTTATATGTATTCCCGCTTCCAGCGAAATCCCCAAAGCTAGCCAAATATCCACTTGCAGATTCCAGAAAAAGAGTGTTTCAAAACTGCTCCTTCAAAACGGTGGTTCAATTCTCTTAGTTGAGTACACACATCTCAAATAAGTTTCTGAGAATGCTTGTGTCTAATTGTTATGGGAAGATATTTCCTTTTTCAACATAGGCCTGAAAGCGCTCCAAATGTCCACTTCCAGATACTACAAAAGGAGTGATTCCAACATGCTCTATGATAGGGAATGTTCATCTCTGTGTCTTGAATACAAACATCACAAAGATGTTTCTCAGAACGCTGCAGTCTGCAATTTGTATGAATTCCCGCTTCCAACGAAATCCTCAAAACTAGCCAAATATCCACTTGCAGATTCCACAAAAAGAGCGTTTCAAAACTTCTCTATGAAAAGAAAGGTTCTACTCCTTTAGTTGAGGACACACATCACGAGTAAGTTTCTGAGAATGCTTCTGTCTAGTTTTTATGGGAAGATATTTCCTTTTTCACCTTAGGCCGGAAAGCGCTCCAAATGTCCACTTACACACACTACAAAAAGAGTGTTTCAAACCTGCTCTGTGAAAGGGAATGTTCAATTCTGTGACTTGAATGCAATCATCACAAAGAACTTTCTGAGAATGCTGCTGACTGCTTTTTATATGTAATCCCGTTTCCAACGAAATCCTCAAATCTAGCCAAATAGCCACTTGCAGATTCCACAAAAAGAGTGTTTCAAAACTGTTCTGTCTAAAGAAATGTTCAACTGTGTTAGTTGAGGACACACATCAGAAACTAGTTTCTGAGAATGCTTCTGTCTAGTTGTTATGGGAAGATATTTCCTTTTCCAACGTAGGCCTGAAAGTGCTCCAAATGTCCACTTCCATATACTAAAAAAAGAGTGTTTCAAACCTGCTCTACCAAAGGGAATGTTCTACTCTGTGACTTGAATGCAAACATCCCAAAGAAGTTTCTGAGAATGCTTCTGTCTAGATTTGATCTGAAGACAATCCCGTTTCCAACGAAATCCTCAAGGCTAGGCAAATATCCTCTTGCAGATTGCAGAAAAAGAGTGTTTCAAAACTGCTCCTTCAAACCGGTGGTTCAATTCTCTTAGTTGAGTACACACATCTCAAATAAGTTTCTGAGAATGCTTCTGCCTAGTTGTTACGGGAAGATATTTCCCTTTCCAACATGGGCCTGAAAGCGCTCCAAATGTCCACTTCCAGATACTACAAAAAGAGTGTTTCAAACCTGCTCTACCAAAGGGAATGTTCTACTCTGTGACTTGAATGCAAACATCCCAAAGAAGTTTCTGAGAATGCTTCTGTCTAGATTTTACCTGAAGACAATCCCGTTTCCCACGAAATCCTCAAAGCTATGCAAAAATCCTCTTGCAGATTCTACAAAAAGAGTGTTTCAAAACTGCTCTATGAAAAGAAAGGTTCAACTCTGTCAGTAGAGGGCACACATCACAAACAAGTTTCTGAGAATGCTTCTGTCTAGTTGTTATGGGAAGATTTTTCCTTTTTCAACATAGGCCTGAAAGCGCTCCAAATGTCCACTTCCAGATACTACAAAAGGAGTGATCCCAACCTGCTCTATGATAGGGAATGTTCAACTCTGTGTCCTGAGTACAAACATCACAAAGATGTTTCTCAGAACGCTGCAGTCTGCAATTTGTATGAATTCCCGCTTCCAACGAAATCCTCAAAACTAGCCAAATATCCACTTGCAGATTCCACAAAAAGACCATTTCAAAACTGCTCTATCAAAAGAAAGGTTCAACTTTGTTAGTTGAGTAGATACAGCATAAACAAGTTTCTGAGAATGCTTCTGTCCAGTTTTTATGGGAAGATATTTCCTTTTTCACCTTAGCCCTGAAAGCGCTCCAAAAGTCCAGTTCCAGATACTACAAAAGGAGTGTTTCAGGACTGCTCTATGAAAGGGAGTGTTCAACTTTTGACTTGAATGCAAACATCAGAAAGCAGTTTCTCAGAACGCTGCTGTGTGCTTTTTATATGTATTCCCGCTTCCAGCGAAATCCCCAAAGCTAGCCAAATATCCACTTGCAGATTCCAGAAAAAGAGTGTTTCAAAACTGCTCCTTCAAAACGGTGGTTCAATTCTCTTAGTTGAGTACACACATCTCAAATAAGTTTCTGAGAATGCTGCTGTGTGCTTTTTATATGTATTCCCGCTTCCAGCGAAATCCCCAAAGCTAGCCAAATATCCACTTGCAGATTCCAGAAAAAGAGTGTTTCAAAACTGCTCCTTCAAAACGGTGGTTCAATTCTCTTAGTTGAGTACACACATCTCAAATAAGTTTCTGAGAATGCTTCTGTCTAGTTGTTATGGGAAGATATTTCCTTTTCCAACATAGGCCTGAAAGCGCTCCAAATGTCCACTTCCAGATACTACAAAAGGAGTGATTCAAACCTGCTCTATGATAGGGAATGTTCAACTCTGTGTCCTGAATACAAACATCACAAAGATGTTTCTCAGAACGCTGCAGTCTGCAATTTGTATGAATTCCCGCTTCCAACGAAATCCTCAAAACTAGCCAAATATCCACTTGCAGATTCCACAAAAAGACCATTTCAAAACTGCTCTATCAAAAGAAAGGTTCAACTTTGTTAGTTGAGTAGATACAGCATAAACAAGTTTCTGAGAATGCTTCTGTCCAGTTTTTATGGGAAGATATTTCCTTTTTCACCTTAGCCCTGAAAGCGCTCCAAAAGTCCAGTTCCAGATACTACAAAAGGAGTGTTTCAGGACTGCTCTATGAAAGGGAGTGTTCAACTTTTGACTTGAATGCAAACATCAGAAAGCAGTTTCTCAGAACGCTTCTGTCTAGATTTTACCTGAAGACAATCCCGTTTCCCACGAAATCCTCAAATCTATGCAAATATCTTCTTGCAGATTCTACAAAAAGAGTGTTTCAAAACTGCTCTATGAAAAGAAAGGTTCAACTCTGTCAGTAGAGGGCACACATCACAAACAAGTTTCTCAGAATGCTTGTGTCTAGTTGTTATGGGAAGATATTTCCTTTTTCAACATAGGCCTGAAAGCGCTCCAAATGTCCACTTCCAGATACTACAAAAGGAGTGATTCCAACCTGCTCTATGATAGGGAATGTTCATCTCTGTGTCTTGAATACAAACATTTCAAAGATGTTTCTCAGAACGCTGCAGTCTGCAATTTGTATGAATTCCCGCTTCCAACGAAATCCTCAAAACTAGCCAAATATCCACTTGGAGATTCCACAAAAAGAGCGTTTCAAAACTTCTCTATGAATAGAAATGTTCTACTCCTTTAGTTGAGGACACACATCACGAGTAAGTTTCTGAGAATGCTTCTGTCTAGTTTTTATGGGAAGATATTTCCTTTTTCACCTTAGGCCGGTAAGTGCTCCAAATGTCCACTTACACACACTACAAAAAGAGTGTTTCAAACCTGCTCTGTGAAAGGGAATGTTCAATTCTGTGACTTGAATGCAATCATCACAAAGAACTTTCTGAGAATGCTGCTGACTGCTTTTTATATGTAATCCCGTTTCCAACGAAATCCTCAAATCTAGCCAAATAGCCACTTGCAGATTCCACAAAAAGAGTGTTTCAAAACTGTTCTGTCTAAAGAAATGTTCAACTGTGTTAGTTGAGGACACACATCAGAAACTAGTTTCTGAGAATGCTTCTGTCTAGTTGTTATGGGAAGATATTTCCTTTTCCAACGTAGGCCTGAAAGCGCTCCAAATGTCCACTTCCATATACTAAAAAAAGATTGTTTCAAACCTGCTCTACCAAAGGGAATGTTCTACTCTGTGACTTAAATGCAAACATCCCAAAGAAGTTTCTGAGAATGCTTCTGTCTAGATTTGATCTGAAGACAATCCCGTTTCCAACGAAATCCTCAAGGCTAGGCAAATATACTCTTGCAGATTCCAGAAAAAGAGTGTTTCAAAACTGCTCCTTCAAAACGGTGGTTCAATTCTCTTAGTTGAGTACACACATCTCAAATAAGTTTCTGAGAATGCTTCTGCCTAGTTGTTACGGGAAGATATTTCCCTTTCCAACATAGGCCTGAAAGCGCAACAAATGTCCACTTCCAGATACGACAAAAAGAGTGTTTCAAACCTGCTCTACCAAAGGGAATGTTCTACTCTGTGACTTGAATGCAAACATCCCGAAGAAGTTTCTGAGAATGCTTCTGTCTAGATTTTACCTGAAGACAATCCCGTTTCCCACGAAATCCTCAGAGCTATGCAAATATCCTCTTGCAGATTCTACAAAAAGAGTGTTTCGAAACTGCTGTATGAAAAGAAAGGTTCAACTCTGTCAGTAGAGGAAACACATCACCAACAAGTTTCTGAGAATGCTTCTGTCTAGTTGTTATGGGAAGATTTTTCCTTTTTCAACATAGGCCTGAAAGCGCTCCAAATGTCCACTTCCAGATACTACAAAAGGAGTGATCCCAACCTGCTCTATGATAGGGAATGTTCAACTCTGTGTCCTGAATACAAACATCACAAAGATGTTTGCTCAGAACGCTGCAGTCTGCAATTTGTATGAATTCCCGCTTCCAACGAAATCCTCAAAACTAGCCAAATATCCACTTGCAGATTCCACAAAAAGACCATTTCAAAACTGCTCTATCAAAAGAAAGGTTCAACTTTGTTAGTTGAGTAGATACAGCATAAACAAGTTTCTGAGAATGCTTCTGTCCAGTTTTTATGGGAAGATATTTCCTTTTTCACCTTAGCCCTGAAATCGCTCCAAAAGTCCAGTTCCAGATACTACAAAAGGGGTGTTTCAAGACTGCTCTATGAAAGGGAGTGTTCAACTTTTGACTTGAATGCAAACATCAGAAAGCAGTTTGCTCAGAACGCTGGCTGTGTGCTTTTTATATGTATTCCCGCTTCCAGCGAAATCCCCAAAGCTAGCCAAATATCCACTTGCAGATTCCAGAAAAAGAGAGTTTCAAAACTGCTCCTTCAAAACGGTGGTTCAATTCTCTTAGTTGAGTACACACATCTCAAATAAGTTTCTGAGAATGCTTGTGTCTAGTTGTTATGGGAAGATATTTCCTTTTTCAACATAGGCCTGAAAGCGCTCCAAATGTCCACTTCCAGATACTACAAAAGGAGTGATTCCAACCTGCTCTATGATAGGGAATGTTCAACTCTCTGTCCTGAATACAAACATCACAAATATGTTTCTCAGAACGCTGCAGTCTGCAATTTGTATGAATTCCCGCTTCCAACGAAATCCTCAAAACTAGCCAAATATCCACTTGCAGATTCCACAAAAAGAGCGTTTCAAAACTTCTCTATGAAAAGAAAGGTTCTACTCCTTTAGTTGAGGACACACATCACGAGTAAGTTTCTGAGAATGCTTCTGTCTAGTTTTTATGGGAAGATATTTCCTTTTTCACCTTAGGCCGGAAAGCGCTCCAAATGTCCACTTACACACACTACAAAAAGAGTGTTTCAAACCTGCTCTGTGAAAGGCAATGTTCAATTCTGTGACTTGAATGCAATCATCACAAAGAACTTTCTGAGAATGCTGCTGTCTGCTTTTTATATGTAATCCCGTTTCCAACGAAATCCTCAAATCTAGCCAAATATCCACTTGCAGATTCCACAAAAAGAGTGTTTCAAAACTGTTCTGTCTAAAGAAAAGTTCAACTGTGTTAGTTGAGGACACACATCAGAAACTAGTTTCTGAGAATGCTTCTGTCTAGTTGTTACGGGAAGATATTTCCTTTTCCAACGTAGGCCTGAAAGCGCTCCAAATGTCCATTTCCATATACTAAAAAAAGAGTGTTTCAAACCTGCTCTATCAAAGGGAATGTTCTACTTCTGTGACTTGAATACAAACATCCCAAAGAAGTTTCTGAGAATGCTTCTGTCTAGATTTTATCTGAAGACAATCCCGTTTCCAACGAAATCCACAAAGCTAGGAAGATATACTCTTGCAGATTCCAGAAAAAGAGTGTTTCAAAACTGCTCCTTCAAAACGGTGGTTCAATTCTCTTAGTTGAGTACACACATCTCAAATAAGTTTCTGAGAATGCTTCTGCCTAGTTGTTACGGGAAGATATTTCCCTTTCCATCATGGGCCCGAAAGCGCTCCAAATGTCCACTTCCAGATACTACAAAAAGAGTGTTTCAAACCTGCTCTACCAAAGGGAATGTTCTACTCTGTGACTTGAATGCAAACATCCCAAAGAAGTTTCTGAGAATGCTTCTGTCTAGATTTTACCTGAAGACAATCCCGTTTCCCACGAAATCCTCAGAGCTATGCAAATATCCTCTTGCAGATTCTACAAAAAGAGTGTTTCGAAACTGCTCTATGAAAAGAAAGGTTCAACTCTGTCAGTAGAGGAAACACATCACCAACAAGTTTCTGAGAATGCTTGTGTCTAGTTGTTATGGGAAGATATCTCCTTTTTCAACATAGGCCTGAAAGCGCTCCAAATGTCCACTTCCAGATACTACAAAAGGAGTGATTCCAACCTGCTCTATGATAGGGAATGTTCAACTCTCTGTCCTGAATACAAACATCACAAAGATGTTTCTCAGAACGCTGCAGTCTGCAATTTGTATGAATTCCCGCTTCCAACGAAATCCTCAAAACTAGCCAAATATCCACTTGCAGATTCCACAAAAAGAGCATTTCAAAACTGCTCTATCAAAAGAAAGGTTCAACTTTGTTAGTTGAGTAGATACATCATAAACAAGTTTCTGAGAATGCTTCTGTCCAGTTTTTATGGGAAGATATTTCCTTTTTCACCTTAGCCCTGAAATCGCTCCAAAAGTCCAGTTCCAGATACTACAAAAGGGGTGTTTCAGGACTGCTCTATGAAAGGGAGTGTTCAACTTTTGACTTGAATGCAAACATCAGAAAGCAGTTTCTCAGAACGCTGCAGTCTGCAATTTGTATGAATTCCCGCTTCCAACGAAATCCTCAAAACTAGCCAAATATCCACTTGGAGATTCCACAAAAAGAGCGTTTCAAAACTTCTCTATGAATAGAAAGGTTCTACTCCTTTAGTTGAGGACACACATCACGAGTAAGTTTCTGAGAATGCTTCTGTCTAGTTTTTATGGGAAGATATTTCCTTTTTCACCTTAGGCCGGAAAGTGCTCCAAATGTCCACTTACACACACTACAAAAAGAGTGTTTCAAACCTGCTCTGTGAAAGGGAATGTTCAATTCTGTGACTTGAATGCAATCATCACAAAGAACTTTCTGAGAATGCTGCTGTCTGCTTTTTATATGTAATCCCGTTTCCAACGAAATCCTCAAATCTAGCCAAATATCCACTTGCAGATTCCACAAAAAGAGTGTTTCAAAACTGTTCTGTCTAAAGAAATGTTCAACTGTGTTAGTTGAGGACACACATCAGAAACTAGTTTCTGAGAATGCTTCTGTCTAGTTGTTATGGGAAGATATTTCCTTTTCCAACGTAGGCCTGAAAGCGCTCCAAATGTCCACTTACACACACTACAAAAAGAGTGTTTCAAACCTGCTCTACCAAAGGGAATGTTCTACTCTGTGACTTGAATGCAAACATCCCAAAGAAGTTTCTGAGAATGCTTCTGTCTAGATTTTACCTGAAGACAATCCCGTTTCCCAAGAAATCCTCAAATCTATGCAAATATCCTCTTGCAGATTCTACAAAAAGAGTGTTTCGAAACTGCTCTATGAAAAGAAAGGTTCAACTGTGTTAGTAGAAGGCACACATCACAAACAAGTTTCTGAGAATGCTTGTGTCTAGTTGTTATGGGAAGATATTTCCTTTTTCAACATAGGCCTGAAAGCGCTCCAAATGTCCACTTCCAGATACTACAAAAGGAGTGATTCCAACCTGCTCTATGATAGGGAATGTTCAACTCTCTGTCCTGAATACAAACATCACAAAGATGTTTCTCAGAACGCTGCAGTCTGCAATTTGTATGAATTCCCGCTTCCAACGAAATCCTCAAAACTAGCCAAATATCCACTTGCAGATTCCACAAAAAGACCATTTCAAAACTGCTCTATCAAAAGAAAGGTTCAACTTTGTTAGTTGAGTAGATACAGCATAAACAAGTTTCTGAGAATGCTTCTGTCCAGTTTTTATGGGAAGATATTTCCTTTTTCACCTTAGCCCTGAAAGCGCTCCAAATGTCCAGTTCCAGATACTACAAAAGGGGTGTTTCAAGACTGCTCTATGAAAGGGAGTGTTCAACTTTTGACTTGAATGCAAACATCAGAAAGCAGTTTCTCAGAACGCTGCTGTGTGCTTTTTATATGTATTCCCGCTTCCAGCGAAATCCCCAAAGCTAGCCAAATATCCACTTGCAGATTCCAGAAAAAGAGTGTTTCAAAACTGCTCCTTCAAAACGGTGGTTCAATTCTCTTAGTTGAGTACACACATCTCAAATAAGTTTCTGAGAATGCTTCTGTCTAGTTGTTATGGGAAGATATTTCCTTTTCCAACATAGGCCTGAAAGCGCTCCAAATGTCCACTTCCAGATACTACAAAAGGAGTGATTCCAACCTGCTCTATGATAGGGAATGTTCAACTCTGTGTCCTGAATACAAACATCACAAAGATGTTTCTCAGAACGCTGCAGTCTGCAATTTGTATGAATTCCCGCTTCCAACGAAATCCTCAAAACTAGCCAAATATCCACTTGCAGATTCCACAAAAAGAGCGTTTCAAAACTTCTCTATGAAAAGAAAGGTTCTACTCCTTTAGTTGAGGACACACATCACGAGTAAGTTTCTGAGAATGCTTCTGTCTAGTTTTTATGGGAAGATATTTCCTTTTTCACCTTAGGCCGGAAAGTGCTCCAAATGTCCACTTACACACACTACAAAAAGAGTGTTTCAAACCTGCTCTGTGAAAGGGAATGTTCAATTCTGTGACTTGAATGCAATCATCACAAAGAACTTTCTGAGAATGCTGCTGACTGCTTTTTATATGTAATCCCGTTTCCAACGAAATCCTCAAATCTAGCCAAATAGCCACTTGCAGATTCCACAAAAAGAGTGTTTCAAAACTGTTCTGTCTATAGAAATGTTCAACTGTGTTAGTTGAGGACACACATCAGAAACTAGTTTCTGAGAATGCTTCTGTCTAGTTGTTATGGGAAGATATTTCCTTTTCCAACGTAGGCCTGAAAGCGATCAAAATGTCCACTTCCATATACTAAAAAAAGAGTGTTTCAAACCTGCTCTACCAAAGGGAATGTTCTACTCTGTGACTTGAATGCAAACATCCCAAAGAAGTTTCTGAGAATGCTTCTGTCTAGATTTTATCTGAATACAATCCCGTTTCCAACGAAATCCTCAAGGCTAGGCAAATATACTCTTGCAGATTCCAGAAAAAGAGTGTTTCAAAACTGCTCCTTCAAAACGGTGGTTCAATTCTCTTAGTTGAGTACACACATCTCAAATAAGTTTCTGAGAATGCTTCTGCCTAGTTGTTACGGGAAGATATTTCCCTTTCCAACATAGGCCTGAAAGCGCTCCAAATGTCCACTTCCAGATACTACAAAAAGAGTGTTTCAAACCTGCTCTACCAAAGGGAATGTTCTACTCTGTGACTTGAATGCAAACATCCCAAAGAAGTTTCTGAGAATGCTTCTGTCTAGATTTTACCTGAAGACAATCCCGTTTCCCACGAAATCCTCAAAGCTATGCAAATATCCTCTTGCAGATTCTACAAAAAGAGTGTTTCAAAACTGCTCTATGAAAAGAAAGGTTCAACTCTGTCAGTAGAGGGCACACATCACAAACAAGTTTCTGAGAATGCTTGTGTCTAGTTGTTATGGGAAGATATTTCCTTTTTCAACATAGGCCTGAAAGCGCTCCAAATGTCCACTTCCAGATACTACAAAAGGAGTGATTCCAACCTGCTCTATGATAGGGAATGTTCAACTCTCTGTCCTGAATACAAACATCACAAAGATGTTTCTCAGAACGCTGCAGTCTGCAATTTGTATGAATTCCCGCTTCCAACGAAATCCTCAAAACTAGCCAAATATCCACTTGCAGATTCCACAAAAAGACCATTTCAAAACTGCTCTATCAAAAGAAAGGTTCAACTTTGTTAGTTGAGTAGATACAGCATAACCAAGTTTCTGAGAATGCTTCTGTCCAGTTTTTATGGGAAGATATTTCCTTTTTCACCTTAGCCCTGAAAGCGCTCCAAAAGTCCAGTTCCAGATACTACAAAAGGAGTGTTTCAGGACTGCTCTATGAAAGGGAGTGTTCAACTTTTGACTTGAATGCAAACATCAGAAAGCAGTTTCTCAGAACGCTGCTGTGTGCTTTTTATATGTATTCCCGCTTCCAGCGAAATCCCCAAAGCTAGCCAAATATCCACTTGCAGATTCCAGAAAAAGAGTGTTTCAAAACTGCTCCTTCAAAACGGTGGTTCAATTCTCTTAGTTGAGTACACACATCTCAAATAAGTTTCTGAGAATGCTGCAGTCTGCAATTTGTATGAATTCCCGCTTCCAGCGAAATCCTCAAAACTAGCCAAATATCCACTTGCAGATTCCACAAAAAGAGCATTTCAAAACTGCTCTATCAAAAGAAAGGTTCAACTTTGTTAGTTGAGTAGATACAGCATAAACAAGTTTCTGAGAATGCTGCAGTCTGCAATTTGTATGAATTCCCGCTTCCAACGAAATCCTCAAAACTAGCCAAATATCCACTTGCAGATTCCACAAAAAGAGCGTTTCAAAACTTCTCTATGAAAAGAAAGGTTCTACTCCTTTAGTTGAGGACACACATCACGAGTAAGTTTCTGAGAATGCTTATCTGTCTAGTTTTTATGGGAAGATATTTCCTTTTTCACCTTAGGCCGGTAAGTGCTCCAAATGTCCACTTACACACACTACAAAAAGAGTGTTTCAAACCTGCTCTGTGAAAGGGAATGTTCAATTCTGTGACTTGAATGCAATCATCACAAAGAACTTTCTGAGAATGCTGCTGTCTGCTTTTTATATGTAATCCCGTTTCCAACGAAATCCTCAAATCTAGCCAAATATCCACTTGCAGATTCCACAAAAAGAGTGTTTCAAAACTGTTCTGTCTAAAGAAAAGTTCAACTTGTGTTAGTTGAGGACACACATCAGAAACTAGTTTCTGAGAATGCTTCTGTCTAGTTGTTATGGGAAGATATTTCCTTTTCCAACGTAGGCCTGAAAGCGCTCCAAATGTCCATTTCCATATACTAAAAAAAGAGTGTTTCAAACCTGCTCTATCAAAGGGAATGTTCTACTCTGTGACTTGAATACAAACATCCCAAAGAAGTTTCTGAGAATGCTTCTGTCTAGATTTTATCTGAAGACAATCCCGTTTCCAACGAAATCCTCAAGGCTAGGCAAATATCGTCTAGCAGATTCCAGAAAAAGAGTGTTTCAAAACTGCTCCTTCAAAACGGTGGTTCAATTCTCTTAGTTGAGTCCACACATCTCAAATAAGTTTCTGAGAATGCTTCTGCCTAGTTGTTACGGGAAGATATTTCCCTTTCCAACATGGGCCTGAAAGTGCTGCAAATGTCCACTTCCAGATACTACAAAAAGAGTGTTTCAAACCTGCTCTACCAAAGGGAATGTTCTACTCTGTGACTTGAATGCAAACATCCCAAAGAAGTTTCTGAGAATGCTTCTGTCTAGATTTTACCTGAAGACAATCCCGTTTCCCACGAAATCCTCAAAGCTATGCAAATATCCTCTTGCAGATTCTACAAAAAGAGTGTTTCAAAACTGCTCTATGAAAAGAAAGGTTCAACTCTGTCAGTAGAGGGCACACATCACAAACAAGTTTCTGAGAATGCTTCTGCATAGTTGTTACGGGAAGATATTTCCCTTTCCAAAATAGGCCTGAAAGCGCTCCAAATGTCCACTTCCAGATACTACAAAAGGAGTGATTCCAACCTGCTCTATGATAGGGAATGTTCAACTCTGTGTCCTGAATACAAACATCACAAAGATGTTTCTCAGAACGCTGCAGTCTGCAATTTGTATGAATTCCCGCTTCCAGCGAAATCCTCAAAACTAGCCAAATATCCACTTGCAGATTCCACAAAAAGAGCATTTCAAAACTGCTCTATCAAAAGAAAGGTTCAACTTTGTTAGTTGAGTAGATACAGCATAAACAAGTTTCTGAGAATGCTTCTGTCCAGTTTTTATGGGAAGATATTTCCTTTTTCACCTTAGCCCTGAAATCGCTCCAAAAGTCCAGTTCCAGATACTACAAAAGGGGTGTTTCAAGACTGCTCTATGAAAGGGAGTGTTCAACTTTTGACTTGAATGCAAACATCAGAAAGCAGTTTCTCAGAACGCTGCTGTGTGCTTTTTATATGTATTCCCGCTTCCAGCGAAATCCCCAAAGCTAGCCAAATATCCACTTGCAGATTCCAGAAAAAGAGTGTTTCAAAACTGCTCCTTCAAAACGGTGGTTCAATTCTCTTAGTTGAGTACACACATCTCAAATAAGTTTCTGAGAATGCTTCTGTCTAGTTGTTATGGGAAGATATTTCCTTTTCCAACATAGGCCTGAAAGCACTCCAAATGTCCACTTCCAGATACTACAAAAGGAGTGATTCAAACCTGCTCTATGATAGGGAATGTTCAACTCTGTGTCCTGAATACAAACATCACAAAGATGTTTCTCAGAACGCTGCAGTCTGCAATTTGTATGAATTCCCGCTTCCAACGAAATCCTCAAAACTAGCCAAATATCCACTTGCAGATTCCACAAAAAGAGCGTTTCAAAACTTCTCTATGAAAAGAAAGGTTCTACTCCTTTAGTTGAGGACACACATCACGAGTAAGTTTCTGAGAATGCTTCTGTCTAGTTTTTATGGGAAGATATTTCCTTTTTCACCTTAGGCCGGAAAGCGCTCCAAATGTCCACTTACACACACTACAAAAAGAGTGTTTCAAACCTGCTCTGTGAAAGGGAATGTTCAATTCTGTGACTTGAATGCAATCATCACAAAGAACTTTCTGAGAATGCTGCTGTCTGCTTTTTATATGTAATCCCGTTTCCAACGAAATCCTCAAATCTAGCCAAATAGCCACTTGCAGATTCCACAAAAAGAGTGTTTCAAAACTGTTCTGTCTAAAGAAATGTACAACTGTGTTAGTTGAGGACACACATCAGAAACTAGTTTCTGAGAATGCTTCTGTCTAGTTGTTATGGGAAGATATTTCCTTTTCCAACGTAGGCCTGAAAGCGCTCCAAATGTCCACTTCCATATACTAAAAAAAGAGTGTTTCAAACCTGCTCTACCAAAGGGAATGTTCTACTCTGTGACATGAATGCAAACATCCCAAAGAAGTTTCTGAGAATGCTTCTGTCTAGATTGGATCTGAAGACAATCCCGTTTCCAACGAAATCCTCAAATCTATGCAAATATCCTCTTGCAGATTCCAGAAAAAGAGTGTTTCAAAACTGCTCCTTCAAAACGGTGGTTCAATTCTCTTAGTTGAGTACACACATCTCAAATAAGTTTCTGAGAATGCTTCTGCCTAGTTGTTACGGGAAGATATTTCCCTTTCCAACATGGGCCTGAAAGCGCTCCAAATGTCCACTTCCAGATACTACAAAAAGAGTGTTTCAAACCTGCTCTACCAAAGGGAATGTTCTACTCTGTGACTTGAATGCAAACATCCCAAAGAAGTTTCTGAGAATGCTTCTGTCTAGATTTTACCTGAAGACAATCCCGTTTCCCACGAAATCCTCAAAGCTATGCAAATATCCTCTTGCAGATTCTACAAAAAGAGTGTTTCAAAACTGCTCTATGAAAAGAAAGGTTCAACTCTGTCAGTAGAGGGCACACATCACAAACAAGTTTCTGAGAATGCTTCTGCATAGTTGTTACGGGAAGATATTTCCCTTTCCAAAATAGGCCTGAAAGCGCTCCAAATGTCCACTTCCAGATACTACAAAAGGAGTGATTCCAACCTGCTCTATGATAGGGAATGTTCAACTCTGTGTCCTGAATACAAACATCACAAAGATGTTTCTCAGAACGCTGCAGTCTGCAATTTGTATGAATTCCCGCTTCCAACGAAATCCTCAAAACTAGCCAAATATCCACTTGCAGATTCCACAAAAAGACCATTTCAAAACTGCTCTATCAAAAGAAAGGTTCAACTTTGTTAGTTGAGTAGATACAGCATAACCAAGTTTCTGAGAATGCTTCTGTCCAGTTTTTATGGGAAGATATTTCCTTTTTCACCTTAGCCCTGAAAGCGCTCCAAATGTCCAGTTCCAGATACTACAAAAGGGGTGTTTCAAGACTGCTCTATGAAAGGGAGTGTTCAACTTTTGACTTGAATGCAAACATCAGAAAGCAGTTTCTCAGAACGCTGCTGTGTGCTTTTTATATGTATTCCCGCTTCCAGCGAAATCCCCAAAGCTAGCCAAATATCCACTTGCAGATTCCAGAAAAAGAGAGTTTCAAAACTGCTCCTTCAAAACGGTGGTTCAATTCTCTTAGTTGAGTACACACATCTCAAATAAGTTTCTGAGAATGCTTCCTGTCTATTTGTTATGGGAAGATATTTCCTTTTCCAACATAGGGCCTGAAAGCGCTCCAAATGTCCACTTCCAGATACTACAAAAGGAGTGATTCAAACCTGCTCTATGATAGGGAATGTTCAACTCTGTGTCCTGAATACAAACATCACAAAGATGTTTCTCAGAACGCTGCAGTCTGCAATTTGTATGAATTCCCGCTTCCAACGAAATCCTCAAAACTAGCCAAATATCCACTTGGAGATTCCACAAAAAGAGCATTTCAAAACTTCTCTACGAATAGAAAGGTTCTACTCCTTTAGTTGAGGACACACATCACGAGTAAGTTTCTGAGAATGCTTCTGTCTAGTTTTTATGGGAAGATATTTCCTTTTTCACCTTAGGCCGGAAAGCGCTCCAAATGTCCACTTACACACACTACAAAAAGAGTGTTTCAAACCTGCTCTGTGAAAGGGAATGTTCAATTCTGTGACTTGAATGCAATCATCACAAAGAACTTTCTGAGAATGCTGCCTGACTGCTTTTTATATGTAATCCCGTTTCCAACGAAATCCTCAAATCTAGCCAACTATCCACTTGCAGATTCCACAAAAAGAGTGTTCCAAAACTGTTCTGTCTAAAGAAAAGTTCAACTGTGTTAGTTGAGGACACACATCAGAAACTAGTTTCTGAGAATGCTTCTGTCTAGTTGTTATGGGAAGATATTTCCTTTTCCAACGTAGGCCAGAAAGCGCTCCAAATGTCCACTTACACACACTACAAAAAGAGTGTTTCAAACCTGCTCTACCAAAGGGAATGTTCTACTCTGTGACTTGAATGCAAACATCCCAAAGAAGTTTCTGAGAATGCTTCTGTCTAGATTTGATCTGAAGACAATCCCTTTTCCAACGAAATCCTCAAAGCTAGGCAAATATCCTCTTGCAGATTCCAGAAAAAGAGTGTTTCCAAACTGCTCCTTCAAAACGGTGGTTCAATTCTCTTAGTTGAGTACACACATCTCAAATAAGTTTCTGAGAATGCTTCTGCCTAGTTGTTACGGGAAGATATTTCCCTTTCCAACATAGGCCTGAAAGCGCTCCAAATGTCCACTTCCAGATACTACAAAAAGAGTGTTTCAAACCTGCTCTACCAAAGGGAATGTTCTACTCTGTGACTTGAATGCAAACATCCCAAAGAAGTTTCTGAGAATGCTTCTGTCTAGATTTTACCTGAAGACAATCCCGTTACCCACGAAATCCTCAAAGCAATGCAAATATCCTCTTGCAGATTCTACAAAAAGAGTGTTTCAAAACTGCTCTATGAAAAGAAAGGTTCAACTCTGTCAGTAGAGGGCACACATCACAAACAAGTTTCTGAGAATGCTTGTGTCTAGTTGTTATGGGAAGATATTTCCTTTTTCAACATAGGCCTGAAAGCGCTCCAAATGTCCACTTCTAGATACTACAAAAGGAGTGATTCCAACCTGCTCTATGATAGGGAATGTTCAACTCTGTGTCCTGAATACAAACATTACAAAGATGTTTCTCAGAACGCTGCAGTCTGCAATTTGTATGAATTCCCGCTTCCAACGAAATCCTCAAAACTAGCCAAATATCCACTTGCAGATTCCACAAAAAGACCATTTCAAAACTGCTCTATCAAAAGAAAGGTTCAACTTTGTTAGTTGAGTAGATACAGCATAAACAAGTTTCTGAGAATGCTTCTGTCCAGTTTTTATGGGAAGATATTTCCTTTTTCACCTTAGCCCTGAAATCGCTCCAAAAGTCCAGTTCCAGATACTACAAAAGGGGTGTTTCAAGACTGCTCTATGAAAGGGAGTGTTCAACTTTTGACTTGAATGCAAACATCAGAAAGCAGTTTCTCAGAACGCTGCTGTGTGCTTTTTATATGTATTCCCGCTTCCAGCGAAATCCCCAAAGCTAGCCAAATATCCACTTGCAGATTCCAGAAAAAGAGAGTTTCAAAACTGCTCCTTCAAAACGGTGGTTCAATTCTCTTAGTTGAGTACACACATCTCAAATAAGTTTCTGAGAATGCTTCTGCCTAGTTGTTATGGGAAGATATTTCCTTTTTCAACATAGGCCTGAAAGCGCTCCAAATGTCCACTTCCAGATACTACAAAAGGAGTGATTCCAACCTGCTCTATGATAGGGAATGTTCAACTCTGTGTCCTGAATACAGACATCACAAAGATTTTTCTGAGAACGGTGCAGTCTGCAATTTGTATGAATTCCCGCTTCCAACGAAATCCTCAAACCTAGCCAAATATCCACTTGCAGATTCCACAAAAAGAGCATTTCAAAACTGCTCTATCAAAAGAAAGGTTCAACTTTGTTAGTTGAGTAGATACGGCATAAACCAGTTTCTGAGAATGCTTCTGTCTAGTTTTTATGGGAAGATATGTCCTTTTTCACCTTAGGCCGGAAAGCGCTCCAAATGTCCACTTACACACACTACAAAAAGAGTGTTTCAAACCTGCTCTGTGAAAGGGAATGTTCAATTCTGT
The DNA here is from genome assembly GCF_000001405.40 of Homo sapiens. Classification (NCBI taxonomy): domain Eukaryota; kingdom Metazoa; phylum Chordata; class Mammalia; order Primates; family Hominidae; genus Homo; species Homo sapiens. The sequence continues at coordinate 20,479,564 of NC_000018.10, read as the reverse complement.
GACTTGAATGCAATCATCACAAAGAACTTTCTGAGAATGCTGCTGTCTGCTTTTTATATGTAATCCCGTTTCCAACGAAATCCTCAAATCTAGCCAAATAGCCACTTGCAGATTCCACAAAAAGAGAGTTTCAAAACTGTTCTGTCTAAAGAAATGTTCAACTGTGTTAGTTGAGGACACACATCAGAAACTAGTTTCTGAGAATGCTTCTGTCTAGTTGTTATGGGAAGATATTTCCTTTTCCAACGTAGGCCTGAAAGCGCTCCAAATGTCCACTTCCATATACTAAAAAAAGAGTGTTTCAAACCTGCTCTACCAAAGGGAATGTTCTACTCTGTGACTTGAATGCAAACATCCCAAAGAAGTTTCTGAGAATGCTTCTGTCTAGATTTGATCTGAAGACAATCCCGTTTCCAACGAAATCCTCAAGGCTAGGCAAATATCCTCTTGCAGATTCCAGAAAAAGAGTGTTTCAAAACTGCTCCTTCAAAACGGTGGTTCAATTCTCTTAGTTGAGTACACACATCTCAAATAAGTTTCTGAGAATGCTTCTGCCTAGTTGTTACGGGAAGATATTTCCCTTTCCAACATGGGCCTGAAAGCGCTCCAAATGTCCACTTCCAGATACTACAAAAAGAGTGTTTCAAACCTGCTCTACCAAAGGGAATGTTCTACTCTGTGACTTGAATGCAAACATCCCAAAGAAGTTTCTGAGAATGCTTCTGTCTAGATTTTACCTGAAGACAATCCCGTTTCCCACGAAATCCTCAAAGCTATGCAAATATCCTCTTGCAGATTCTACAAAAAGAGTGTTTCAAAACTGCTCTATGAAAAGAAAGGTTCCAACTCTGTCAGTAGAGGGCACACATCACAAACAAGTTTCTGAGAATGCTTCTGCATAGTTGTTACGGGAAGATATTTCCCTTTCCAAAATAGGCCTGAAAGCGCTCCAAATGTCCACTTCCAGATACTACAAAAGGAGTGATTCCAACCTGCTCTATGATAGGGAATGTTCAACTCTGTGTCCTGAATACAAACATCACAAAGATGTTTCTCAGAACGCTGCAGTCTGCAATTTGTATGAATTCCCGCTTCCAACGAAATCCTCAAAACTAGCCAAATATCCACTTGCAGATTCCACAAAAAGACCATTTCAAAACTGCTCTATCAAAAGAAAGGTTCAACTTTGCTGGTTGAGTAGATACAGCATAAACAAGTTTCTGAGAATGCTTCTGTCCAGTTTTTATGGGAAGATATTTCCTTTTTCACCTTAGCCCTGAAATCGCTCCAAAAGTCCAGTTCCAGATACTACAAAAGGGGTGTTTCAAGACTGCTCTATGAAAGGGAGTGTTCAACTTTTGACTTGAATGCAAACATCAGAAAGCAGTTTCTCAGAACGCTGCTGTGTGCTTTTTATATGTATTCCCGCTTCCAGCGAAATCCCCAAAGCTAGCCAAATATCCACTTGCAGATTCCAGAAAAAGAGTGTTTCAAAACTGCTCCTTCAAAACGGTGGTTCAATTCTCTTAGTTGAGTACACACATCTCAAATAAGTTTCTGAGAATGCTTCTGTCTAGTTGTTATGGGAAGATATTTCCTTTTCCAACATAGGCCTGAAAGCGCTCCAAATGTCCACTTCCAGATACTACAAAAGGAGTGATTCCAACCTGCTCTATGATAGGGAATGTTCAACTCTGTGTCCTGAATACAAACATCACAAAGATGTTTCTCAGAACGCTGCAGTCTGCAATTTGTATGAATTCCCGCTTCCAACGAAATCCTCAAAACTAGCCAAATATCCACTTGCAGATTCCACAAAAAGAGCGTTTCAAAACTTCTCTATGAAAAGAAAGGTTCTACTCCTTTAGTTGAGGACACACATCACGAGTAAGTTTCTGAGAATGCTTCTGTCTGGTTTTTATGGTAAGATATGTCCTTTTTCACCTTAGGCCGGAAAGCGCTCCAAATGTCCACTTACACACACTACAAAAAGAGTGTTTCAAACCTGCTCTGTGAAAGGGAATGTTCAATTCTGTGACTTGAATGCAATCATCACAAAGAACTTTCTGAGAATGCTGCTGACTGCTTTTTATATGTAATCCCGTTTCCAACGAAATCCTCAAATCTAGCCAAATAGCCACTTGCAGATTCCACAAAAAGAGTGTTTCAAAACTGTTCTGTCTAAAGAAATGTTCAACTGTGTTAGTTGAGGACACACATCAGAAACTAGTTTCTGAGAATGCTTCTGTCTAGTTGTTATGGGAAGATATTTCCTTTTCCAACGTAGGCCTGAAAGCGCTCCAAATGTCCACTTCCAGATACTACAAAAAGAGTGTTTCAAACCTGCTCTACCAAAGGGAATGTTCTACTCTGTGACTTGAATGCAAACATCCCAAAGAAGTTTCTGAGAATGCTTCTGTCTAGATTTTCTCTGAAGACAATCCCGTTTCCAACGAAATCCTCAAGGCTAGGCAAATATACTCTTGCAGATTCCAGAAAAAGAGTGTTTCAAAACTGCTCCTTCAAAACGGTGGTTCAATTCTCTTAGTTGAGTACACACATCTCAAATAAGTTTCTGAGAATGCTTCTGCCTAGTTGTTACGGGAAGATATTTCCCTTTCCAACATGGGCCTGAAAGCGCTCCAAATGTCCACTTCCAGATACTACAAAAAGAGTGTTTCAAACCTGCTCTACCAAAGGGAATGTTCTACTCTGTGACTTGAATGCAAACATCCCAAAGAAGTTTCTGAGAATGCTTCTGTCTAGATTTTACCTGAAGACAATCCCGTTTCCCACGAAATCCTCAAAGCTATGCAAATATCCTCTTGCAGATTCTACAAAAAGAGTGTTTCAAAACTGCTCTATGAAAAGAAAGGTTCAACTCTGTCAGTAGAGGGCACACATCACAAACAAGTTTCTGAGAATGCTTCTGCATAGTTGTTACGGGAAGATATTTCCCTTTCCAAAATAGGCCTGAAAGCGCTCCAAATGTCCACTTCCAGATACTACAAAAGGAGTGATTCCAACCTGCTCTATGATAGGGAATGTTCAACTCTGTGTCCTGAATACAAACATCACAAAGATGTTTCTCAGAACGCTGCAGTCTGCAATTTGTATGAATTCCCGCTTCCAACGAAATCCTCAAAACTAGCCAAATATCCACTTGCAGATTCCACAAAAAGACCATTTCAAAACTGCTCTATCAAAAGAAAGGTTCAACTTTGTTAGTTGAGTAGATACAGCATAACCAAGTTTCTGAGAATGCTTCTGTCCAGTTTTTATGGGAAGATATTTCCTTTTTCACCTTAGCCCTGAAATCGCTCCAAAAGTCCAGTTCCAGATACTACAAAAGGGGTGTTTCAAGACTGCTCTATGAAAGGGAGTGTTCAACTTTTGACTTGAATGCAAACATCAGAAAGCAGTTTCTCAGAACGCTGCTGTGTGCTTTTTATATGTATTCCCGCTTCCAGCGAAATCCCCAAAGCTAGCCAAATATCCACTTGCAGATTCCAGAAAAAGAGTGTTTCAAAACTGCTCCTTCAAAACGGTGGTTCAATTCTCTTAGTTGAGTACACACATCTCAAATAAGTTTCTGAGAATGCTTCTGTCTAGTTGTTATGGGAAGATATTTCCTTTTCCAACATAGGCCTGAAAGCGCTCCAAATGTCCACTTCCAGATACTACAAAAGGAGTGATTCCAACCTGCTCTATGATAGGGAATGTTCAACTCTGTGTCCTGAATACAAACATCACAAAGATGTTTCTCAGAACGCTGCAGTCTGCAATTTGTATGAATTCCCGCTTCCAACGAAATCCTCAAAACTAGCCAAATATCCACTTGCAGATTCCACAAAAAGAGCGTTTCAAAACTTCTCTATGAAAACAAAGGTTCTACTCCTTTAGTTGAGGACACACATCACGAGTAAGTTTCTGAGAATGCTTCTGTCTAGTTTTTATGGGAAGATATTTCCTTTTTCACCTTAGGCCGGAAAGTGCTCCAAATGTCCACTTACACACACTACAAAAAGAGTGTTTCAAACCTGCTCTGTGAAAGGGAATGTTCAATTCTGTGACTTGAATGCAATCATCACAAAGAAGTTTCTGAGAATGCTGCTGTCTGCTTTTTATATGTAATCCCGTTTCCAACGAAATCCTCAAATCTAGCCAAATATCCACTTGCAGATTCCACAAAGAGAGTGTTTCAAATCTGCTCTGTCTAAAGAAATGTTCAACTGTGTTAGTTGAGGACACACATCAGAAACTAGTTTCTGAGAATGCTTCTGTCTAGTTGTTATGGGAAGATATTTCCTTTTCCAACGTAGGCCTGAAAGCGCTCCAAATGTCCACTTCCATATACTAAAAAAAGAGTGTTTCAAACCTGCTCTACCAAAGGGAATGTTCTACTCTGTGACTTGAATGCAAACATCCCAAAGAAGTTTCTGAGAATGCTTCTGTCTAGATTTTCTCTGAAGACAATCCCGTTTCCAACGAAATCCTCAAGGCTAGGCAAATATACTCTTGCAGATTCCAGAAAAAGAGTGTTTCAAAACTGCTCCTTCAAAACGGTGGTTCAATTCTCTTAGTTGAGTACACACATCTCAAATAAGTTTCTGAGAATGCTTCTGCCTAGTTGTTACGGGAAGATATTTCCCTTTCCAACATGGGCCTGAATGCGCTCCAAATGTCCACTTCCAGATACTACAAAAAGAGGGTTTCAAACCTGCTCTACCAAAGGGAATGTTCTACTCTTTGACTTGAATGCAAACATAACAAAGAAGTTTCTGAGAATGCTTCTGTCTAGATTTTACCTGAAGACAATCCCGTTTCCCACGAAATCCTCAAAGCTATGCAAATATCCTCTTGCAGATTCTACAAAAAGAGTGTTTGAAAACTGCTCTATGAAAAGAAAGGTTCAACTCTGTCAGTAGAGGGCACACATCACAAACAAGTTTCTGAGAATGCTTCTGTCTAGTTTTTATGGGAAGATATTTCCTTTTTCACCTTAGGCCGGAAAGTGCTCCAAATGTCCACTTCCAGATACTACAAAAGGAGTGATTCCAACCTGCTCTATGATAGGGAATGTTCAACTCTCTGTCCTGAATACAAACATCACAAAGATGTTTCTCAGAACGCTGCAGTCTGCAATTTGTATGAATTCCCGCTTCCAACGAAATCCTCAAAACTAGCCAAATATCCACTTGCAGATTCCACAAAAAGACCATTTCAAAACTGCTCTATCAAAAGAAAGGTTCAACTTTGTTAGTTGAGTAGATACAGCATAACCAAGTTTCTGAGAATGCTTCTGTCCAGTTTTTATGGGAAGATATTTCCTTTTTCACCTTAGCCCTGAAATCGCTCCAAAAGTCCAGTTCCAGATACTACAAAAGGGGTGTTTCAAGACTGCTCTATGAAAGGGAGTGTTCAACTTTTGACTTGAATGCAAACATCAGAAAGCAGTTTCTCAGAACGCTGCTGTGTGCTTTTTATATGTATTCCCGCTTCCAGCGAAATCCCCAAAGCTAGCCAAATATCCACTTGCAGATTCCAGAAAAAGAGTGTTTCAAAACTGCTCCTTCAAAACGGTGGTTCAATTCTCTTAGTTGAGTACACACATCTCAAATAAGTTTCTGAGAATGCTTCTGTCTAGTTGTTATGGGAAGATATTTCCTTTTCCAACATAGGCCTGAAAGCGCTCCAAATGTCCACTTCCAGATACTACAAAAGGAGTGATTCAAACCTGCTCTATGATAGGGAATGTTCAACTCTGTGTCCTGAATACAAACATCACAAAGATGTTTCTCAGAACGCTGCAGTCTGCAATTTGTATGAATTCCCGCTTCCAACGAAATCCTCCAAACTAGCCAAATATCCACTTGCAGAGTCCACAAAAAGAGCGTTTCAAAACTTCTCTATGAAAAGAAAGGTTCTACTCCTTTAGTTGAGGACACACATCACGAGTAAGTTTCTGAGAATGCTTCTGTCTAGTTCTTATGGGAAGATATTTCCTTGTACACCTTAGGCCGAAAAGCGCTCCAAATGTCCACTTACACACACTACAAAAAGAGTGTTTCAAACCTGCTCTGTGAAAGGGAATGTTCAATTCCTGTGACTTGAATGCAATCATCACAAAGAAGTTTCTGAGAATGCTGCTGTCTGCTTTTTATATGTAATCCCGTTTCCAACGAAATCCTCAAATCTAGCCAAATAGCCACTTGCAGATTCCACAAAAAGAGTGTTTCAAAACTGTTCTGTCTAAAGAAATGTTCAACTGTGTTAGTTGAGGACACACATCAGAAACTAGTTTCTGAGAATGCTTCTGTCTAGTTGTTATGGGAAGATATTTCCTTTTCCAACGTAGGCCTGAAAGCGCTCCAAATGTCCACTTCCATATACTAAAAAAAGAGTGTTTCAAACCTGCTCTACCAAAGGGAATGTTCTACTCTGTGACTTGAATGCAAACATCCCAAAGAAGTTTCTGAGAATGCTTCTGTCTAGATTTTCTCTGAAGACAATCCCGTTTCCAACGAAATCCTCAAGGCTAGGCAAATATACTCTTGCAGATTCCAGAAAAAGAGTGTTTCAAAACTGCTCCTTCAAAACGGTGGTTCAATTCTCTTAGTTGAGTACACACATCTCAAATAAGTTTCTGAGAATGCTTCTGCCTAGTTGTTACGGGAAGATATTTCCCTTTCCAACATAGGCCTGAAAGCGCTCCAAATGTCCACTTCCAGATACTATAAAAAGAGTGTTTCAAACCTGCTCTACCAAAGGGAATGTTCTACTCTGTGACTTGAATGCAAACATCCCAAAGAAGTTTCTGAGAATGCTTCTGTCTAGATTTTACCTGAAGACAATCCCGTTTCCCACGAAATCCTCAAAGCTATGCAAATATCCTCTTGCAGATTCTACAAAAAGAGTGTTTCAAAACTGCTCTATGAAAAGAAAGGTTCAACTCTGTCAGTAGAGGGCACACATCACAAACAAGTTTCTGAGAATGCTTCTGCATAGTTGTTACGGGAAGATATTTCCCTTTCCAAAATAGGCCTGAAAGCGCTCCAAATGTCCACTTCCAGATACTACAAAAGGAGTGATTCCAACCTGCTCTATGATAGGGAATGTTCAACTCTGTGTCCTGAATACAAACATCACAAAGATGTTTCTCAGAACGCTGCAGTCTACAATTTGCATGAATTCCAGCTTCCAACGAAATCCTCAAAACTAGCCAAATATCCACTTGCAGATTCCACAAAAAGAGCATTTCAAAACTGCCCTATCAAAAGAAATGTTCAACATTGTTAGTAGAGTAGATACAGCATAAACAAGTTTCTGAGAATGCTTCTGTCCAGATTTTATGGGAAGATATTTCCTTTTTCACCTTAGCCCTGAAAGCGCTCCAAAAGTCCAGTTCCAGATACTACAAAAGGAGTGTTTCAGGACTGCTCTATGAAAGGGAGTGTTCAACTTTTGACTTGAATGCAAACATCAGAAAGCAGTTTCTCAGAACGCTGCTGTGTGCTTTTTATATGTATTCCCGCTTCCAGCGAAATCCCCAAAGCTAGCCAAATATCCAATTGCAGATTCCAGAAAAAGAGTGTTTCAAAACTGCTCCTTCAAAACGGTGGTTCAGTTCTCTTAGTTGAGTACACACATCTCAAATAAGTTTCTGAGAATGCTTCTGTCTAGTTGTAATGGGAAGATATTTCCTTTTCCAACATAGGCCTGAAAGCGCTCCAAATGTCCACTTCCAGATACTACAAAAGGAGTGATTCCAACCTGCTCTATGATAGGGAATGTTCAACTCTGTGTCCTGAATACAAACATCACAAAGATGTTTCTCAGAACGCTGCAGTCTGCAATTTGTATGAATTCCCGCTTCCAACGAAATCCTCAAAACTAGCCAAATATCCACTTGCAGATTCCACAAAAAGAGCATTTCAAAACTGCTCTATCAAAAGAAAGGTTCAACTTTGTTAGTTGAGTAGATACAGCATAAACAAGTTTCTGAGAATGCTTCTGTCCAGTTTTTATGGGAAGATATTTCCTTTTTCACCTTAGCCCTGAAAGCGCTCCAAATTTCCAGTTCCAGATACTACAAAAGGGGTGTTTCAAGACTGCTCTATGAAAGGGAGTGTTCAACTTTTGACTTGAATGCAAACATCAGAAAGTAGTTTCTCAGAACGCTGCTGTGTGCTTTTTATATGTATTCCCGCTTCCAGCGAAATCCCCAAAGCTAGCCAAATATCCACTTGCAGATTCCAGAAAAAGCGTGTTTCCAAACTGCTCCTTCAAAACGGTGGTTCAATTCTCTTAGTTGAGTACACACATCTCAAATAAGTTTCTGGGAATGCTTCTGTCTAGTTGTTATGGGAAGATATTTCCTTTTCCAACATAGGCCTGAAAGCGCTCCAAATGTCCACTTCCAGATACTACAAAAGGAGTGATTCAAACCTGCTCTATGATAGGGAATGTTCAACTCTGTGTCCTGAATACAAACATCACAAAGATGTTTCTCAGAACGCTGCAGTCTGCATCTTGTATGAATTCCCGCTTCCAACGAAATCCTCAAAACTAGCCAAATATCCACTTGCAGATTCCAAAAAAAGAGCGTTTCAAAAGTTCTCTATGAAAAGAAAGGTTCTACTCCTTTAGTTGAGGACACACATCACGAGTAAGTTTCTGAGAATGCTTCTGTCTAGTTTTTATGGGAAGATATTTCCTTGTTCACCTTAGGCCGGAAAGCGCTCCAAATGTCCACTTACACACACTACAAAAAGAGTGTTTCAAACCTGCTCTGTGAAAGGGAATGTTCAATTCTGTGACTTGAATGCAATCATCACAAAGAAGTTTCTGAGAATGCTGCTGACTGCTTTTTATATGTAATCCCGTTTCCAACGAAATCCTCAAATCTAGCCAAATAGCCACTTGCAGATTCCACAAAAAGAGTGTTTCAAAACTGTTCTGTCTAAAGAAATGTTCAACTGTGTTAGTTGAGGACACACATCAGAAACTAGTTTCTGAGAATGCTTCTGTCTAGTTGTTATGGGAAGATATTTCCTTTTCCAACGTAGGCCTGAAAGCGATCAAAATGTCCACTTCCATATACTAAAAAAAGAGTGTTTCAAACCTGCTCTACCAAAGGGAATGTTCTACTCTGTGACTTGAATGCAAACATCCCAAAGAAGTTTCTGAGAATGCTTCTGTCTAGATTTGATCTGAAGACAATCCCGTTTCCAACGAAATCCTCAAGGCTAGGCAAATATCCTCTTGCAGATTCCAGAAAAAGAGTGTTTCAAAACTGCTCCTTCAAAACGGTGGTTCAATTCTCTTAGTTGAGTACACACATCTCAAATAAGTTTCTGAGAATGCTTCTACCTAGTTGTTACGGGAAGATATTTCCCTTTGCAACATAGGCCTGAAAGGGCTCCAAATGTCCACTTCCAGATACTACAAAAAGAGTGTTTCAAACCTGGTCTACCAAAGGGAATGTTCTACTCTGTTACTTGAATGCAAACATCCCAAAGAAGTTTCTGAGAATGCTTCTGTCTAGATTTTACCTGAAGACAATCCCGTTTCCAACGAAATCCTCAGAGCTATGCAAATATCCTCTTGCAGATTCTCCAAAAAGAGTGTTTCGAAACTGCTCTATGAAAAGAAAGGTTCAACTCTGTCAGTAGAGGGCACACATCACAAACAACTTTCTGAGAATGCTTCTGTCTAGTTGTTATGGGAAGATATTTCCTTTTTCATCTTAGGCCTGAAAGCGCTCCAAATGTCCACTTCCAGATACGACAAAAGGAGTGATTCCAACCTGCTCTATGATAGGGAATGTTCAACTCTGTGTCCTGAATACAAACATCACAAAGATGTTTCTCAGAACGCTGCAGTCTGCAATTTGTATGAATTCCAGCTTCCAACGAAATCCTCAAAACTAGCCAAATATCCACTTGCAGATTCCACAAAAAGAGCATTTCAAAACTGCTCTATCAAAAGAAAGGTTCAACTTTGTTAGTAGAGTAGATACAGCATAAACAAGTTTCTGAGAATGCTTCTGTCCAGTTTTTATGGGAAGATATTTCCTTTTTCACCTTAGCCCTGAAATCGCTCCAAAAGTCCAGTTCCAGATACTACAAAAGGGGTGTTTCAAGACTGCTCTATGAAAGGGAGTGTTCAACTTTTGACTTGAATGCAAACATCAGAAAGCAGTTTGCTCAGAACGCTGGCTGTGTGCTTTTTATATGTATTCCCGCTTCCAGCGAAATCCCCAAAGCTAGCCAAATATCCACTTGCAGATTCCAGAAAAAGAGTGTTTCAAAACTGCTCCTTCAAAACGGTGGTTCAATTCTCTTAGTTGAGTACACACATCTCAAATAAGTTTCTGAGAATGCTTCTGTCTAGTTGTTATGGGAAGATATTTCCTTTTCCAACATAGGCCTGAAAGCGCTCCAAATGTCCACTTCCAGATACTACAAAAGGAGTGATTCCAACCTGCTCTATGATAGGGAATGTTCAACTCTGTGTCCTGAATACAAACATCACAAAGATGTTTCTCAGAACGCTGCAGTCTGCAATTTGTATGAATTCCCGCTTCCAACGAAATCCTCCAAACTAGCCAAATATCCACTTACAGATACCACAAAAAGAGCGTTTCAAAACTTCTCTATGAAAGAAAGGTTCTACTCCTTTAGTTGAGGACACACATCACGAGTAAGTTTCTGAGAATGCTTCTGTCTAGTTTTTATGGGAAGATATTTCCTTTTTCACCTTAGGCCGGAAAGCGCTCCAAATGTCCACTTACACACACTACAAAAAGAGTGTTTCAAACCTGCTCTGTGAAAGGGAATGTTCAATTCTGTGACTTGAATGCAATCATCACAAAGAACTTTCTGAGAATGCTGCTGACTGCTTTTTATATGTAATCCCGTTTCCAACGAAATCCTCAAATCTAGCCAAATAGCCACTTGCAGATTCCACAAAAAGAGTGTTTCAAAACTGTTCTGTCTAAAGAAATGTTCAACTGTGTTAGTTGAGGACACACATCAGAAACTAGTTTCTGAGAATGCTTCTGTCTAGTTGTTATGGGAAGATATTTCCTTTTCCAACGTAGGCCTGAAAGCGCTCCAAATGTCCACTTCCAGATACTACAAAAAGAGTGTTTCAAACCTGCTCTACCAAAGGGAATGTTCTACTCTGTGACTTGAATGCAAACATCCCAAAGAAGTTTCTGAGAATGCTTCTGTCTAGATTTGATCTGAAGACAATCCCGTTTCCAACGAAATCCTCAAAGCTAGGCAAATATCCTCTAGCAGATTCCAGAAAAAGAGTGTTTCAAAACTGCTCCTTCAAAACGGTGGTTCAATTCTCTTAGTTGAGTACACACATCTCAAATAAGTTTCTGAGAATGCTTCTGCCTAGTTGTTACGGGAAGATATTTCCCTTTCCAACATAGGCCTGAAAGCGCTCCAAATGTCCACTTCCAGATACTACAAAAAGAGTGTTTCAAACCTGCTCTACCAAAGGGAATGTTCTACTCTGTGACTTGAATGCAAACATCCCAAAGAAGTTTCTGAGAATGCTTCTGTCTAGATTTTACCTGAAGACAATCCCGTTTCCCACGAAATCCTCAAAGCTATGCAAATATCCTCTTGCAGATTCTACAAAAAGAGTGTTTCAAAACTGCTCTATGAAAAGAAAGGTTCAACTCTGTCAGTAGAGGGCACACATCACAAACAAGTTTCTGAGAATGCTTCTGCATAGTTGTTACGGGAAGATATTTCCCTTTCCAAAATAGGCCTGAAAGCGCTCCAAATGTCCACTTCCAGATACTACAAAAGGAGTGATTCCAACCTGCTCTATGATAGGGAATGTTCAACTCTGTGTCCTGAATACAAACATCACAAAGATGTTTCTCAGAACGCTGCAGTCTGCAATTTGTATGAATTCCCGCTTCCAACGAAATCCTCAAAACTAGCCAAATATCCACTTGCAGATTCCACAAAAAGACCATTTCAAAACTGCTCTATCAAAAGAAAGGTTCAACTTTGTTAGTTGAGTAGATACAGCATAACCAAGTTTCTGAGAATGCTTCTGTCCAGTTTTTATGGGAAGATATTTCCTTTTTCACCTTAGCCCTGAAATCGCTCCAAAAGTCCAGTTCCAGATACTACAAAAGGGGTGTTTCAAGACTGCTCTATGAAAGGGAGTGTTCAACTTTTGACTTGAATGCAAACATCAGAAAGCAGTTTCTCAGAACGCTGCTGTGTGCTTTTTATATGTATTCCCGCTTCCAGCGAAATCCCCAAAGCTAGCCAAATATCCACTTGCAGATTCCAGAAAAAGAGAGTTTCAAAACTGCTCCTTCAAAACGGTGGTTCAATTCTCTTAGTTGAGTACACACATCTCAAATAAGTTTCTGAGAATGCTTGTGTCTAGTTGTTATGGGAAGATATTTCCTTTTTCAACATAGGCCTGAAAGCGCTCCAAATGTCCACTTCCAGATACTACAAAAGGAGTGATTCCAACATGCTCTATGATAGGGAATGTTCATCTCTGTGTCTTGAATACAAACATCACAAAGATGTTTCTCAGAACGCTGCAGTCTGCAATTTGTATGAATTCCCGCTTCCAACGAAATCCTCAAAACTAACCAAATATCCACTTGGAGATTCCACAAAAAGAGCGTTTCAAAACTTCTCTATGAATAGAAAGGTTCTACTCCTTTAGTTGAGGACACACATCACGAGTAAGTTTCTGAGAATGCTTCTGTCTAGTTTTTATGGGAAGATATGTCCTTTTTCACCTTAGGCCGGAAAGCGCTCCAAATGTCCACTTACACACACTACAAAAAGAGTGTTTCAAACCTGCTCTGTGAAAGGGAATGTTCAATTCTGTGACTTGAATGCAATCATCACAAACAACTTTCTGAGAATGCTGCTGTCTGCTTTTTATATGTAATCCCCTTTCCAACGAAATCCTCAAATCTAACCCAATATCCACTTGCAGATTCCACAAAAAGAGTGTTTCAAAACTGTTCTGTCTAAAGAAAAGTTCAACTGTGTTAGTTGAGGACACACATCAGAAACTAGTTTCTGAGAATGCTTCTGTCTAGTTGTTATGGGAAGATATTTCCTTTTCCAACGTAGGCCTGAAAGCGCTCCAAATGTCCACTTCCATATACTAAAAAAAGAGTGTTTCAAACCTGCTCTACCAAAGGGAATGTTCTACTCTGTGACTTGAATGCAAACATCCCAAAGAAGTTTCTGAGAATGCTTCTGTCTAGATTTTATCTGAAGACAATCCCGTTTCCAACGAAATCCTCAAGGCTAGGAAAATATACTCTTGCAGATTCCAGAAAAAGAGTGTTTCAAAACTGCTCCTTCAAAACGGTGGTTCAATTCTCTTAGTTGAGTACACACATCTCAAATAAGTTTCTGAGAATGCTTCTGCCTAGTTGTTACGGGAAGATATTTCCCTTTCCAACATGGGCCTGAAAGCGCTCCAAATGTCCACTTCCAGATACTACAAAAAGAGTGTTTCAAACCTGCTCTACCAAAGGGAATGTTCTACTCTGTGACTTGAATGCAAACATCCCAAAGAAGTTTCTGAGAATGCTTCTGTCTAGATTTTACCTGAAGACAATCCCGTTTCCCACGAAATCCTCAAAGCTATGCAAATATCCTCTTGCAGATTCTACAAAAAGAGTGTTTCAAAACTGCTCTATGAAAAGAAAGGTTCAACTCTGTCAGTAGAGGGCACACATCACAAACAAGTTTCTGAGAATGCTTCTGCCTAGTTGTTACGGGAAGATATTTCCCTTTCCAACATGGGCCTGAAAGCGCTCCAAATGTCCACTTCCAGATACTACAAAAGGAGTGATTCCAACCTGCTCTATGATAGGGAATGTTCAACTCTGTGTCCTGAATACAAACATCACAAAGATGTTTCTCAGAACGCTGCAGTCTGCAATTTGTATGAATTCCCGCTTCCAACGAAATCCTCAAAACTAGCCAAATATCCACTTGCAGATTCCACAAAAAGACCATTTCAAAACTGCTCTATCAAAAGAAAGGTTCAACTTTGTTAGTTGAGTAGATACAGCATAAACAAGTTTCTGAGAATGCTTCTGTCCAGTTTTTATGGGAAGATATTTCCTTTTTCACCTTAGCCCTGAAATCGCTCCAAAAGTCCAGTTCCAGATACTACAAAAGGGGTGTTTCAGGACTGCTCTATGAAAGGGAGTGTTCAACTTTTGACTTGAATGCAAACATCAGAAAGCAGTTTCTCAGAACGCTGCTGTCTGCTTTGTATATGTAATCCCGTTTCCAACGAAATCCTCAAATCTAGCTAAATATCCACTTGCAGATTCCAGAAAAAGAGTGTTTCAAAACTGCTCCTTCAAAACGGTGGTTCAATTCTCTTAGTTGAGTACACACATCTCAAATAAGTTTCTGAGAATGCTTGTGTCTAGTTGTTATGGGAAGATATTTCCTTTTTCAACATAGGCCTGAAAGCGCTCCAAATGTCCACTTCCAGATACTACAAAAGGAGTGATTCCAACATGCTCTATGATAGGGAATGTTCATCTCTGTGTCTTGAATACAAACATCACAAAGATGTTTCTCAGAACGCTGCAGTCTGCAATTTGTATGAATTCCCGCTTCCAACGAAATCCTCAAAACTAGCCAAATATCCACTTGCAGATTCCACAAAAAGAGCGTTTCAAAACTTCTCTATGAAAAGAAAGTTTCTACTCCTTTACTTGAGTACACACATCACGAGTAAGTTTCTGAGAATGCTTCTGTCTAGTTTTTATGGGAAGATATTTCCTTGTTCACCTTAGGCCGGAAAGCGCTCCAAATGTCCACTTACACACACTACAAAAAGAGTGTTTCAAACCTGCTCTGTGAAAGGGAATGTTCAATTCTGTGACTTGAATGCAATCATCACAAAGAACTGTCTGAGAATGCCGCTGTCTGCTTTTTATATGTAATCCCGTTTCCAACGAAATGCTCAAATCTAGCCAAATATCCACTTGCAAATTCCACAAAAAGAGTGTTTCAAAACTGTTCTGTCTAAAGAAATGTTCAACTGTGTTAGTTGACGACACACATCAGAAACTAGTTTCTGAGAATGCTTCTGTCTAGTTGTTATGGGAAGATATTTCCTTTTCCAACGTAGGCCTGAATGCGCTCCAAATGTCCACTTCCATATACTAAAAAAAGAGTGTTTCAAACCTGCTCTACCAAAGGGAATGTTCTACTCTGTGACTTGAATGCAAACATCCCAAAGAAGTTTCTGAGAATGCTTCTGTCTAGATTTGATCTGAAGACAATCCCGTTTCCAACGAAATCCTCAAAGCTAGGCAAATATCCTCTTGCAGATTCCAGAAAAAGAGTGTTTCAAAACTGCTCCTTCAAAACGGTGGTTCAATTCTACTTAGTTGAGTACACACATCTCAAATAAGTTTCTGAGAATGCTTCTGCCTAGTTGTTACGGGAAGATATTTCCCTTTCCAACATAGGCCTGAAAGCGCTCCAAATGTCCACTTCCAGATACTACAAAAAGAGTGTTTCAAACCTGCTCTACCAAAGGGAATGTTCTACTCTGTGACTTGAATGCAAACATCCCAAAGAAGTTTCTGAGAATGCTTCTGTCTAGATTTTACCTGAAGACAATCCCGTTTCCCACGAAATCCTCAAAGCTATGCAAATATCCTCTTGCAGATTCTACAAAAAGAGTGTTTCGAAACTGCTCTATGAAAAGAAAGGTTCAACTGTGTCAGTAGAGGGCACACATCACAAACAAGTTTCTGAGAATGCTTCTGCCTAGTTGTTATGGGAAGATATTTCCTTTTTCAACATAGGCCTGAAAGCGCTCCAAATGTCCACTTCCAGATACTACAAAAGGAGTGATTCCAACCTGCTCTATGATAGAGAATGTTCAACTCTGTGTCCTGAATACAAACATCACAAAGTTGTTTCTCAGAACGCTGCAGTCTGCAATTTGTATGAATTCCCGCTTCCAACGAAATCCTCAAAACTAGCCAAATATCCACTTGCAGATTCCACAAAAAGACCATTTCAAAACTGCTCTATCAAAAGAAAGGTTAAACTTTGTTAGTTGAGTAGATACAGCATAACCAAGTTTCTGAGAATGCTTCTGTCCAGTTTTTATGGGAAGATATTTCCTTTTTCACCTTAGCCCTGAAATCGCTCCAAAAGTCCAGTTCCAGATACTACAAAAGGGGTGTTTCAAGACTGCTCTATGAAAGGGAGTGTTCAACTTTTGACTTGAATGCAAACATCAGAAAGCAGTTTGCTCAGAACGCTGCTGTGTGCTTTTTATATGTATTCCCGCTTCCAGCGAAATCCCCAAAGCTAGCCAAATATCCACTTGCAGATTCCAGAAAAAGAGTGTTTCAAAACTGCTCCTTCAAAACGGTGGTTCAATTCTCTTAGTTGAGTACACACATCTCAAATAAGTTTCTGAGAATGCTTGTGTCTAGTTGTTATGGGAAGATATTTCCTTTTTCAACATAGGCCTGAAAGCGCTCCAAATGTCCACTTCCAGATACTACAAAAGGAGTGATTCCAACATGCTCTATGATAGGGAATGTTCATCTCTGTGTCTTGAATACAAACATCACAAAGATGTTTCTCAGAACGCTGCAGTCTGCAATTTGTATGAATTCCCGCTTCCAACGAAATCCTCAAAACTAACCAAATATCCACTTGGAGATTCCACAAAAAGAGCGTTTCAAAACTTCTCTATGAATAGAAAGGTTCTACTCCTTTAGTTGAGGACACACATCACGAGTAAGTTTCTGAGAATGCTTCTGTCTAGTTTTTATGGGAAGATATTTCCTTTTTCACCTTAGGCCGGAAAGCGCTCCAAATGTCCACTTACACACACTACAAAAAGAGTGTTTCAAACCTGCTCTGTGAAAGGGAATGTTCAATTCTGTGACTTGAATGCAATCATCACAAAGAACTTTCTGAGAATGCTGCTGTCTGCTTTTTATATGTAATCCCGTTTCCAACGAAATCCTCAAATCTAGCCAAATAGCCACTTGCAGATTCCACAAAAAGAGAGTTTCAAAACTGTTCTGTCTAAAGAAATGTTCAACTGTGTTAGTTGAGGACACACATCAGAAACTAGTTTCTGAGAATGCTTCTGTCTAGTTGTTATGGGAAGATATTTCCTTTTCCAACGTAGGCCTGAAAGCGCTCCAAATGTCCACTTCCATATACTAAAAAAAGAGTGTTTAACACCTGCTCTACCAAAGGGAATGTTCTACTCTGTGACTTGAATGCAAACATCCCAAAGAAGTTTCTGAGAATGCTTCTGTCTAGATTTGATCTGAAGACAATCCCGTTTCCAACGAAATCCTCAAGGCTAGGCAAATATCCTCTTGCAGATTCCAGAAAAAGAGTGTTTCAAAACTGCTCCTTCAAAACGGTGGTTCAATTCTCTTAGTTGAGTACACACATCTCAAATAAGTTTCTGAGAATGCTTCTGCCTAGTTGTTACGGGAAGATATTTCCCTTTCCAACATAGGCCTGAAAGCGCAACAAATGTCCACTTCCAGATACGACAAAAAGAGTGTTTCAAACCTGCTCTACCAAAGGGAATGTTCTACTCTGTGAGTTGAATGCAAACATCCCGAAGAAGTTTCTGAGAATGCTTCTGTCTAGATTTTACCTGAAGACAATCCCGTTTCCCACGAAATCCTCAAAGCTATGCAAATATCCTCTTGCAGATTCTACAAAAAGAGTGTTTCAAAACTGCTCTATGAAAAGAAAGGTTCAACTCTGTCAGTAGAGGGCACACATCACAAACAAGTTTCTGAGAATGCTTGTGTCTAGTTGTTATGGGAAGATATTTCCTTTTTCAACATAGGCCTGAAAGCGCTCCAAATGTCCACTTCCAGATACTACAAAAGGAGTGATTCCAACCTGCTCTATGATAGGGAATGTTCATCTCTGTGTCCTGAATACAAACATCACAAAGATGTTTCTCAGAACGCTGCAGTCTGCAATTTGTATGAATTCCCGCTTCCAACGAAATCCTCAAAACTAGCCAAATATCCACTTGCAGATTCCACAAAAAGACCATTTCAAAACTGCTCTATCAAAAGAAAGGTTCAACTTTGTTAGTTGAGTAGATACAGCATAACCAAGTTTCCTGAGAATGCTTCTGTCCAGTTTTTATGGGAAGATATTTCCTTTTTCACCTTAGCCCTGAAATCGCTCCAAAAGTCCAGTTCCAGATACTACAAAAGGGGTGTTTCAAGACTGCTCTATGAAAGGGAGTGTTCAACTTTTGACTTGAATGCAAACATCAGAAAGCAGTTTCTCAGAACGCTGCTGTGTGCTTTTTATATGTATTCCCGCTTCCAGCGAAATCCCCAAAGCTAGCCAAATATCCACTTGCAGATTCCAGAAAAAGAGAGTTTCAAAACTGCTCCTTCAAAACGGTGGTTCAATTCTCTTAGTTGAGTACACACATCTCAAATAAGTTTCTGAGAATGCTTGGTGTCTACTTGTTATGGGAAGATATTTCCTTTTTCAACATAGGCCTGAAAGCGCTCCAAATGTCCACTTCCAGATACTACAAAAGGAGTGATTCCAACCTGCTCTATGATAGGGAATGTTCAACTCTGTGTCCTGAATACAAACATCACAAAGATGTTTCTCAGAACGCTGCAGTCTGCAATTTGTATGAATTCCCGCTTCCAACGAAATCCTCAAAACTAGCCAAATATCCACTTGCAGATTCCACAAAAAGAGCGTCTCAAAACTTCTCTATGAAAAGAAAGGTTCTACTCCTTTAGTTGAGGACACACATCACGAGTAAGTTTCTGAGAATGCTTCTGTCTAGTTTTTATGGGAAGATATTTCCTTTTTCACCTTAGGCCGGAAAGTGCTCCAAATGTCCACTTACACACACTATAAAAAGAGTGTTTCAAACCTGCTCTGTGAAAGGGAATGTTCAATTCTGTGACTTGAATGCAATCATCACAAAGAACTTTCTGAGATTGCTGCTGTCTGCTTTTTATATGTAATCCCGTTACCAACGAAATCCTCAAATCTAGCCAAATAGCCACTTGCAGATTCCACAAAAAGAGAGTTTCAAAACTATTCTGTCTAAAGAAATGTTCAACTGTGTTAGCTGAGGACACACATCAGAAACTAGTTTCTGAGAATGCTTCTGTCTAGTTGTTATGGGAAGATATTTCCTTTTCCAACGTAGGCCTGAAAGCGCTCCAAATGTCCACTTCCATATACTAAAAAAAGAGTGTTTCAAACCTGCTCTACCAAAGGGAATGTTCTACTCTGTGACTTGAATGCAAACATCCCAAAGAAGTTTCTGAGAATGCTTCTGTCTAGATTTGATCTGAAGACAATCCCGTTTCCAACGAAATCATCAAGGCTAGGCAAATATCCTCTTGCAGATTCCAGAAAAAGAGTGTTTCAAAACTGCTCCTTCAAAACGGTGGTTCAATTCTCTTACTTGAGTACACACATCTCAAATAAGTTTCTGAGAATGCTTCTGCCTAGTTGTTACGGGAAGATATTTCCCTTTCCAACATGGGCCTGAAAGCGCTCCAAATGTCCACTTCCAGATACTACAAAAAGAGTGTTTCAAACCTGCTCTACCAAAGGGAATGTTCTACTCTGTGACTTGAATGCAAACATCCCAAAGAAGTTTCTGAGAATGCTTCTGTCTAGATTTTACCTGAAGACAATCCCGTTTCCCACGAAATCCTCAAAGCTATGCAAATATCCTCTTGCAGATTCTACAAAAAGAGTGTTTCAAAACTGCTCTATGAAAAGAAAGGTTCAACTCTGTCAGTAGAGGGCACACATCACAAACAAGTTTCTGAGAATGCTTGTGTCTAGTTGTTATGGGAAGATATTTCCTTTTTCAACATAGGCCTGAAAGCGCTCCAAATGTCCACTTCCAGATACTACAAAAGGAGTGATTCCAACCTGCTCTATGATAGGGAATCTTCAACTCTGTGTCCTGAATACAAACATCACAAAGATGTTTCTCAGAACGCTGCAGTCTGCAATTTGTATGAATTCCCGCTTCCAACGAAATCCTCAAAACTAGCCAAATATCCACTTGCAGATTCCACAAAAAGACCATTTCAAAACTGCTCTATCAAAAGAAAGGTTCAACTTTGTTAGTTGAGTAGATACAGCATAACCAAGTTTCTGAGAATGCTTCTGTCCAGTTTTTATGGGAAGATATTTCCTTTTTCACCTTAGCCCTGAAATCGCTCCAAAAGTCCAGTTCCAGATACTACAAAAGGGGTGTTTCAAGACTGCTCTATGAAAGGGAGTGTTCAACTTTTGACTTGAATGCAAACATCAGAAAGCAGTTTCTCAGAACGCTGCTGTGTGCTTTTTATATGTATTCCCGCTTCCAGCGAAATCCCCAAAGCTAGCCAAATATCCACTTGCAGATTCCAGAAAAAGAGTGTTTCAAAACTGCTCCTTCAAAACGGTGGTTCAATTCTCTTAGTTGAGTACACACATCTCAAATAAGTTTCTGAGAATGCTTCTGTCTAGTTGTTATGGGAAGATATTTCCTTTTCCAACATAGGCCTGAAAGCGCTCCAAATGTCCACTTCCAGATACTACAAAAGGAGTGATTCAAACCTGCTCTATGATAGGGAATGTTCAACTCTGTGTCCTGAATACAAACATCACAAAGATGTTTCTCAGAACGCTGCAGTCTGCAATTTGTATGAATTCCCGCTTCCAACGAAATCCTCAAAACTAGCCAAATATCCACTTGGAGATTCCACAAAAAGAGCGTTTCAAAACTTCTCTATGAATAGAAAGGTTCTACTCCTTTAGTTGAGGACACACATCACGAGTAAGTTTCTGAGGATGCTTCTGTCTAGTTTTTATGGGAAGATATTTCCTTTTTCACCTTAGGCCGGAAAGCGCTCCAAATGTCCACTTACACACACTACAAAAAGAGTGTTTCAAACCTGCTCTGTGAAAGGGAATGTTCAATTCTGTGACTTGAATGCAATCATCACAAAGAACTTTACTGAGAATGCTGGCTGTCTGCTTTTTATATGTAATCCCGTTTCCAACGAAATCCTCAAATCTAGCCAAATAGCCACTTGCAGATTCCACAAAAAGAGAGTTTCAAAACTGTTCTGTCTAAAGAAATGTTCAACTGTGTTAGTTGAGGACACATATCAGAAACTAGTTTCTGAGAATGCTTCTGTCTAGTTGTTATGGGAAGATATTTCCTTTTCCAACGTAGGCCTGAATGCGCTCCAAATGTCCACTTCCATATACTAAAAAAAGAGTGTTTCAAACCTGCTCTACCAAAGGGAATGTTCTACTCTGTGACTTGAATGCAAACATCCCATGGAAGTTTCTGAGAATGCTTCTGTATAGATTTGATCTGAAGACAATCCCGTTTCCAACGAAATCCTCAAGGCTAGGCAAATATCCTCTTTCAGATTCCAGAAAAAGAGTGTTTCAAAACTGCTCCTTCAAAACGGTGGTTCAATTCTCTTAGTTGAATACACACATCTCAAATAAGTTTCTGAGAATGCTTCTGCCTAGTTGTTACGGGAAGATATTTCCCTTTCCAACATGGGCCTGAAAGCGCTCCAAATGTCCACTTCCAGATACTACAAAAAGAGTGTTTCAAACCTGCTCTACCAAAGGGAATGTTCTACTCTGTGACTTGAATGCAAACATCCCAAAGAAGTTTCTGAGAATGCTTCTGTCTAGATTTTACCTGAAGACAATCCCGTTTCCCACGAAATCCTCAAAGCTATGCAAATATCCTCTTGCAGATTCTACAAAAAGAGTGTTTCAAAACTGCTCTATGAAAAGAAAGGTTCAACTCTGTCAGTAGAGGGCACACATCACAAACAAGTTTCTGAGAATGCTTGTGTCTAGTTGTTATGGGAAGATATTTCCTTTTCCAACGTAGGCCTGAAAGCGCTCCAAATGTCCACTTCCAGATACTACAAAAGGAGTGATTCCAACCTGCTCTATGATAGGGAATGTTCAACTCTCTGTCCTGAATACAAACATCACAAAGATGTTTCTCAGAACGCTGCAGTCTGCAATTTGTATGAATTCCCGCTTCCAACGAAATCCTCAAAACTAGCCAAATATCCACTTGCAGATTCCACAAAAAGAGCATTTCAAAACTGCTCTATCAAAAGAAAGGTTCAACTTTGTTAGTTGAGTAGATACAGCATAAACAAGTTTCTGAGAATGCTTCTGTCCAGTTTTTATGGGAAGATATTTCCTTTTTCACCTTAGCCCTGAAATCGCTCCAAAAGTCCAGTTCCAGATACTACAAAAGGGGTGTTTCAGGACTGCTCTATGAAAGGGAGTGTTCAACTTTTGACTTGAATGCAAACATCAGAAAGCAGTTTCTCAGAACGCTGCTGTGTGCTTTTTATATGTATTCCCGCTTCCAGCGAAATCCCCAAAGCTAGCCAAATATCCACTTGCAGATTCCAGAAAAAGAGTGTTTCAAAACTGCTCCTTCAAAACGGTGGTTCAATTCTCTTAGTTGAGTACACACATCTCAAATAAGTTTCTGAGAATGCTTCTGTCTAGTTGTTATGGGAAGATATTTCCTTTTCCAACATAGGCCTGAAAGCGCTCCAAATGTCCACTTCCAGATACTACAAAAGGAGTGATTCAAACCTGCTCTATGATAGGGAATGTTCAACTCTGTGTCCTGAATACAAACATCACAAAGATGTTTCTCAGAACGCTGCAGTCTGCAATTTGTATGAATTCCCGCTTCCAACGAAATCCTCCAAACTAGCCAAATATCCACTTGCAGATTCCACAAAAAGAGCGTTTCAAAACTTCTCTATGAAAAGAAAGGTTCTACTCCTTTAGTTGAGGACACACATCACGAGTAGGTTTCTGAGAATGCTTCTGTCTAGTTTTTATGGGAAGATATGTCCTTTTTCACCTTAGGCCGGAAAGCGCTCCAAATGTCCACTTACACACACTACAAAAAGAGTGTTTCAAACCTGCTCTGTGAAAGGGAATGTTCAATTCTGTGACTTGAATGCAATCATCACAAAGAACTTTCTGAGAATGCTGCTGTCTGCTTTTTATATGTAATCCCGTTTCCAACGAAATCCTCAAATCTAGCCAAATATCCACTTGCAGATTCCACAAAAAGAGTGTTTCAAAACTGTTCTGTCTAAAGAAATGTTCAACTGTGTTAGTTGAGGACACACATCAGAAACTAGTTTCTGAGAATGCTTCTGTCTAGTTGTTATGGGAAGATATTTCCTTTTCCAACGTAGGCCTGAAAGCGATCCAAATGTCCACTTCCATATACTAAAAAAAGAGTGTTTCAAACCTGCTCTACCAAAGGGAATGTTCTACTCTGTGACTTGAATGCAAACATCCCAAAGAAGTTTCTGAGAATGCTTCTGTCTAGATTTGATCTGAAGACAATCCCGTTTCCAACGAAATCCTCAAGGCTAGGCAAATATCCTCTTGCAGATTCCAGAAAAAGAGTGTTTCAAAACTGCTCCTTCAAAACGGTGGTTCAATTCTCTTAGTTGAGTACACACATCTCAAATAAGTTTCTG
Organism: Homo sapiens; assembly: GCF_000001405.40. Classification (NCBI taxonomy): domain Eukaryota; kingdom Metazoa; phylum Chordata; class Mammalia; order Primates; family Hominidae; genus Homo; species Homo sapiens. The sequence goes on along the minus strand of NC_000018.10, from coordinate 20,455,953 downwards.
AGAATGCTTCTGCCTAGTTGTTACGGGAAGATATTTCCCTTTCCAACATAGGCCTGAAAGCGCTCCAAATGTCCACTTCCAGATACTACAAAAAGAGTGTTTGAAACCTGCTCTATCAAAGGGAATGTTCTACTCTGTGACTTGAATGCAAACATCCCAAAGAAGTTTCTGAGAATGCTTCTGTCTAGATTTTACCTGAAGACAATCCGGTTTCCCACGAAATCCTCAAAACTATGCAAATATCCTCTTGCAGATTCTACAAAAAGAGTGTTTCAAAACTGCTCTATGAAAAGAAAGGTTCAACTCTGTCAGTAGAGGGCACACATCACAAACAAGTTTCTGAGAATGCTTCTGTCTAGTTGTTATGGGAAGATATTTCCTTTTCCAACATAGGCCTGAAAGCGCTCCAAATGTCCACTTCCAGATACTACAAAAGGAGTGATTCAAACCTGCTCTATGATAGGGAATGTTCAACTCTGTGTCCTGAATACAAACATCACAAAGATGTTTCTCAGAACGCTGCAGTCTGCAATTTGTATGAATTCCCGCTTCCAACGAAATCCTCAAAACTAGCCAAATATCCACTTGCAGATTCCACAAAAAGACCATTTCAAAACTGCTCTATCAAAAGAAAGGTTCAACTTTGTTAGTTGAGTAGATACAGCATAACCAAGTTTCTGAGAATGCTTCTGTCCAGTTTTTATGGGAAGATATTTCCTTTTTCACCTTAGCCCTGAAATCGCTCCAAAAGTCCAGTTCCAGATACTACAAAAGGGGTGTTTCAAGACTGCTCTATGAAAGGGAGTGTTCAACTTTTGACTTGAATGCAAACATCAGAAAGCAGTTTCTCAGAACGCTGCTGTGTGCTTTTTATATGTATTCCCGCTTCCAGCGAAATCCCCAAAGCTAGCCAAATATCCACTTGCAGATTCCAGAAAAAGAGTGTTTCAAAACTGCTCCTTCAAAACGGTGGTTCAATTCTCTTAGTTGAGTACACACATCTCAAATAAGTTTCTGAGAATGCTTCTGTCTAGTTGTTATGGGAAGATATTTCCTTTTCCAACATAGGCCTGAAAGCGCTCCAAATGTCCACTTCCAGATACTACAAAAGGAGTGATTCAAACCTGCTCTATGATAGGGAATGTTCAACTCTGTGTCCTGAATACAAACATCACAAAGATGTTTCTCAGAACGCTGCAGTCTGCAATTTGTATGAATTCCCGCTTCCAACGAAATCCTCCAAACTAGCCAAATATCCACTTGCAGATTCCACAAAAAGAGCGTTTCAAAACTTCTCTATGAAAAGAAAGGTTCTACTCCTTTATTTGAGGACACACATCACGAGTAAGTTTCTGAGAATGCTTCTGTCTAGTTTTTATGGGAAGATATTTCCTTTTTCACCTTAGGCCGGAAAGTGCTCCAAATGTCCACTTACACACACTACAAAAAGAGTGTTTCAAACCTGCTCTGTGAAAGGGAATGTTCAATTCTGTGACTTGAATGCAATCATCACAAAGAACTTTCTGAGAATGCTGCTGTCTGCTTTTTATATGTAATCCCGTTTCCAACGAAATCCTCAAATCTAGCCCAATATCCACTTGCAGATTCCACAAAAAGAGTGTTTCAAAACTGTTCTGTCTAAAGAAAAGTTCAACTGTGTTAGTTGAGGACACACATCAGAAACTAGTTTCTGAGAATGCTTCTGTCTAGTTGTTATGGGAAGATATTTCCTTTTCCAACGTAGGCCTGAAAGCGCTCCAAATGTCCACTTCCATATACTAAAAAAAGAGTGTTTCAAACCTGCTCTACCAAAGGGAATGTTCTACTCTGTGACTTGAATGCAAACATCCCAAAGAAGTTTCTGAGAATGCTTCTGTCTAGATTTTATCTGAAGACAATCCCGTTTCCAACGAAATCCTCAAGGCTAGGCAAATATACTCTTGCAGATTCCAGAAAAAGAGTGTTTCAAAACTGCTCCTTCAAAACGGTGGTTCAATTCTCTTAGTTGAGTACACACATCTCAAATAAGTGTCTGAGAATGCTTCTGCCTAGTTGTTACGGGAAGATATTTCCCTTTCCAACATGGGCCTGAAAGCGCTCCAAATGTCCACTTCCAGATACTACAAAAAGAGTGTTTCAAACCTGCTCTACCAAAGGGAATGTTCTACTCTGTGACTTGAATGCAAACATCCCAAAGAAGTTTCTGAGAATGCTTCTGTCTAGATTTTACCTGAAGACAATCCCGTTTCCCACGAAATCCTCAAAGCTATGCAAATATCCTCTTGCAGATTCTACAAAAAGAGTGTTTCGAAACTGCTCTATGAAAAGAAAGGTTCAACTGTGTCAGTAGAGGGCACACATCACAAACAAGTTTCTGAGAATGCTTCTGTCTAGTTGTTATGGGAAGATATTTCCTTTTTCAACATAGGCCTGAAAGCGCTCCAAATGTCCACTTCCAGATACTAAAAAAGGAGTGATTCCAACCTGCTCTATGATAGGGAATGTTCAACTCTGTGTCCTGAATACAAACATCACAAAGATGTTTCTCAGAACGCTGCAGTCTGCAATTTGTATGAATTCCCGCTTCCAGCGAAATCCTCAAAACTAGCCAAATATCCACTTGCAGATTCCACAAAAAGAGCATTTCAAAACTGCTCTATCAAAAGAAAGGTTCAACTTTGTTAGTTGAGTAGATACAGCATAAACAAGTTTCTGAGAATGCTTCTGTCCAGTTTTTATGGGAAGATATTTCCTTTTTCACCTTAGCCCTGAAAGCGCTCCAAAAGTCCAGTTCCAGATACTACAAAAGGAGTGTTTCAGGACTGCTCTATGAAAGGGAGTGTTCAACTTTTGACTTGAATGCAAACATCAGAAAGCAGTTTCTCAGAACGCTGCAGTCTGCAATTTGTATGAATTCCCGCTTCCAACGAAATCCTCCAAACTAGCCAAATATCCACTTGCAGATTCCACAAAAAGAGCGTTTCAAAACTTCTCTATGAAAAGAAAGGTTCTACTCCTTTAGTTGAGGACACACATCACGAGTAAGTTTCTGAGAATGCTTCTGTCTAGTTTTTATGGGAAGATATGTCCTTTTTCACCTTAGGCCGGAAAGCGCTCCAAATGTCCACTTACACACACTACAAAAAGAGTGTTTCAAACCTGCTCTGTGAAAGGGAATGTTCAATTCTGTGACTTGAATGCAATCATCACAAACAACTTTCTGAGAATGCTGCTGTCTGCTTTTTATATGTAATCCCCTTTCCAACGAAATCCTCAAATCTAACCCAATATCCACTTGCAGATTCCACAAAAAGAGTGTTTCAAAACTGTTCTGTCTAAAGAAAAGTTCAACTGTGTTGTTTGAGGACACACATCAGAAACTAGTTTCTGAGAATGCTTCTGTCTAGTTGTTATGGGAAGATATTTCCTTTTCCAACGTAGGCCTGAAAGCGCTCCAAATGTCCACTTCCATATACTAAAAAAAGAGTGTTTCAAACCTGCTCTACCAAAGGGAATGTTCTACTCTGTGACTTGAATGCAAACATCCCAAAGAAGTTTCTGAGAATGCTTCTGTCTAGATTTTTTCTGAAGACAATCCCGTTTCCAACGAAATCTTCAAGGCTAGGCAAATATACTCTTGCAGATTCCAGAAAAAGAGTGTTTCAAATCTGCTCCTTCAAAACGGTGGTTCAATTCTCTTAGTTGAGTACACACATCTCAAATAAGTTTCTGAGAATGCTTCTGCCTAGTTGTTACGGGAAGATATTTCCCTTTCCAAAATAGGCCTGAAAGCGCTCCAAATGTCCACTTCCAGATACTGCAAAAGGAGTGATTCCAACCTGCTCTATGATAGGGAAAGTTCAACTCTGTGTCCTGAATACAAACATCACAAAGATGTTTCTCAGAACGCTGCAGTCTGCAATTTGTATGAATTCCCGCTTCCAACGAAATCCTCAAAACTAGCCAAATATCCACTTGCAGATTCCACAAAAAGACCATTTCAAAACTGCTCTATCAAAAGAAAGGTTCAACTTTGTTAGTTGAGTAGATACAGCATAAACAAGTTTCTGAGAATGCTTCTGTCCAGTTTTTATGGGAAGATATTTCCTTTTTCACCTTAGCCCTGAAATCGCTCCAAAAGTCCAGTTCCAGATACTACAAAAGGGGTGTTTCAGGACTGCTCTATGAAAGGGAGTGTTCAACTTTTGACTTGAATGCAAACATCAGAAAGCAGTTTCTCAGAACGCTGCTGTGTGCTTTTTATATGTATTCCCGCTTCCAGCGAAATCCCCAAAGCTAGCCAAATATCCACTTGCAGATTCCAGAAAAAGAGTGTTTCAAAACTGCTCCTTCAAAACGGTGGTTCAATTCTCTTAGTTGAGTACACACATCTCAAATAAGTTTCTGAGAATGCTTGTGTCTAGTTGTTATGGGAAGATATTTCCTTTTTCAACATAGGCCTGAAAGCGCTCCAAATGTCCACTTCCAGATACTACAAAAGGAGTGATTCCAACCTGCTCTATGATAGGGAATGTTCATCTCTGTGTCCTGAATACAAACATCACAAAGATGTTTCTCAGAACGCTGCAGTCTGCAATTTGGATGAATTCCCGCTTCCAACGAAATCCTCAAAACTAGCCAAATATCCACTTGGAGATTCCACAAAAAGAGCGTTTCAAAACTTCTCTATGAATAGAAAGGTTCTACTCCTTTAGTTGAGGAAACACATCACGAGTAAGTTTCTGAGAATGCTTCTGTCTAGTTTTTATGGGAAGATATTTCCTTTTTCACCTTAGGCCGGTAAGTGCTCCAAATGTCCACTTACACACACTACAAAAAGAGTGTTTCAAACCTGCTCTGTGAAAGGGAATGTTCAATTCTGTGACTTGAATGCAATCATCACAAAGAACTTTCTGAGAATGCTGCTGACTGCTTTTTATATGTAATCCCGTTTCCAACGAAATCCTCAAATCTAGCCAAATAGCCACTTGCAGATTCCACAAAAAGAGTGTTTCAAAACTGTTCTGTCTAAAGAAATGTGCAACTGTGTTAGTTGAGGACACACATCAGAAACTAGTTTCTGAGAATGCTTCTGTATAGTTGTTATGGGAAGATATTTCCTTTTCCAACGTAGGCATGAAAGCGCTCCAAATGTCCACTTACACACACTACAAAAAGAGTGTTTCAAACCTGCTCCACCAAAGGGAATGTTCTACTCTGTGACTTGAATGCAAACATCCCAAAGAAGTTTCTGAGAATGCTTCTGTCTAGATTTTACCTGAAGACAATCCCGTTTCCCACGAAATCCTCAAAGCTATGCAAATATCCTCTTGCAGATTCTACAAAAAGAGTGTTTCGAAAGTGCTCTATGAAAAGAAAGGTTCAACTGTGTCAGTAGAGGGCACACATCACAAACAAGTTTCTGAGAATGCCTCTGCCTAGTTGTTACGGGAAGATATTTCCCTTTCCAACATAGGCCTGAAAGCGCTCCAAATGTCCACTTCCAGATACTACAAAAAGAGTGTTTCAAACCTGCTCTACCAAAGGGAATGTTCTACTCTGTGACTTGAATGCAAACATCCCAAAGAAGTTTCTGAGAATGCTTCTGTCTAGATTTTACCTGAAGACAATCCCGTTTCCCACGAAATCCTCAAAGCTATGCAAATATCCTCTTGCAGATTCTACAAAAAGAGTGTTTCAAAACTGCTCTATGAAAAGAAAGGTTCAACTCTGTCAGTAGAGGGCACACATCACAAACAAGTTTCTGAGAATGCTTCTGCATAGTTGTTACGGGAAGATATTTCCCTTTCCAAAATAGGCCTGAAAGCGCTCCAAATGTCCACTTCCAGATACTACAAAAGGAGTGATTCCAACCTGCTCTATGATAGGGAATGTTCAACTCTGTGTCCTGAATACAAACATCACAAAGATGTTTCTCAGAACGCTGCAGTCTGCAATTTGTATGAATTCCCGCTTCCAACGAAATCCTCAAAACTAGCCAAATATCCACTTGCAGATTCCACAAAAAGACCATTTCAAAACTGCTCTATCAAAAGAAAGGTTCAACTTTGTTAGTTGAGTAGATACAGCATAAACAAGTTTCTGAGAATGCTTCTGTCCAGTTTTTATGGGAAGATATTTCCTTTTTCACCTTAGCCCTGAAATCGCTCCAAAAGTCCAGTTCCAGATACTACAAAAGGGGTGTTTCAGGACTGCTCTATGAAAGGGAGTGTTCAACTTTTGACTTGAATGCAAACATCAGAAAGCAGTTTACTCAGAACGCTGCTGTGTGCTTTTTATATGTATTCCCGCTTCCAGCGAAATCCCCAAAGCTAGCCAAATATCCACTTGCAGATTCCAGAAAAAGAGTGTTTCAAAACTGCTCCTTCAAAACGGTGGTTCAATTCTCTTAGTTGAGTACACACATCTCAAATAAGTTTCTGAGAATGCTTCTGTCTAGTTGTTATGGGAAGATATTTCCTTTTCCAACATAGGCCTGAAAGCGCTCCAAATGTCCACTTCCAGGTACTACAAAAGGAGTGATTCAAACCTGCTCTATGATAGGGAATGTTCAACTCTGTGTCCTGAATACAAACATCACAAAGATGTTTCTCAGAACGCTGCAGTCTGCAATTTGTATGAATTCCCGCTTCCAACGAAATCCTCAAAACTAGCCAAATATCCACTTGGAGATTCCACAAAAAGAGCGTTTCAAAACTTCTCTATGAATAGAAAGGTTCTACTCCTTTAGTTGAGGACACACATCACGAGTAAGTTTCTGAGAATGCTTCTCTCTAGTTTCTATGGGAAGATATTTCCTTTTTCACCTTAGGCCGGAAAGCGCTCCAAATGTCCACTTACACACACTACAAAAAGAGTGTTTCAAACCTGCTCTGTGAAAGGGAATGTTCAATTCTGTGACTTGAATGCAATCATCACAAAGAACTTTCTGAGAATGCTGCTGTCTGCTTTTTATTTGTAATCCCGTTTCCAACGAAATCCTCAAATCTAGCCAAATATCCACTTGCAGATTCCACAAAAAGAGTGTTTCAAAACTGTTCTGTCTAAAGAAATGTTCAACTGTGTTAGTTGAGGACACACATCAGAAACTAGTTTCTGAGAATGCTTATCTGTCTAGTTGTTATGGGAAGATATTTCCTTTTCCAACGTAGGCCTGAAAGCGATCAAAATGTCCACTTCCATATACTAAAAAAAGAGTGTTTCAAACCTGCTCTACCAAAGGGAATGTTCTACTCTGTGACTTGAATGCAAACATCCCAAAGAAGTTTCTGAGAATGCTTCTGTCTAGATTTTCTCTGAAGACAATCCCGTTTCCAACGAAATCCTCAAGGCTAGGCAAATATACTCTTGCAGATTCCAGAAAAAGAGTGTTTCAAAACTGCTCCTTCAAAACGGTGGTTCAATTCTCTTAGTTGAGTACACACATCTCAAATAAGTTTCTGAGAATGCTTCTGCCTAGTTGTTACGGGAAGATATTTCCCTTTCCAACATAGGCCTGAAAGCGCTCCAAATGTCCACTTCCAGATACTACAAAAAGAGTGTTTCAAACCTGCTCTACCAAAGGGAATGTTCTGCTCTGTGACTTGAATGCAAACATCCCAAAGAAGTTTCTGAGAATGCTTCTGTCTAGATTTTACCTGAAGACAATCCCGTTTCCCACGAAATCCTCAAAGCTATGCAAATATCCTCTTGCAGATTCTACAAAAAGAGTGTTTCAAAACTGCTCTATGAAAAGAAAGGTTCAACTCTGTCAGTAGAGGGCACACATCACAAACAAGTTTCTGAGAATGCTTGTGTCTAGTTGTTATGGGAAGATATTTCCTTTTTTAACATAGGCCTGAAAGCGCTCCAAATGTCCACTTCCAGATACTACAAAAGGAGTGATTCCAACCTGCTCTATGATAGGGAATGTTCAACTCTGTGTCCTGAATACAAACATCACAAAGATGTTTCTCAGAACGCTGCAGTCTGCAATTTGTATGAATTCCCGCTTCCAACGAAATCCTCAAAACTAGCCAAATATCCACTTGCAGATTCCACAAAAAGACCATTTCAAAACTGCTCTATCAAAAGAAAGGTTCAACTTTGTTAGTTGAGTAGATACAGCATAAACAAGTTTCTGAGAATGCTTCTGTCCAGTTTTTATGGGAAGATATTTCCTTTTTCACCTTAGCCCTGAAATCGCTCCAAAAGTCCAGTTCCAGATACTACAAAACGGGTGTTTCAAGACTGCTCTATGAAAGGGAGTGTTCAACTTTTGACTTGAATGCAAACATCAGAAAGCAGTTTCTCAGAACGGCTGCTGTGTGCTTTTTATATGTATTCCCGCTTCCAGCGAAATCCCCAAAGCTAGCCAAATATCCACTTGCAGATTCCAGAAAAAGAGTGTTTCAAAACTGCTCCTTCAAAACGGTGGTTCAATTCTCTTAGTTGAGTACACACATCTCAAATAAGTTTCTGAGAATGCTTCTGTCTAGTTGTTATGGGAAGATATTTCCTTTTCCAACATAGGCCTGAAAGCGCTCCAAATGTCCACTTCCAGATACTACAAAAGGAGTGATTCCAACCTGCTCTATGATAGGGAATGTTCAACTCTGTGTCCTGAATACAAACATCACAAAGATGTTTCTCAGAACGCTGCAGTCTGCAATTTGTATGAATTCCCGCTTCCAACGAAATCCTCAAAACTAGCCAAATATCCACTTGCAGATTCCACAAAAAGAGCGTTTCAAAACTTCTCTATGAAAAGAAAGGTTCTACTACTTTAGTTGAGGACACACATCACGAGTAAGTTTCTGAGAATGCTTCTGTCTAGTTTTTATGGGAAGATATTTCCTTTTTCACCTTAGGCCGGAAAGCGCTCCAAATGTCCACTTACACACACTACAAAAAGAGTGTTTCAAACCTGCTCTGTGAAAGGGAATGTTCAATTCTGTGACTTGAATGCAATCATCACAAAGAACTTTCTGAGAATGCTGCTGACTGCTTTTTATATGTAATCCCGTTTCCAACGAAATCCTCAAATCTAGCCAAATAGCCACTTGCAGATTCCACAAAAAGAGTGTTTCAAAACTGTTCTGTCTAAAGAAATGTTCAACTGTGTTAGTTGAGGACACACATCAGAAACTAGTTTCTGAGAATGCTTCTGTCTAGTTGTTATGGGAAGATATTTCCTTTTCCAACGTAGGCCTGAATGCGCTCCAAATGTCCACTTCCATATACTAAAAAAAGAGTGTTTCAAACCTGCTCTACCAAAGGGAATGTTCTACTCTGTGACTTGAATGCAAACATCCCAAAGAAGTTTCTGAGAATGCTTCTGTCTAGATTTTCTCTGAAGACAATCCCGTTTCCAACGAAATCCTCAAGGCTAGGCAAATATACTCTTGCAGATTCCAGAAAAAGAGTGTTTCAAAACTGCTCCTTCAAAACGGTGGTTCAACTCTCTTAGTTGAGTACACACATCTCAAATAAGTTTCTGAGAATGCTTCTGCCTAGTTGTTACGGGAAGATATTTCCCTTTCCAACATGGGCCTGAAAGCGCTCCAAATGTCCACTTCCAGATACTACAAAAAGAGTGTTTCAAACCTGCTCTACCAAAGGGAATGTTCTACTCTGTGACTTGAATGCAAACATCCCAAAGAAGTTTCTGAGAATGCTTCTGTCTAGATTTTACCTGAAGACAATCCCGTTTCCCACGAAATCCTCAAAGCTATGCAAATATCCTCTTGCAGATTCTACAAAAAGAGTGTTTCAAAACTGCTCTATGAAAAGAAAGGTTCAACTCTGTCAGTAGAGGGCACACATCACAAACAAGTTTCTGAGAATGCTTCTGCATAGTTGTTACGGGAAGATATTTCCCTTTCCAAAATAGGCCTGAAAGCGCTCCAAATGTCCACTTCCAGATACTACAAAAGGAGTGATTCCAACCTGCTCTATGATAGGGAATGTTCAACTCTGTGTCCTGAATACAAACATCACAAAGATGTTTCTCAGAACGCTGCAGTCTGCAATTTGTATGAATTCCCGCTTCCAACGAAATCCTCAAAACTAGCCAAATATCCACTTGCAGATTCCACAAAAAGACCATTTCAAAACTGCTCTATCAAAAGAAAGGTTCAACTTTGTTAGTTGAGTAGATACAGCATAAACAAGTTTCTGAGAATGCTTCTGTCCAGTTTTTATGGGAAGATATTTCCTTTTTCACCTTAGCCCTGAAATCGCTCCAAAAGTCCAGTTCCAGATACTACAAAAGGGGTGTTTCAAGACTGCTCTATGAAAGGGAGTGTTCAACTTTTGACTTGAATGCAAACATCAGAAAGCAGTTTCTCAGAACGCTGCTGTCTGCTTTGTATATGTAATCCCGTTTCCAACGAAATCCTCAAATCTAGCTAAATATCCACTTGCAGATTCCAGAAAAAGAGTGTTTCAAAACTGCTCCTTCAAAACGGTGGTTCAATTCTCTTAGTTGAGTACACACATCTCAAATAAGTTTCTGAGAATGCTTCTGTCTAGTTGTTATGGGAAGATATTTCCTTTTCCAACGTAGGCCTGAAAGCGCTCCAAATGTCCACTTCCATATACGAAAAAAAGAGTGTTTCAAACCTGCTCTACCAAAGGGAATGTTCTACTCTGGGCCTTGAATGCAAACATCCCAAAGAAGTTTCTGAGAATGCTTCTGTCTAGATTATATCTGAAGACAATCCCGTTTCCAACGAAATCCTCAAAGCTAGGCAAATATACTCTTTCAGATTCCAGAAAAAGAGTGTTTCAAAACTGCTCCTTCAAAAGGGTGGTTCAATTCTCTTAGTTGAGTACACACATCTCAAAAAGTTTCTGAGAAGGCTTCTGCCTAGTTGTTACGGGAAGATATTTCCCTTTCCAACATAGGCCTGATAGCGCTCCAAATGTCCACTTCCAGATACTACAAAAAGAGTGTTTCAAACCTGCTGTACCAAAGGGAATGTTCTACTCTGTGACTTGAATGCAAACATCCCAAAGAAGTTTCTGAGAATGCTTCTGTCTAGATTTGATCTGAAGACAATCCCGTTTCCAACGAAATCCTCAAAGCTGGCAAATATCCTCTAGCAGATTCCAGAAAAAGAGTGTTTCAAAACTGGTCCTTCAAAGCGGTGGTTCAATTCTCTTAGTTGAGTACACACATCTCAAATAAGTTTCTGAGAATGCTTCTGCCTAGTTGTTACGGGAAGATATTTCCCTTTCCAACATGGGCCTGAAAGCGCTCCAAATGTCCACTTCCAGATACTACAAAAAGAGTGTTTCAAACCTGCTCTACCAAAGGGAATGTTCTACTCTGTGACTTGAATGCAAACATCCCAAAGAAGTTTCTGAGAATGCTTCTGTCTAGATTTTACCTGAAGACAATCCCGTTTCCCACGAAATCCTCAAAGCTATGCAAATATCCTCTTGCAGATTTTACAAAAAGAGTGTTTCAAAACTGCTCTATGAAAAGAAAGGTTCAACTCTGTCAGTAGAGGTCACACATCACAAACAAGTTTCTGAGAATGCTTCTGCCTAGTTGTTACGGGAAGATATTTCCCTTTCCAACATGGGCCTGAAAGCGCTCCAAATGTCCACTTCCAGATACTACAAAAGGAGTGATTCCAACCTGCTCTATGATAGGGAATGTTCAACTCTGTGTCCTGAATACAAACATCACAAAGATGTTTCTCAGAACGCTGCAGTCTGCAATTTGTATGAATTCCCGCTTCCAACGAAATCCTCAAAACTAGCCAAATATCCACTTGCAGATTCCACAAAAAGAGCATTTCAAAACTGCTCTATCAAAAGAAAGGTTCAACTTTGTTAGTTGAGTAGATACAGCATAAACAAGTTTCTGAGAATGCTTCTGTCCAGTTTTTATGGGAAGATATTTCCTTTTTCACCTTAGCCCTGAAATCGCTCCAAAAGTCCAGTTCCAGATACTACAAAAGGGGTGTTTCAAGACTGCTCTATGAAAGGGAGTGTTCAACTTTTGACTTGAATGCAAACATCAGAAAGCAGTTTCTCAGAACGCTGCTGTGTGCTTTTTATATGTATTCCCGCTTCCAGCGAAATCCCCAAAGCTAGCCAAATATCCACTTGCAGATTCCAGAAAAAGAGTGTTTCAAAACTGCTCCTTCAAAACGGTGGTTCAATTCTCTTAGTTGAGTACACACATCTCAAATAAGTTTCTGAGAATGCTGCTGTGTGCTTTTTATATGTATTCCCGCTTACAGCGAAATCCCCAAAGCTAGCCAAATATCCACTTGCAGATTCCAGAAAAAGAGTGTTTCAAAACTGCTCCTTCAAAACGGTGGTTCAATTCTCTTAGTTGAGTACACACATCTCAAATAAGTTTCTGAGAATGCTTCTGTCTAGTTGTTATGGGAAGATATTTCCTTTTCCAACATAGGCCTGAAAGCGCTCCAAATGTCCACTTCCAGATACTACAAAAGGAGTGATTCAAACCTGCTCTATGATAGGGAATGTTCAACTCTGTGTCCTGAATACAAACATCACAAAGATGTTTCTCAGAACGCTGCAGTCTGCAATTTGTATGAATTCCCGCTTCCAACGAAATCCTCAAAACTAGCCAAATATCCACTTGCAGATTCCACAAAAAGACCATTTCAAAACTGCTCTATCAAAAGAAAGGTTCAACTTTGTTAGTTGAGTAGATACAGCATAAACAAGTTTCTGAGAATGCTTCTGTCCAGTTTTTATGGGAAGATATTTCCTTTTTCACCTTAGCCCTGAAATCGCTCCAAAAGTCCAGTTCCAGATACTACAAAAGGGGTGTTTCAGGACTGCTCTATGAAAGGGAGTGTTCAACTTTTGACTTGAATGCAAACATCAGAAAGCAGTTTCTCAGAACGCTGCTGTGTGCTTTTTATATGTATTCCCGCTTCCAGCGAAATCCCCAAAGCTAGCCAAATATCCACTTGCAGATTCCAGAAAAAGAGAGTTTCAAAACTGCTCCTTCAAAACGGTGGTTCAATTCTCTTAGTTGAGTACACACATCTCAAATAAGTTTCTGAGAATGCTTCTGTCTATTTGTTATGGGAAGATATTTCCTTTTCCAACATAGGCCTGAAAGCGCTCCAAATGTCCACTTCCAGATACTACAAAAGGAGTGATTCCAACCTGCTCTATGATAGGGAATGTTCAACTCTGTGTCCTGAATACAAACATCACAAAGATGTTTCTCAGAACGCTGCAGTCTGCAATTTGTATGAATTCCCGCTTCCAACGAAATCCTCAAAACTAGCCAAATATCCACTTGCAGATTCCACAAAAAGAGCGTTTCAAAACTTCTCTATGAAAAGAAAGTTTCTACTCCTTTACTTGAGTACACACATCACGAGTAAGTTTCTGAGAATGCTTCTGTCTAGTTTTTATGGGAAGATATTTCCTTTTTCACCTTAGGCCGGAAAGCGCTCCAAATGTCCACTTACACACACTACAAAAAGAGTGTTTCAAACCTGCTCTGTGAAAGGGAATGTTCAATTCTGTGACTTGAATGCAATCATCACAAAGAACTTTCTGAGAATGCCGCTGTCTGCTTTTTATATGTAATCCCGTTTCCAACGAAATGCTCAAATCTAGCCAAATATCCACTTGCAAATTCCACAAAAAGAGTGTTTCAAAACTGTTCTGTCTAAAGAAATGTTCAACTGTGTTAGTTGAGGACACACATCAGAAACTAGTTTCTGAGAATGCTTCTGTCTAGTTGTTATGGGAAGATATTTCCTTTTCCAACGTAGGCCTGAAAGCGCTCCAAATGTCCACTTCCATATACTAAAAAAAGAGTGTTTCAAACCTGCTCTACCAAAGGGAATGTTCTACTCTGTGACTTGAATGCAAACATCCCAAAGAAGTTTCTGAGAATGCTTCTGTCTAGATTTTCTCTGAAGACAATCCCGTTTCCAACGAAATCCTCAAGGCTAGGCAAATATACTCTTGCAGATTCCAGAAAAAGAGTGTTTCAAAACTGCTCCTTCAAAACGGTGGTTCAATTCTCTTAGTTGAGTACACACATCTCAAATAAGTTTCTGAGAATGCTTCTGCCTAGTTGTTACGGGAAGATATTTCCCTTTCCAACATGGGCCTGAAAGCGCTCCAAATGTCCACTTCCAGATACTACAAAAAGAGTGTTTCAAACCTGCTCTACCAAAGGGAATGTTCTACTCTGTGACTTGAATGCAAACATCCCAAAGAAGTTTCTGAGAATGCTTCTGTCTAGATTTTACCTGAAGACAATCCCGTTTCCCACGAAATCCTCAAAGCTATGCAAATATCCTCTTGCAGATTCTACAAAAAGAGTGTTTCAAAACTGCTCTATGAAAAGAAAGGTTCAACTCTGTCAGTAGAGGGCACACATCACAAACAAGTTTCTGAGAATACTTCTGTCTAGTTGTTATGGGAAGATATTTCCTTTTTCAACATAGGCCTGAAAGCGCTCCAAATGTCCACTTCCAGATACTACAAAAGGAGTGAATCAAAAATGCTCTATGATAGGGAATGTTCAACTCTGTGTCCTGAATACAAACATCACAAAATGTTTTCTCAGAACGCAGTCTGCAATTTGTATGAATTCCCGCTTCCAACGAAATCCTCAAAACTAGCCAAATATCCACTTGCAGATTCCACAAAAAGAGCATTTCAAAACTGCTCTATCAAAAGAAAGGTTCAACTTTGTTAGTTGAGTAGATACAGCATAAACAAGTTTCTGAGAATGCTTCTGTCCAGTTTTTATGGGAAGATATTTCCTTTTTCACTTTAGCCCTGAAAGCGCTCCAAAAGTCCAGTTCCAGATACTACAAAAGGAGTGTTTCAGGACTGCTCTATGAAAGGGAGTGTTCAACTTTTGACTTGAATGCAAACATCAGAAAGCAGTTTCTCAGAACGCTGCTGTGTGCTTTTTATATGTATTCCCGCTTCCAGCGAAATCCCCAAAGCTAGCCAAATATCCACTTGCAGATTCCAGAAAAAGAGTGTTTCAAAACTGCTCCTTCAAAACGGTGGTTCAATTCTCTTAGTTGAGTACACACATCTCAAATAAGTTTCTGAGAATGCTGCTGTGTGCTTTTTATATGTATTCCCGCTTCCAGCGAAATCCCCAAAGCTAGCCAAATATCCACTTGCAGATTCCAGAAAAAGAGTGTTTCAAAACTGCTCCTTCAAAACGGTGGTTCAATTCTCTTAGTTGAGTACACACATCTCAAATAAGTTTCTGAGAATGCTGCAGTCTGCAATTTGTATGAATTCCCGCTTCCAACGAAATCCTCAAAACTAGCCAAATATCCACTTGGAGATTCCACAAAAAGAGCGTTTCAAAACTTCTCTATGAATAGAAAGGTTCTACTCCTTTAGTTGAGGACACACATCACGAGTAAGTTTCTGAGAATGCTTCTGTCTGGTTTTTATGGTAAGATATGTCCTTTTTCACCTTAGGCCGGAAAGCGCTCCAAATGTCCACTTACACACACTACAAAAAGAGTGTTTCAAACCTGCTCTGTGAAAGGGAATGTTCAATTCTGTGACTTGAATGCAATCATCACAAAGAACTTTCTGAGAATGCTGCTGACTGCTTTTTATATGTAATCCCGTTTCCAACGAAATCCTCAAATCTAGCCCAATATCCACTTGCAGATTCCACAAAAAGAGTGTTTCAAAACTGTTCTGTCTAAAGAAATGTACAACTGTGTTAGTTGAGGACACACATCAGAAACTAGTTTCTGAGAATGCTTCTGTCTAGTTGTTATGGGAAGATATTTCCTTTTCCAACGTAGGCCTGAAAGCGCTCCAAATGTCCACTTCCATATACTAAAAAAAGAGTGTTTCAAACCTGCTCTACCAAAGGGAATGTTCTACTCTGTGACTTGAATGCAAACATCCCAAAGAAGTTTCTGAGAATGCTTCTGTCTAGATTTGATCTGAAGACAATCCCGTTTCCAACGAAATCCTCAAGGCTAGGCAAATATCCTCTTGCAGATTCCAGAAAAAGAGTGTTTCAAAACTGCTCCTTCAAAACGATGGTTCAATTCTCTTAGTTGAGTACACACATCTCAAATAAGTTTCTGAGAATGCTTCTGCCTAGTTGTTACGGGAAGATATTTCCCTTTCCAACATGGGCCTGAAAGCGCTCCAAATGTCCACTTCCAGATACTACAAAAAGAGTGTTTCAAACCTGCTCTACCAAAGGGAATGTTCTACTCTGTGACTTGAATGCAAACATCCCAAAGAAGTTTCTGAGAACGCTTCTGTCTAGATTTTACCTGAAGACAATCCCGTTTCCCACGAAATCCTCAAAGCTATGCAAATATCCTCTTGCAGATTCTACAAAAAGAGTGTTTCAAAACTGCTCTATGAAAAGAAAGGTTCAACTCTGTCAGTAGAGGGCACACATCACAAACAAGTTTCTGAGAATGCTTCTGCCTAGTTGTTATGGGAAGATATTTCCTTTTTCAACATAGGCCTGAAAGCGCTCCAAATGTCGACTTCCAGATACTACAAAAGGAGTGATTCCAGCCTTCTCTATGATAGGGAATGTTCAACTCTGTGTCCTGAATACAAACATCACAAAGACGTTTCTCAGAACGCTGCAGTCTGCAATTTGTATGAATTCCCGCTTCCAATGAAATCCTCAAAACTAGCCAAATATCCACTTGCAGATTCCACAAAAAGAGCATTTCAAAACTGCTCTATCAAAAGAAAGGTTCAACTTTGTTAGTTGAGTAGATACAGCATAAACATGTTTCTGAGAATGCTTCTGTCCAGTTTTTATGGGAAGATATTTCCTTTTTCACCTTAGCCCTGAAAGCGCTCCAAATGTCCAGTTCCCGATACTACAAAAGGGGTGTTTCAAGACTGCTCTATGAAAGGGAGTGTTCAACTTTTGACTTGAATGCAAACATCAGAAAGCAGTTTCTCAGAACGCTGCAGTCTGCAATTTGTATGAATTCCCGCTTCCAACGAAATCCTCAAAACTAGCCAAATATCCACTTGGAGATTCCACAAAAAGAGCGTTTCAAAACTTCTCTATGAATAGAAAGGTTCTATTCCTTTAGTTGAGGACACACATCACGAGTAAGTTTCTGAGAATGATTCTGTCTAGTTTTTATGGGAAGATATTTCCTTTTTCACCTTAGGCCGGTAAGTGCTCCAAATGTCCACTTACACACACTACAAAAAGAGTGTTTCAAACCTGCTCTGTGAAAGGGAATGTTCAATTCTGTGACTTGAATGCAATCATCACAAAGAACTTTCTGAGAATGCTGCTGACTGCTTTTTATATGTAATCCCGTTTCCAACGAAATCCTCAAATCTAGCCAAATAGCCACTTGCAGATTCCACAAAAAGAGTGTTTCAAAACTGTTCTGTCTAAAGAAATGTTCAACTGTGTTAGTTGAGGACACACATCAGAAACTAGTTTCTGAGAATGCTTCTGTCTAGTTGTTATGGGAAGATATTTCCTTTTCCAACGTAGGCCTGAAAGCGCTCCAAATGTCCACTTCCATATACTAAAAAAAGAGTGTTTCAAACCTGCTCTACCAAAGGGAATGTTCTACTCTGTGACTTGAATGCAAACATCCCAAAGAAGTTTCTGAGAATGCTTCTGTCTAGATTTTATCTGAAGACAATCCCGTTTCCAACGAAATCCTCAAGGCTAGGCAAATATACTCTTGCAGATTCCAGAAAAAGAGTGTTTGAAAACTGCTCCTTCAAAACGGTGGTTCAATTCTCTTAGTTGAGTACACACATCTCAAATAAGTTTCTGAGAATGCTTCTGCCTAGTTGTTACGGGAAGATATTTCCCTTTCCAACATGGGCCTGAAAGCGCTCCAAATGTCCACTTCCAGATACTACAAAAAGAGTGTTTCAAACCTGCTCTACCAAAGGGAATGTTCTACTCTGTGACTTGAATGCAAACATCCCAAAGAAGTTTCTGAGAATGCTTCTGTCTAGATTTTACCTGAAGACAATCCCGTTTCCCACGAAATCCTCAAAGCTATGCAAATATCCTCTTGCAGATTCTACAAAAAGAGTGTTTCAAAACTGCTCTATGAAAAGAAAGATTCAACTCTGTCAGTACAGGATACACATCACAAACAAGTTTCTGAGAATGCTTGTGTCTAGTTGTTATGGGAAGATATTTCCTTTTTCAACATAGGCCTGAAAGCGCTCCAAATGTCCCAGATACTACAAAAGGAGTGATTCCAACCTGCTCTATGATAGGGAATGTTCATCTCTGTGTCCTGAATACAAACATCACAAAGATGTTTTTTAGAACGCTGCAGTCTGCAATTTGTATGAATTCCCGCTTCCAACGAAATCCTCAAAACTAGCCAAATATCCACTTGCAGATTCCACAAAAAGACCATTTCAAAACTGCTCTATCAAAAGAAAGGTTCAACTTTGTTAGTTGAGTAGATACAGCATAAACAAGTTTCTGAGAATGCTTCTGTCCAGTTTTTATGGGAAGATATTTCCTTTTTCACCTTAGCCCTGAAATCGCTCCAAAAGTCCAGTTCCAGATACTACAAAAGGGGTGTTTCAAGACTGCTCTATGAAAGGGAGTGTTCAACTTTTGACTTGAATGCAAACATCAGAAAGCAGTTTCTCAGAACGCTGCTGTGTGCTTTTTATATGTATTCCCGCTTCCAGCGAAATCCCCAAAGCTAGCCAAATATCCACTTGCAGATTCCAGAAAAAGAGTGTTTCAAAACTGCTCCTTCAAAACGGTGGTTCAATTCTCTTAGTTGAGTACACACATCTCAAATAAGTTTCTGAGAATGCTTGTGTCTAGTTGTTATGGGAAGATATTTCCTTTTTCAACATAGGCCTGAAAGCGCTCCAAATGTCCACTTCCAGATACTACAAAAGGAGTGATTCCAACATGCTCTATGATAGGGAATGTTCATCTCTGTGTCTTGAATACAAACATCACAAAGATGTTTCTCAGAACGCTGCAGTCTGCAATTTGTATGAATTCCCGCTTCCAACGAAATCCTCAAAACTAGCCAAATATCCACTTGCAGATTCCACAAAAAGAGCGTTTCAAAACTTCTCTATGAAAAGAAAGGTTCTACTCGTTTAGTTGAGGACACACATCACGAGTAAGTTTCTGAGAATGCTTCTGTCTAGTTTTTATGGGAAGATATTTCCTTTTTCACCTTAGGCCGGAAAGCGCTCCAAATGTCCACTTACACACACTACAAAAAGAGTGTTTCAAACCTGCTCTGTGAAAGGGAATGTTCAATTCTGTGACTTGAATGCAATCATCACAAAGAACTTTCTGAGAATGCTGCTGACTGCTTTTTATATGTAATCCCGTTTCCAACGAAATCCTCAAATCTAGCCAAATATCCACTTGCAGATTCCACAAAAAGAGTGTTTCATAACTGTTCTGTCTAAAGAAATGTACAACTGTGTTAGTTGAGGACACACATCAGAAACTAGTTTCTGAGAATGCTTCTGTCTAGTTGTTATGGGAAGATATTTCCTTTTCCAACGTAGGCCTGAAAGCGCTCCAAATGTCCACTTCCAGATACTACAAAAAGAGTGTTTCAAACCTGCTCTACCAAAGGGAATGTTCTACTCTGTGACTTGAATGCAAACATCCCAAAGAAGTTTCTGAGAATGCTTCCTGTCTAGATTTTCTCTGAAGACAATCCCGTTTCCAACGAAATCCTCAAGGCTAGGCAAATATCCTCTTGCAGATTCCAGAAAAAGAGTGTTTCAAAACTGCTCCTTCAAAACGGTGGTTCAATTCTCTTAGTTGAGTACACACATCTCAAATAAGTTTCTGAGAATGCTTCTGCCTAGTTGTTACGGGAAGATATTTCCCTTTCCAACATGGGCCTGAAAGCGCTCCAAATGTCCACTTCCAGATACTACAAAAAGAGTGTTTCAAACCTGCTCTACCAAAGGGAATGTTCTACTCTGTGACTTGAATGCAAACATCCCAAAGAAGTTTCTGAGAATGCTTCTGTCTAGATTTTACCTGAAGACAATCCCGTTTCCCACGAAATCCTCAAAGCTATGCAAAAATCCTCTTGCAGATTCTACAAAAAGAGTGTTTCAAAACTGCTCTATGAAAAGAAAGGTTCAACTCTGTCAGTAGAGGGCACACATCACAAACAAGTTTCTGAGAATGCTTCTGCATAGTTGTTACGGGAAGATATTTCCCTTTCCAAAATAGGCCTGAAAGCGCTCCAAATGTCCACTTCCAGATACTACAAAAGGAGTGATTCCAACCTGCTCTATGATAGGGAATGTTCAACTCTGTGTCCTGAATACAAACATCACAAAGATGTTTCTCAGAACGCTGCAGTCTGCAATTTGTATGAATTCCAGCTTCCAACGAAATCCTCAAAACTAGCCAAATATCCACTTGCAGATTCCACAAAAAGAGCATTTCAAAACTGCTCTATCAAAAGAAAGGTTCAACTTTGTTAGTTGAGTAGATACAGCATAAACAAGTTTCTGAGAATGCTTCTGTCCAGTTTTTATGGGAAGATATTTCCTTTTTCACCTTAGCCCTGAAAGCGCTCCAAAAGTCCAGTTCCAGATACTACAAAAGGAGTGTTTCAGGACTGCTCTATGAAAGGGAGTGTTCAACTTTTGACTTGAATGCAAACATCAGAAAGCAGTTTACTCAGAACGCTGCTGTGTGCTTTTTATATGTATTCCCGCTTCCAGCGAAATCCCCAAAGCTAGCCAAATATCCACTTGCAGATTCCAGAAAAAGAGTGTTTCAAAACTGCTCCTTCAAAACGGTGGTTCAATTCTCTTAGTTGAGTACACACATCTCAAATAAGTTTCTGAGAATGCTTGTGTCTAGTTGTTATGGGAAGATATTTCCTTTTTCAACATAGGCCTGAAAGCGCTCCAAATGTCCACTTCCAGATACTACAAAAGGAGTGATTCCAACCTGCTCTATGATAGGGAATGTTCATCTCTGTGTCCTGAATACAAACATCACAAAGATGTTTCTCAGAACGCTGCAGTCTGCAATTTGTATGAATTCCCGCTTCCAACGAAATCCTCAAAACTAGCCAAATATCCACTTGCAGATTCCACAAAAAGAGCGTTTCAAAACTTCTCTATGAAAAGAAAGGTTCTACTCCTTTAGTTGAGGACACACATCACGAGTAAGTTTCTGAGAATGCTTCTGTCTAGTTTTTATGGGAAGATATTTCCTTTTTCACCTTAGGCCGGTAAGCGCTCCAAATGTCCACTTACACACACTACAAAAAGAGTGTTTCAAACCTGCTCTGTGAAAGGGAATGTTCAATTCTGTGACTTGAATGCAATCATCACAAAGAACTTTCTGAGAATGCTGCTGACTGCTTTTTATATGTAATCCCGTTTCCAACGAAATCCTCAAATCTAGCCAAATAGCCACTTGCAGATTCCACAAAAAGAGTGTTTCAAAACTGTTCTGTCTAAAGAAAAGTTCAACTGTGTTAGTTGAGGACACACATCAGAAACTAGTTTCTGAGAATGCTTCTGTCTAGTTGTTATGGGAAGATATTTCCTTTTCCAACGTAGGCCTGAAAGCGCTCCAAATGTCCACTTCCATATACTAAAAAAAGAGTGTTTCAAACCTGCTCTACCAAAGGGAATGTTCTACTCTGTGACTTGAATGCAAACATCCCAAAGAAGTTTCTGAGAATGCTTCTGTCTAGATTTTATCTGAAGACAATCCCGTTTCCAACGAAATCCTCAAGGCTAGGCAAATATACTCTTGCAGATTCCAGAAAAAGAGGGTTTCAAAACTGCTCCTTCAAAACGGTGGTTCAATTCTCTTAGTTGAGTCCACACATCTCAAATAAGTTTCTGAGAATGCTTCTGCCTAGTTGTTACGGGAAGATATTTCCCTTTCCAACATGGGCCTGAAAGCGCTCCAAATGTCCACTTCCAGATACTAGAAAAAGAGTGTTTCAAACCTGCTCTACCAAAGGGAATGTTCTACTCTGTGACTTGAATGCAAACATCCCAAAGAAGTTTCTGAGAATGCTTCTGTCTAGATTTTACCTGAAGACAATCCCGTTTCCCACGAAATCCTCAAAGCTATGCAAATATCCTCTTGCAGATTCTACAAAAAGAGTGTTTCAAAACTGCTCTATGAAAAGAAAGGTTCAACTCTGTCAGTAGAGGGCACACATCACAAACAAGTTTCTGAGAATGCTTGTGTCTAGTTGTTATGGGAAGATATTTCCTTTTTCAACATAGGCCAGAAAGCGCTCCAAATGTCCACTTCCAGATACTACAAAAGGAGTGATTCCAACCTGCTCTATGATAGGGAATGTTCAACTCTGTGTCCTGAATACAAACATCACAAAGATGTTTCTCAGAACGCTGCAGTCTGCAATTTGTATGAATTCCCGCTTCCAACGAAATCCTCAAAACTAGCCAAATATCCACTTGCAGATTCCACAAAAAGACCATTTCAAAACTGCTCTATCAAAAGAAAGGTTCAACTTTGTTAGTTGAGTAGATACAGCATAAACAAGTTTCTGAGAATGCTTCTGTCCAGTTTTTATGGGAAGATATTTCCTTTTTCACCTTAGCCCTGAAATCGCTCCAAAAGTCCAGTTCCAGATACTACAAAAGGGGTGTTTCAAGACTGCTCTATGAAAGGGAGTGTTCAACTTTTGACTTGAATGCAAACATCAGAAAGCAGTTTCTCAGAACGCTGCTGTGTGCTTTTTATATGTATTCCCGCTTCCAGCGAAATCCCCAAAGCTAGCCAAATATCCACTTGCAGATTCCAGAAAAAGAGAGTTTCAAAACTGCTCCTTCAAAACGGTGGTTCAATTCTCTTAGTTGAGTACACACATCTCAAATAAGTTTCTGAGAATGCTTCTGTCTAGTTGTTATGGGAAGATATTTCCTTTTCCAACATAGGCCTGAAAGCGCTCCAAATGTCCACTTCCAGATACTACAAAAGGAGTGATTCCAACCTGCTCTATGATAGGGAATGTTCAACTCTGTGTCCTGAATACAAACATCACAAAGATGTTTCTCAGAACGCTGCAGTCTGCAATTTGTATGAATTCCCGCTTCCAACGAAATCCTCCAAACTAGCCAAATATCCACTTGCAGATTCCACAAAAAGAGCGTTTCAAAACTTCTCTATGAAAAGAAAGGTTCTACTCCTTTAGTTGAGGACACACATCACGAGTAAGTTTCTGAGAATGCTTCTGTCTAGTTTTTATGGGAAGATATTTCCTTTTTCACCTTAGGCCGGTAAGTGCTCCAAATGTCCACTTACACACACTACAAAAAGAGTGTTTCAAACCTGCTCTGTGAAAGGGAATGTTCAATTCTGTGACTTGAATGCAATCATCACAAAGAACTTTCTGAGAATGCTGCTGTCTGCTTTTTATATGTAATCCCGTTTCCAACGAAATCCTCAAATGTAGCCAAATATCCACTTGCAGATTCCACAAAAAGAGTGTTTCAAAACTGTTCTGTCTAAAGAAATGTTCAACTGTGTTAGTTGAGGACACACATCAGAAACTAGTTTCTGAGAATGCTTCTGTCTAGTTGTTATGGGAAGATATTTCCTTTTCCAACGTAGGCCTGAAAGCGCTCCAAATGTCCACTTCCATATACTAAAAAAAGAGTGTTTCAAACCTGCTCTACCAAAGGGAATGTTCTACTCTGTGACTTGAATGCAAACATCCCAAAGAAGTTTCTGAGAATGCTTCTGTCTAGATTTTCTCTGAAGACAATCCCGTTTCCAACGAAATCCTCAAGGCTAGGCAAATATACTCTTGCAGATTCCAGAAAAAGAGTGTTTCAAAACTGCTCCTTCAAAACGGTGGTTCAATTCTCTTAGTTGAGTACACACATCTCAAATAAGTTTCTGAGAATGCTTCTGCCTAGTTGTTACGGGAAGATATTTCCCTTTCCAACATAGGCCTGAAAGCGCTCCAAATGTCCACTTCCAGATACTACAAAAAGAGTGTTTCAAACCTGCTCTACCAAAGGGAATGTTCTACTCTGTGACTTGAATGCAAACATCCCAAAGAAGTTTCTGAGAATGCTTCTGTCTAGATTTTACCTGAAGACAATCCCGTTTCCCACGAAATCCTCAAAGCTATGCAAATATCCTCTTGCAGATTCTACAAAAAGAGTGTTTCGAAACTGCTCTATGAAAAGAAAGGTTCAACTGTGTCAGTAGAGGGCACACATCACAAACAAGTTTCTGAGAATGCTTCTGCATAGTTGTTACGGGAAGATATTTCCCTTTCCAAAATAGGCCTGAAAGCGCTCCAAATGTCCACTTCCAGATACTACAAAAGGAGTGATTCCAACCTGCTCTATGATAGGGAATGTTCAACTCTGTGTCCTGAATACAAACATCACAAAGATGTTTCTCAGAACGCTGCAGTCTGCAATTTGTATGAATTCCCGCTTCCAACGAAATCCTCAAAACTAGCCAAGTATCCACTTGCAGATTCCACAAAAAGACCATTTCAAAACTGCTCTATCAAAAGAAAGGTTCAACTTTGTTAGTTGAGTAGATACAGCATAACCAAGTTTCTGAGAATGCTTCTGTCCAGTTTTTATGGGAAGATATTTCCTTTTTCACCTTAGCCCTGAAATCGCTCCAAAAGTCCAGTTCCAGATACTACAAAAGGGGTGTTTCAGGACTGCTCTATGAAAGGGAGTGTTCAACTTTTGACTTGAATGCAAACATCAGAAAGCAGTTTCTCAGAACGCTGCTGTGTGCTTTTTATATGTATTCCCGCTTCCAGCGAAATCCCCAAAGCTAGCCAAATATCCACTTGCAGATTCCAGAAAAAGAGAGTTTCAAAACTGCTCCTTCAAAACGGTGGTTCAATTCTCTTAGTTGAGTACACACATCTCAAATAAGTTTCTGAGAATGCTTGTGTCTAGCTGTTATGGGAAGATATTTCCTTTTTCAACATAGGCCTGAAAGCGCTCCAAATGTCCACTTCCAGATACTACAAAAGGAGTGATTCCAACCTGCTCTATGATAGGGAATGTTCCTCTCTGTGTCCTGAATACAAACATCACAAAGATGTTTCTCAGAACGCTGCAGTCTGCAATTTGTATGAATTCCCGCTTCCAACGAAATCCTCAAAACTAGCCAAATATCCACTTGGAGATTCCACAAAAAGAGCATTTCAAAACTTCTCTACGAATAGAAAGGTTCTACTCCTTTAGTTGAGGACACACATCACGAGTAAGTTTCTGAGAATGCTTCTGTTTAGTTTTTATGGGAAGATATTTCCTTTTTCACCTTAGGCCGGAAAGCGCTCCAAATGTCCACTTAAACACACTACAAAAAGAGTGTTTCAAACCTGCTCTGTGAAAGGGAATGTTCAATTCTGTGACTTGAATGCAATCATCACAAAGAACTTTCTGAGAATGCTGCTGACTGCTTTTTATATGTAATCCCGTTTCCAACGAAATCCTCAAATCTAGCCAAATAGCCACTTGCAGATTCCACAAAAAGAGTGTTTCAAAACTGTTCTGTCTAAAGAAATGTTCAACTGTGTTAGTTGAGGACACACATCAGAAACTAGTTTCTGAGAATGCTTCTGTCTAGTTGTTATGGGAAGATATTTCCTTTTCCAACGTAGGCCTGAAAGCGCTCCAAATGTCCACTTCCATATACTAAAAAAAGAGTGTTTCAAACCTGCTCTACCAAAGGGAATGTTCTACTCTGTGACTTGAATGCAAACATCCCAAAGAAGTTTCTGAGAATGCTTCTGTCTAGATTTGATCTGAAGACAATCCCGTTTCCAACGAAATCCTCAAGGCTAGGCAAATATCCTCTTGCAGATTCCAGAAAAAGAGTGTTTCAAAACTGCTCCTTCAAAACGGTGGTTCAATTCTCTTAGTTGAGTACACACATCTCAAATAAGTTTCTGAGAATGCTTCTGCCTAGTTGTTACGGGAAGATATTTCCCTTTCCAACATAGGCCTGAAAGCGCTCCAAATGTCCACTTCCAGATACTACAAAAAGAGTGTTTCAAACCTGCTCTACCAAAGGGAATGTTCTACTCTGTGACTTGAATGCAAACATCCCAAAGAAGTTTCTGAGAATGCTTCTGTCTAGATTTTACCTGAAGACAATCCCGTTTCCCACGAAATCCTCAAAGCTATGCAAATATCCTCTTGCAGATTCTACAAAAAGAGTGTTTCAAAACTGCTCTATGAAAAGAAAGGTTCAACTCTGTCAGTAGAGGGCACACATCACAAACAAGTTTCTGAGAATGCTTCTGCATAGTTGTTACGGGAAGATATTTCCCTTTCCAAAATAGGCCTGAAAGCGCTCCAAATGTCCACTTCCAGATACTACAAAAGGAGTGATTCCAACCTGCTCTATGATAGGGAATGTTCAACTCTGTGTCCTGAATACAAACATCACAAAGATGTTTCTCAGAACGCTGCAGTCTGCAATTTGTATGAATTCCCGCTTCCAACGAAATCCTCAAAACTAGCCAAATATCCACTTGCAGATTCCACAAAAAGACCATTTCAAAACTGCTCTATCAAAAGAAAGGTTCAACTTTGTTAGTTGAGTAGATACAGCATAAACAAGTTTCTGAGAATGCTTCTGTCCAGTTTTTATGGGAAGATATTTCCTTTTTCACCTTAGCCCTGAAATCGCTCCAAAAGTCCAGTTCCAGATACTACAAAAGGGGTGTTTCAAGACTGCTCTATGAAAGGGAGTGTTCAACTTTTGACTTGAATGCAAACATCAGAAAGCAGTTTCTCAGAACGCTGCAGTCTGCAATTTGTATGAATTCCCGCTTCCAACGAAATCCTCAAAACTAGCCAAATATCCACTTGCAGATTCCACAAAAAGAGCGTTTCAAAACTTCTCTATGAAAAGAAAGGTTCTACTCCTTTAGTTGAGGACACACATCACGAGTAAGTTTCTGAGAATGCTTCTGTCTAGTTTTTATGGGAAGATATTACCTTTTTCACCTTAGGCCGGAAAGTGCTCCAAATGTCCACTTACACACACTATAAAAAGAGTGTTTCAAACCTGCTCTGTGAAAGGGAATGTTCAATTCTGTGACTTGAATGCAATCATCACAAAGAACTTTCTGAGAATGCTGCTGTCTGCTTTTTATATGTAATCCCGTTTCCAACGAAATCCTCAAATCTAGCCAAATATCCACTTGCAGATTCCACAAAAAGAGTGTTTCAAAACTGTTCTGTCTAAAGAAAAGTTCAACTGTGTTAGTTGAGGACACACATCAGAAACTAGTTTCTGAGAATGCTTCTGTCTAGTTGTTATGGGAAGATATTTCCTTTTCCAACGTAGGCCTGAAAGCGCTCCAAATGTCCACTTCCATATACTAAAAAAAGAGTGTTTCAAACCTGCTCTACCAAAGGGGAATGTTCTACTCTGTGACTTGAATGCAAACATCCCAAAGAAGTTTCTGAGAATGCTTCTGTCTAGATTTGATCTGAAGACAATCCCTTTTCCAACGAAATCCTCAAAGCTAGGCAAATATCCTCTTGCAGATTCCAGAAAAAGAGTGTTTCCAAACTGCTCCTTCAAAACGGTGGTTCAATTCTCTTAGTTGAGTACACACATCTCAAATAAGTTTCTGAGAATGCTTCTGCCTAGTTGTTACGGGAAGATATTTCCCTTTCCAACATGGGCCTGAAAGCGCTCCAAATGTCCACTTCCAGATACTACAAAAAGAGTGTTTCAAACCTGCTCTACCAAAGGGAATGTTCTACTCTGTGACTTGAATGCAAACATCCCAAAGAAGTTTCTGAGAATGCTTCTGTCTAGATTTTACCTGAAGACAATCCCGTTTCCCACGAAATCCTCAAAGCTATGCAAATATCCTCTTGCAGATTCTACAAAAAGAGTGTTTCAAAACTGCTCTATGAAAAGAAAGGTTCAACTCTGTCAGTAGAGGGCACACATCACAAACAAGTTTCTGAGAATGCTTCTGCATAGTTGTTACGGGAAGATATTTCCCTTTCCAAAATAGGCCTGAAAGCGCTCCAAATGTCCACTTCCAGATACTACAAAAGGAGTGATTCCAACCTGCTCTATGATAGGGAATGTTCAACTCTGTGTCCTGAATACAAACATCACAAAGATGTTTCTCAGAACGCTGCAGTCTGCAATTTGTATGAATTCCCGCTTCCAACGAAATCCTCAAAACTAGCCAAATATCCACTTGCAGATTCCACAAAAAGACCATTTCAAAACTGCTCTATCAAAAGAAAGGTTCAACTTTGTTAGTTGAGTAGATACAGCATAACCAAGTTTCTGAGAATGCTTCTGTCCAGTTTTTATGGGAAGATATTTCCTTTTTCACCTTAGCCCTGAAATCGCTCCAAAAGTCCAGTTCCAGATACTACAAAAGGGGTGTTTCAAGACTGCTCTATGAAAGGGAGTGTTCAACTTTTGACTTGAATGCAAACATCAGAAAGCAGTTTCTCAGAACGCTGCTGTGTGCTTTTTATATGTATTCCCGCTTCCAGCGAAATCCCCAAAGCTAGCCAAATATCCACTTGCAGATTCCAGAAAAAGAGTGTTTCAAAACTGCTCCTTCAAAACGGTGGTTCAATTCTCTTAGTTGAGTACACACATCTCAAATAAGTTTCTGAGAATGCTTCTGTCTAGTTGTTATGGGAAGATATTTCCTTTTCCAACATAGGCCTGAAAGCGCTCCAAATGTCCACTTCCAGATACTACAAAAGGAGTGATTCAAACCTGCTCTATGATAGGGAATGTTCAACTCTGTGTCCTGAATACAAACATCACAAAGATGTTTCTCAGAACGCTGCAGTCTGCAATTTGTATGAATTCCCGCTTCCAACGAAATCCTCAAAACTAGCCAAATATCCACTTGCAGATTCCACAAAAAGAGCGTTTCAAAACTTCTCTATGAAAAGAAAGGTTCTACTCCTTTAGTTGAGGACACACATCACGAGTAAGTTTCTGAGAATGCTTCTGTCTAGTTTTTATGGGAAGATATTTCCTTTTTCACCTTAGGCCGGTAAGTGCTCCAAATGTCCACTTACACACACTACAAAAAGAGTGTTTCAAACCTGCTCTGTGAAAGGGAATGTTCAATTCTGTGACTTGAATGCAATCATCACAAAGAACTTTCTGAGAATGCTGCTGTCTGCTTTTTATATGTAATCCCGTTTCCAACGAAATCCTCAAATCTAGCCAAATAGCCACTTGCAGATTCCACAAAAAGAGTGTTTCAAAACTGTTCTGTCTAAAGAAATGTTCAACTGTGTTAGTTGAGGACACACATCAGAAACTAGTTTCTGAGAATGCTTCTGTCTAGTTGTTATGGGAAGATATTTCGTTTTCCAAAGTAGGCCTGAAAGCGCTCCAAATGTCCACTTCCATATACTAAAAAAAGAGTGTTTCACACCTGCTCTACCAAAGGGAATGTTCTACTCTGTGACTTGAATGCAAACATCCCAAAGAAGTTTCTGAGAATGCTTCTGTCTAGATTTTCTCTGAAGACAATCCCGTTTCCAACGAAATCCTCAAGGCTAGGCAAATATACTCTTGCAGATTCCAGAAAAAGAGTGTTTCAAAACTGCTCCTTCAAAACGGTGGTTCAATTCTCTTAGTTGAGTACACACATCTCAAATAAGTTTCTGAGAATGCTTCTGCCTAGTTGTTACGGGAAGATATTTCCCTTTCCAACATAGGCCTGAAAGCGCTCCAAATGTCCACTTCCAGATACTACAAAAAGAGTGTTTCAAACCTGCTCTACCAAAGGGAATGTTCTACTCTGTGACTTGAATGCAAACATCCCAAAGAAGTTTCTGAGAATGCTTCTGTCTAGATTTTACCTGAAGACAATCCCGTTTCCCACGAAATCCTCAGAGCTATGCAAATATCCTCTTGCAGATTCTACAAAAAGAGTGTTTCGAAACTGCTCTATGAAAAGAAAGGTTCAACTCTGTCAGTAGAGGAAACACATCACCAACAAGTTTCTGAGAATGCTTCTGCATAGTTGTTATGGGAAGATATTTCCCTGTCCAAAATAGGCCTGAAAGCGCTCCAAATGTCCACTTCCAGATACTACAAAAGGAGTGATTCCAACCTGCTCTATGATAGGGAATGTTCAACTCTGTGTCCTGAATACAAACATCACAAAGATGTTTCTCATAACGCTGCAGTCTGCAATTTGTATGAATTCCCGCTTCCAACGAAATCCTCAAAACTAGCCAAATATCCACTTGCAGATTCCACAAAAAGAGCATTTCAAAACTGCTCTATCAAAAGAAAGGTTCAACTTTGTTAGTTGAGTAGATACAGCATAAACAAGTTTCTGAGAATGCTTCTGTCCAGTTTTTATGGGAAGATATTTCCTTTTTCACCTTAGCCCTGAAAGCGCTCCAAAAGTCCAGTTCCAGATACTACAAAAGGAGTGTTTCAGGACTGCTCTATGAAAGGGAGTGTTCAACTTTTGACTTGAATGCAAACATCAGAAAGCAGTTTACTCAGAACGCTGCTGTGTGCTTTTTATATGTATTCCCGCTTCCAGCGAAATCCCCAAAGCTAGCCAAATATCCACTTGCAGATTCCAGAAAAAGAGTGTTTCAAAACTGCTCCTTCAAAACGGTGGTTCAATTCTCTTAGTTGAGTACACACATCTCAAATAAGTTTCTGAGAATGCTTCTGTCTAGCTGTTATGGGAAGATATTTCCTTTTCCAACATAGGCCTGAAAGCGCTACAAATGTCCACTTCCAGATACGACAAAAGCAGTGATTCCAACCTGCTCTATGATAGGGAATGTTCAACTCTGTGTCCTGAATACAAACATCACAAAGATGTTTCTCAGAAGGCTGCAGTCTGCAATTTGTATGAATTCCCGCTTCCAACGAAATCCTCAAAACTAGCCAAATATCCACTTGCAGATTCCACAAAAAGAGCGTTTCAAAACTTCTCTATGAAAAGAAAGGTTCTACTCCTTTAGTTGAGGACACACATCACGAGTAAGTTTCTGAGAATGCTTCTGTCTAGTTTTTATGGGAAGATATTTCCTTTTTCACCTTAGGCCGGAAAGTGCTCCAAATGTCCACTTACACACACTACAAAAAGAGTGTTTCAAACCTGCTCTGTGAAAGGGAATGTTCAATTCTGTGACTTGAATGCAATCATCACAAAGAACTTTCTGAGAATGCTGCTGTCTGCTTTTTATATGTAATCCCGTTTCCAACGAAATCCTCAAATCTAGCCAAATATCCACTTGCAGATTCCACAAAAAGAGTGTTTCAAAACTGTTCTGTCTAAAGAAATGTACAACTGTGTTAGTTGAGGACACACATCAGAAACTAGTTTCTGAGAATGCTTCTGTCTAGTTGTTATGGGAAGATATTTCCTTTTCCAACGTAGGCCTGAAAGCGCTCCAAATGTCCACTTCCATATACTAAAAAAAGAGTGTTTCAAACCTGCTCTACCAAAGGGAATATTCTACTCTGTGACTTGAATACAAACATCCCAAAGAAGTTTCTGAGAATGCTTCTGTCTAGATTTTATCTGAAGACAATCCCGTTTCCAACGAAATCCTCAAAGCTAGGCAAATATCCTCTAGCAGATTCCAGAAAAAGAGTGTTTCAAAACTGCTCCTTCAAAACGGTGGTTCAATTCTCTTAGTTGAGTACACACATCTCAAAAAAGTTTCAGAGAATTCTTCTGCCTAGTTGTTACGGGAAGATATTTCCCTTTCCAACATGGGCCTGATAGTGCTCCAAATGTCCACTTCCAGATACTACAAAAAGAGTGTTTCAAACCTGCTCTACCAAAGGGAATGTTCTACTCTGTGACTTGAATGCAAACATCCCAAAAAAGTTTCTGAGAATGCTTCTGTCTAGATTTTACCTGAAGACAATCCCGTTTCCCACGAAATCCTCAAAGCTATGCAAATATCCTCTTGCGGATTCTACAAAAAGAGTGTTTCAAAACTGCTCTATGAAAAGAAAGGTTCAACTCTGTCAGTAGAGGGCACACATCACAAACAAGTTTCTGAGAACGCTTCTGCCTAGTTGTTACGGGAAGATATTTCCCTTTCCAAAATAGGCCTGAAAGCGCTCCAAATGTCCACTTCCAGATACTGCAAAAGGAGTGATTCCAACCTGCTCTACGATAGGGAAAGTTCAACTCTGTGTCCTGAATACAAACATCACAAAGATGTTTCTCAGAACGCTGCAGTCTGCAATTTGTATGAATTCCCGCTTCCAACGAAATCCTCAAAACTAGCCAAATATCCACTTGCAGATTCCACAAAAAGAGCATTTCAAAACTGCTCTATCAAAAGAAAGGTTCAACTTTGTTAGTTGAGTAGATACAGCATAAACAAGTTTCTGAGAATGCTTCTGTCCAGTTTTTATGGGAAGATATTTCCTTTTTCACCTTAGCCCTGAAATCGCTCCAAAAGTCCAGTTCCAGATACTACAAAAGGGGTGTTTCAAGACTGCTCTATGAAAGGGAGTGTTCAACTTTTGACTTGAATGCAAACATCAGAAAGCAGTTTCTCAGAACGCTGCTGTGTGCTTTTTATATGTATTCCCGCCTCCAGCGAAATCCCCAAAGCTAGCCAAATATCCACTTGCAGATTCCAGAAAAAGAGTGTTTCAAAACTGCTCCTTCAAAACGGTGGTTCAATTCTCTTAGTTGAGTACACACATCTCAAATAAGTTTCTGAGAATGCTTCTGTCTAGTTGTTATGGGAAGATATTTCCTTTTCCAACATAGGCCTGAAAGCGCTCCAAATGTCCACTTCCAGATACTACAAAAGGAGTGATTCCAACCTGCTCTATGATAGGGAATGTTCAACTCTGTGTCCTGAATACAAACATCACAAAGATGTTTCTCAGAACGCTGCAGTCTGCAATTTGTATGAATTCCCGCTTCCAACGAAATCCTCCAAACTAGCCAAATATCCACTTGCAGATTCCACAAAAAGAGCGTTTCAAAACTTCTCTATGAAAAGAAAGGTTCTACTCCTTTAGTTGAGGACACACATCACGAGTAAGTTTCTGAGAATGCTTCTGTCTAGTTTTTATGGGAAGATATGTCCTTTTTCACCTTAGGCCGGAAAGCGCTCCAAATGTCCACTTACACACACTACAAAAAGAGTGTTTCAAACCTGCTCTGTGAAAGGGAATGTTCAATTCTGTGACTTGAATGCAATCATCACAAAGAACTTTCTGAGAATGCTGCTGTCTGCTTTTTATATGTAATCCCGTTTCCAACGAAATCCTCAAATCTAGCCAAATATCCACTTGCAGATTCCACAAAAAGAGTGTTTCAAAACTGTTCTGTCTAAAGAAAAGTTCAACTGTGTTAGTTGAGGACACACATCAGAAACTAGTTTCTGAGAATGCTTCTGTCTAGTTGTTATGGGAAGATATTTCCTTTTCCAACGTAGGCCTGAAAGCGCTCCAAATGTCCACTTCCATATACTAAAAAAAGAGTGTTTCAAACCTGCTCTACCAATGGGAATGTTCTACTCTGTGACTTGAATGCAAACATCCCAAAGAAGTTTCTGAGAATGCTTCTGTCTAGATTTTCTCTGAAGACAATCCCGTTTCCAACGAAATCCTCAAGGCTAGGCAAATATACTCTTGCAGATTCCAGAAAAAGAGTGTTTCAAAACTGCTCCTTCAAAACGGTGGTTCAATTCTCTTAGTTGAGTACACACATCTCAAATAAGTTTCTGAGAATGCTTCTGCCTAGTTGTTACGGGAAGATATTTCCCTTTCCAACATGGGCCTGAAAGCGCTCCAAATGTCCACTTCCAGATACTACAAAAAGAGTGTTTCAAACCTGCTCTACCAAAGGGAATGTTCTACTCTGTGACTTGAATGCAAACATCCCAAAGAAGTTTCTGAGAATGCTTCTGTCTAGATTTTACCTGAAGACAATCCCGTTTCCCACGAAATCCTCAAAGCTATGCAAATATCCTCTTGCAGATTCTACAAAAAGAGTGTTTCAAAACTGCTCTATGAAAAGAAAGGTTCAACTCTGTCAGTAGAGGGCACACATCACAAACAAGTTTCTGAGAATGCTTGTGTCTAGTTGTTATGGGAAGATATTTCCTTTTTCAACATAGGCCTGAAAGCGCTCCAAATGTCCACTTCCAGATACTACAAAAGGAGTGATTCCAACCTGCTCTATGATAGGGAATGTTCAACTCTCTGTCCTGAATACAAACATCACAAAGATGTTTCTCAGAACGCTGCAGTCTGCAATTTGTATGAATTCCCGCTTCCAACGAAATCCTCAAAACTAGCCAAATATCCACTTGCAGATTCCACAAAAAGAGCATTTCAAAACTGCTCTATCAAAAGAAAGGTTCAACTTTGTTAGTTGAGTAGATACAGCATAAACAAGTTTCTGAGAATGCTGCAGTCTGCAATTTGTATGAATTCCCGCTTCCAACGAAATCCTCAAAACTAGCCAAATATCCACTTGCAGATTCCACAAAAAGAGCGTTTCAAAACTTCTCTATGAAAAGAAAGGTTCTACTCCTTTAGTTGAGGACACACATCACGAGTAAGTTTCTGAGAATGCTTCTGTCTGGTTTTTATGGTAAGATATGTCCTTTTTCACCTTAGGCCGGAAAGCGCTCCAAATGTCCACTTACACACACTACAAAAAGAGTGTTTCAAACCTGCTCTGTGAAAGGGAATGTTCAATTCTGTGACTTGAATGCAATCATCACAAAGAACTTTCTGAGAATGCTGCTGACTGCTTTTTATATGTAATCCCGTTTCCAACGAAATCCTCAAATCTAGCCAAATAGCCACTTGCAGATTCCACAAAAAGAGTGTTTCAAAACTGTTCTGTCTAAAGAAATGTTCAACTGTGTTAGTTGAGGACACACATCAGAAACTAGTTTCTGAGAATGCTTCTGTCTAGTTGTTATGGGAAGATATTTCCTTTTCCAACGTAGGCCTGAAAGCGCTCCAAATGTCCACTTCCATATACGAAAAAAAGAGTGTTTCAAACCTGCTGTACCAAAGGGAATGTTCTACTCTGTGACTTGAATGCAAACATCCCAAAGAAGTTTCTGAGAATGCATCTGTCTAGATTTGATCTGAAGACAATCCCGTTTCCAACGAAACCCTCAAATCTATGCAAATATCCTCTTGCAGATTCCAGAAAAAGAGTGTTTCAAAACTGCTCCTTCAAAACGGTGGTTGAATTCTCTTAGTTGAGTACACACATCTCAAATAAGTTTCTGAGAATGCTTCTGCCTAGTTGTTACGGGAAGATATTTCCCTTTCCAACATGGGCCTGAAAGCGCTCCAAATGTCCACTTCCAGATACTACAAAAAGAGTGTTTCAAACCTGCTCTACCAAAGGGAATGTTCTACTCTGTGACTTGAATGCAAACATCCCAAAGAAGTTTCTGAGAATGCTTCTGTCTAGATTTGATCTGAAGACAATCCCGTTTCCAACGAAATCCTCAAAGCTATGCAAATATCCTCTTGCAGATTCCACACAAAGAGTGTTTCGAAACTGCTCTCTCAAAAGAAATGTTCAACTCTGTCAGTTGAGGACACACATCACAAATAAGTTTCTGAGAATGCTTGTGTCTAGTTGTTATGGGAAGATATTTCCTTTTTCAACATAGGCCAGAAAGCGCTCCAAATGTCCACTTCCAGATACTACAAAAGGAGTGATTCCAACCTGCTCTATGATAGGGAATGTTCAACTCTGTGTCCTGAATACAAACATCACAAAGATGTTTCTCAGAACGCTGCAGTCTGCAATTTGTATGAATTCCCGCTTCCAACGAAATCCTCAAAACTAGCCAAATATCCACTTGCAGATTCCACAAAAAGACCATTTCAAAACTGCTCTATCAAAAGAAAGGTTCAACTTTGTTAGTTGAGTAGATACAGCATAAACAAGTTTCTGAGAATGCTTCTGTCCAGTTTTTATGGGAAGATATTTCCTTTTTCACCTTAGCCCTGAAATCGCTCCAAAAGTCCAGTTCCAGATACTACAAAAGGGGTGTTTCAAGACTGCTCTATGAAAGGGAGTGTTCAACTTTTGACTTGAATGCAAACATCAGAAAGCAGTTTCTCAGAACGCTGCTGTGTGCTTTTTATATGTATTCCCGCTTCCAGCGAAATCCCCAAAGCTAGCCAAATATCCACTTGCAGATTCCAGAAAAAGAGTGTTTCAAAACTGCTCCTTCAAAACGGTGGTTCAATTCTCTTAGTTGAGTACACACATCTCAAATAAGTTTCTGAGAATGCTTCTGTCTATTTGTTATGGGAAGATATTTCCTTTTCCAACATAGGCCTGAAAGCGCTCCAAATGTCCACTTCCAGATACTACAAAAGGAGTGATTCAAACCTGCTCTATGATAGGGAATGTTCAACTCTGTGTCCT
Organism: Homo sapiens; assembly: GCF_000001405.40. Taxonomy (NCBI): domain Eukaryota; kingdom Metazoa; phylum Chordata; class Mammalia; order Primates; family Hominidae; genus Homo; species Homo sapiens. The sequence continues at coordinate 20,419,525 of NC_000018.10, read as the reverse complement.
GAATACAAACATCACAAAGAAGTTTCTCAGAACGCTGCATTCTGCAATTTGTATGAATTCCCGCTTCCAACGAAATCCTCAAAACTAGCCAAATATCCACTTGCAGATTCCACAAAAAGAGCGTTTCAAAACTTCTCTATGAAAAGAAAGTTTCTACTCCTTTAGTTGAGTACACACATCACGAGTAAGTTCCTGAGAATGCTTCTGTCTAGTTTTTATGGGAAGATATTTCCTTTTTCACCTTAGGCCGGTAAGTGCTCCAAATGTCCACTTACACACACTACAAAAAGAGTGTTTCAAACCTGCTCTGTGAAAGGGAATGTTCAATTCTGTGACTTGAATGCAATCATCACAAAGAACTTTCTGAGAATGCTGCTGACTGCTTTTTATATGTAATCCCGTTTCCAACGAAATCCTCAAATCTAGCCAAATAGCCACTTGCAGATTCCACAAAAAGAGTGTTTCAAAACTGTTCTGTCTAAAGAAATGTTCAACTGTGTTAGTTGAGGACACACATCAGAAACTAGTTTCTGAGAATGCTTCTGTCTAGTTGTTATGGGAAGATATTTCCTTTTCCAACGTAGGCCTGAAAGCGCTCCAAATGTCCACTTCCATATACTAAAAAAAGAGTGTTTCAAACCTGCTCTACCAAAGGAATGTTCTACTCTGTGACTTGAATGCAAACATCCCAAAGAAGTTTCTGAGAATGCTTCTGTCTAGATTTGATCTGAAGACAATCCCTTTTCCAACGAAATCCTCAAAGCTAGGCAAATATCCTCTTGCAGATTCCAGAAAAAGAGTGTTTCCAAACTGCTCCTTCAAAACGGTGGTTCAGTTCTCTTAGTTGAGTACACACATCTCAAATAAGTTTCTGAGAATGCTTCTGCCTAGTTGTTACGGGAAGATATTTCCCTTTCCAACATGGGCCTGAAAGCGCTCCAAATGTCCACTTCCAGATACTACAAAAAGAGTGTTTCAAACCTGCTCTACCAAAGGGAATGTTCTACTCTGTGACTTGAATGCAAACATCCCAAAGAAGTTTCTGAGAATGCTTCTGTCTAGATTTTACCTGAAGACAATCCCGTTTCCCACGAAATCCTCAAAGCTATGCAAATATCCTCTTGCAGATTCTACAAAAAGAGTGTTTCGAAACTGCTCTATGAAAAGAAAGGTTCAACTGTGTCAGTAGAGGGCACACATCACAAACAAGTTTCTGAGAATGCTTCTGTCTAGTTGTTATGGGAAGATATTTCCTTTTTCAACATAGGCCTGAAAGCGCTCCAAATGTCCACTTCCAGATACTAAAAAAGGAGTGATTCCAACCTGCTCTATGATAGGGAATGTTCAACTCTCTGTCCTGAATACAAACATCACAAAGATGTTTCTCAGAACGCTGCAGTCTGCAATTTGTATGAATTCCCGCTTCCAACGAAATCCTCAAAACTAGCCAAATATCCACTTGCAGATTCCACAAAAAGACCATTTCAAAACTGCTCTATCAAAAGAAAGGTTCAACTTTGTTAGTTGAGTAGATACAGCATAAACAAGTTTCTGAGAATGCTTCTGTCCAGTTTTTATGGGAAGATATTTCCTTTTTCACCTTAGCCCTGAAATCGCTCCAAAAGTCCAGTTCCAGATACTACAAAAGGGGTGTTTCAAGACTGCTCTATGAAAGGGAGTGTTCAACTTTTGACTTGAATGCAAACATCAGAAAGCAGTTTCTCAGAACGCTGCTGTGTGCTTTTTATATGTATTCCCGCTTCCAGCGAAATCCCCAAAGCCAGCCAAATATCCACTTGCAGATTCCAGAAAAAGAGTGTTTCAAAACTGCTCCTTCAAAACGGTGGTTCAATTCTCTTAGTTGAGTACACACATCTCAAATAAGTTTCTGAGAATGCTTCTGTCTAGTTGTTATGGGAAGATATTTCCTTTTCCAACATAGGCCTGAAAGCGCTCCAAATGTCCACTTCCAGATACTACAAAAGGAGTGATTCCAACCTGCTCTATGATAGGGAATGTTCAACTCTGTGTCCTGAATACAAACATCACAAAGATGTTTCTCAGAACGCTGCAGTCTGCAATTTGTATGAATTCCCGCTTCCAACGAAATCCTCAAAACTAGCCAAATATCCACTTGCAGATTCCACAAAAAGAGCGTTTCAAAACTTCTCTATGAAAAGAAAGGTTCTACTCCTTTAGTTGAGGACACACATCACGAGTAAGTTTCTGAGAATGCTTCTGTCTAGTTTTTATGGGAAGATATTTCCTTTTTCACCTTAGGCCAGAAAGCGCTCCAAATGTCCACTTGCACACACTACAAAAAGAGTGTTTCAAACCTGCTCTGTGAAAGGGAATGTTCAATTCTGTGACTTGAATACAATCATCACAAAGAACTTTCTGAGAATGCTGCTGACTGCTTTTTATATGTAATCCCGTTTCCAACGAAATCCTCAAATCTAGCCAAATATCCACTTGCAGATTCCACAAAAAGAGTGTTTCAAAACTGTTCTGTCTAAAGAAATGTACAACTGTGTTAGTTGAGGACACACATCCGAAACTAGTTTCTGAGAATGCTTCTGTCTAGTTGTTATGGGAAGAGATTTCCTTTTCCAACGTAGGCCTGAAAGCGCTCCAAATGTCCTTCCATATACTAAAAAAAGAGTGTTTCAAACCTGCTCTACCAAAGGGAATGTTCTACTCTGTGACTTGAATGCAAACATCCCAAAGAAGTTTCTGAGAATGCTTCTGTCTAGATTTGATCTGAAGACAATCCCGTTTCCAACGAAATCCTCAAGGCTAGGCAAATATCCTCTTGCAGATTCCAGAAAAAGAGTGTTTCAAAACTGCTCCTTCAAAACGGTGGTTCAATTCTCTTAGTTGAGTACACACATCTCAAATAAGTTTCTGAGAATGCTTCTGCCTAGTTGTTACGGGAAGATATTTCCCTTTCCAACATGGGCCTGAAAGCGCTCCAAATGTCCACTTCCAGATACTACAAAAAGAGTGTTTCAAACCTGCTCTACCAAAGGGAATGTTCTACTCTGTGACTTGAATGCAAACATCCCAAAGAAGTTTCTGAGAATGCTTCTGTCTAGATTTTACCTGAAGACAATCCCGTTTCCCACGAAATCCTCAAAGCTATGCAAATATCCTCTTGCAGATTCTACAAAAAGAGTGTTTCAAAACTGCTCTATGAAAAGAAAGGTTCAACTCTGTCAGTAGAGGGCACACATCACAAACAAGTTTCTGAGAATGCTTGTGTCTAGTTGTTATGGGAAGATATTTCCTTTTTCAACATAGGCCTGAAAGCGCTCCAAATGTCCACTTCCAGATACTACAAAAGGAGTGATTCCAACCTGCTCTATGATAGGGAATGTTCAACTCTCTGTCCTGAATACAAACATCACAAAGATGTTTCTCAGAACGCTGCAGTCTGCAATTTGTATGAATTCCCGCTTCCAACGAAATCCTCAAAACTAGCCAAATATCCACTTGCAGATTCCACAAAAAGACCATTTCAAAACTGCTCTATCAAAAGAAAGGTTCAACTTTGTTAGTTGAGTAGATACAGCATAAACAAGTTTCTGAGAATGCTTCTGTCCAGTTTTTATGGGAAGATATTTCCTTTTTCACCTTAGCCCTGAAATCGCTCCAAAAGTCCAGTTCCAGATACTACAAAAGGGGTGTTTCAAGACTGCTCTATGAAAGGGAGTGTTCAACTTTTGACTTGAATGCAAACATCAGAAAGCAGTTTCTCAGAACGCTGCTGTGTGCTTTTTATATGTATTCCCGCTTCCAGCGAAATCCCCAAAGCTAGCCAAATATCCACTTGCAGATTCCAGAAAAAGAGAGTTTCAAAACTGCTCCTTCAAAACGGTGGTTCAATTCTCTTAGTTGAGTACACACATCTCAAATAAGTTTCTGAGAATGCTGCAGTCTGCAATTTGTATGAATTCCAGCTTCCAACGAAATCCTCAAATCTAGCCAAATATCCACTTGCAGATTCCACAAAAAGAGCATTTCAAAACTGCTCTGTCAAAAGAAAGGTTCAACTTTCTTAGTAGAGTAGATACAGCATAAACAAGTTTCTGAGAATGCTGCAGTCTGCAATTTGTATGAATTCCCGCTTCCAACGAAATCCTCAAAACTAGCCAAATATCCACTTGCAGATTCCACAAAAAGAGCGTTTCAAAACTTCTCTATGAAAAGAAAGGTTCTACTCCTTTAGTTGAGGACACACATCACGAGTAAGTTTCTGAGAATGCTTCTGTCTAGTTTTTATGGGAAGATATTTCCTTGTTCACCTTAGGCCGGAAAGCGCTCCAAATGTCCACTTACACACACTACAAAAAGAGTGTTTCAAACCTGCTCTGTGAAAGGGAATGTTCAATTCTGTGACTTGAATGCAATCATCACAAAGAAGTTTCTGAGAATGCTGCTGTCTGCTTTTTAAATGTAATCCCGTTTCCAACGAAATCCTCAAATCTAGCCAAATATCCACTTGCAGATTCCACAAAAAGAGTGTTTCAAAACTGTTCTGTCTAAAGAAATGTTCAACTGTGTTAGTTGAGGACACACATCAGAAACTAGTTTCTGAGAATGCTTCTGTCTAGTTGTTATGGGAAGATATTTCCTTTTCCAACGTAGGCCTGAAAGCGCTCCAAATGTCCACTTCCATATACTAAAAAAAGAGTGTTTCAAACCTGCTCTACCAAAGGGAATGTTCTACTCTGTGACTTGAATGCAAACATCCCAAAGAAGTTTCTGAGAATGCTTCTGTCTAGATTTGATCTGAAGACAATCCCGTTTCCAACGAAATCCTCAAGGCTAGGCAAATATCCTCTTGCAGATTCCAGAAAAAGAGTGTTTCAAAACTGCTCCTTCAAAACGGTGGTTCAATTCTCTTAGTTGAGTACACACATCTCAAATAAGTTTCTGAGAATGCTTCTGCCTAGTTGTTACGGGAAGATATTTCCCTTTCCAACATAGGCCTGAAAGCGCTCCAAATGTCCACTTCCAGATACTACAAAAAGAGTGTTTCAAACCTGCTCTACCAAAGGGAATGTTCTACTCTGTGACTTGAATGCAAACATCCCAAAGAAGTTTCTGAGAATGCTTCTGTCTAGATTTTACCTGAAGACAATCCCGTTTCCCACGAAATCCTCAAAGCTATGCAAATATCCTCTTGCAGATTCTACAAAAAGAGTGTTTCAAAACTGCTCTATGAAAAGAAAGGTTCTACTCATTTAGTGGAGGACACACATCACGAGTAAGTTTCTGAGAATGCTTCTGTCTAGTTTTTATGGGAAGATATTTCCTTTTTCACCTTAGGCCGGAAAGTGCTCCAAATGTCCACTTCCAGATACTACAAAAGGAGTGATTCCAACCTGCTCTATGATACGGAATGTTCAACTCTCTGTCCTGAATACAAACATCACAAAGATGTTTCTCAGAACGCTGCAGTCTGCAATTTGCATGAATTCCAGCTTCCAACGAAATCCTCAAAACTAGCCAAATATCCACTTGCAGATTCCACAAAAAGAGCATTTCAAAACTGCTCTATCAAAAGAAAGGTTCAACTTTGTTAGTAGAGTAGATACAGCATAAACAAGTTTCTGAGAATGCTTCTGTCCAGTTTTTATGGGAAGATATTTCCTTTTTCACCTTAGCCCTGAAATCGCTCCAAAAGTCCAGTTCCAGATACTACAAAAGGGGTGTTTCAAGACTGCTCTATGAAAGGGAGTGTTCAACTTTTGACTTGAATGCAAACATCAGAAAGCAGTTTCTCAGAACGCTGCTGTGTGCTTTTTATATGTATTCCCGCTTCCAGCGAAATCCCCAAAGCTAGCCAAATATCCACTTGCAGATTCCAGAAAAAGAGAGTTTCAAAACTGCTCCTTCAAAACGGTGGTTCAATTCTCTTAGTTGAGTACACACATCTCAAATAAGTTTCTGAGAATGCTGCAGTCTGCAATTTGTATGAATTCCCGCTTCCAAAGAAATCCTCAAAACTAACCAAATATCCACTTGCAGACTCCACAAAAAGAGCATTTCAAAACTGCTCTATCAAAAGAAAGGTTCAACTTTGTTAGCTGAGTAGATACAGCATAAACAAGTTTCTGAGAATGCTGCAGTCTGCAATTTGTATGAATTCCCGCTTCCAACGAAATCCTCAAAACTAGGCAAATATCCACTTGCAGATTCCACAAAAAGAGCGTTTCAAAACTTCTCTATGAAAAGAAAGGTTCTACTCCTTTAGTTGAGGACACACATCACGAGTAAGTTTCTGAGAATGCTTCTGTCTAGTTTTTATGGGAAGATATTTCCTTTTTCACCTTAGGCCGGAAAGTGCTCCAAATGTCCACTTACACACACTACAAAAAGAGTGTTTCAAACCTGCTCTGTGAAAGGGAATGTTCAATTCTGTGACTTGAATGCAATCATCACAAAGAACTTTCTGAGAATGCTTGCTGTCTGCTTTTTATATGTAATCCCGTTTCCAACGAAATCCTCAAATCTAGCCCAATATCCACTTGCAGATTCCACAAAAAGAGTGCTTCAAAACTGTTCTGTATAAAGAAATGTACAACTGTGTTAGTTGAGGACACACATCAGAAACTAGTTTCTGAGAATGCTTCTGTCTAGTTGTTATGGGAAGATATTTCCTTTTCCAACGTAGGCCTGAAAGCGCTCCAAATGTCCACTTCCATATACTAAAAAAAGAGTGTTTCAAACCTGCTCTACCAAAGGGAATGTTCTACTCTGTGACTTGAATGCAAACATCCCAAAGAAGTTTCTGAGAATGCTTCTGTCTAGATTTGATCTGAAGACAATCCCGTTTCCAACGGAATCCTCAAAGCTAGGCAAATATACTCTTGCAGATTCCAGAAAAAGAGTGTTTCAAAACTGCTCCTTCAAAAGGGTGGTTCAATTCTCTTAGTTGAGTACACACATCTCAAATAAGTTTCTGAGAATGCTTCTGCCTAGTTGTTACGGGAAGATATTTCCCTTTCCAACATGGGCCTGAAAGCGCTCCAAATGTCCACTTCCAGATACTACAAAAAGAGTGTTTCAAACCTGCTCTACCAAAGGGAATGTTCTACTCTGTGACTTGAATGCAAACATCCCAAAGAAGTTTCTGAGAATGCTTCTGTCTAGATTTTACCTGAAGACAATCCCGTTTCCCACGAAATCCTCAAAGCTATGCAAATATCCTCTTGCAGATTCTACAAAAAGAGTGTTTCAAAACTGCTCTATGAAAAGAAAGGTTCAACTCTGTCACTAGAGGGCACACATCACAAACAAGTTTCTGAGAATGCTTCTGCATAGTTGTTACGGGAAGATATTTCCCTTTCCAACATAGGCCTGAAAGCGCTCCAAATGTCCACTTCCAGATACTACAAAAGGAGTGATTCCAACCTGCTCTATGATAGGGAATGTTCAACTCTGTGTCCTGAATACAAACATCACAAAGATGTTTCTCAGAACGCTGCAGTCTGCAATTTGTATGAATTCCCGCTTCCAACGAAATCCTCAAAACTAGCCAAATATCCACTTGCAGATTCCACAAAAAGACCATTTCAAAACTGCTCTATCAAAAGAAAGGTTCAACTTTGTTAGTTGAGTAGATACAGCATAAACAAGTTTCTGAGAATGCTTCTGTCCAGTTTTTATGGGAAGATATTTCCTTTTTCACCTTAGCCCTGAAATCGCTCCAAAAGTCCAGTTCCAGATACTACAAAAGGGGTGTTTCAAGACTGCTCTATGAAAGGGAGTGTTCAACTTTTGACTTGAATGCAAACATCAGAAAGCAGTTTCTCAGAACGCTGCAGTCTGCAATTTGTATGAATTCCCGCTTCCAACGAAATCCTCAAAACTAGCCAAATATCCACTTGCAGATTCCACAAAAAGAGCGTTTCAAAACTTCTCTATGAAAAGAAAGGTTCTACTCCTTTAGTTGAGGACACACATCACGAGTAAGTTTCTGAGAATGCTTCTGTCTAGTTTTTATGGGAAGATATTTCCTTTTTCACCTTAGGCCGGAAAGTGCTCCAAATGTCCACTTACACACACTACAAAAAGAGTGTTTCAAACCTGCTCTGTGAAAGGGAATGTTCAATTCTGTGACTTGAATGCAATCATCACAAAGAACTTTCTGAGAATGCTGCTGTCTGCTTTTTATATGTAATCCCGTTTCCAACGAAATCCTCAAATCTAGCCAAATAGCCACTTGCAGATTCCACAAAAAGAGTGTTTCAAAACTGTTCTGTCTAAAGAAATGTTCAACTGTGTTAGTTGAGGACACACATCAGAAACTAGTTTCTGAGAATGCTTCTGTCTAGTTGTGATGGGAAGATATTTCCTTTTCCAACGTAGGCCTGAAAGCGCTCCAAATGTCCACTTCCATATACTAAAAAAAGATTGTTTCAAACCTGCTCTACCAAAGGGAATGTTCTACTCTGTGACTTGAATGCAAACATCCCAAAGAAGTTTCTGAGAATGCTTCTGTCTAGATTTTATCTGAAGACAATCCCGTTTCCAACGAAATCCTCAAGGCTAGGCAAATATACTCTTGCAGATTCCAGAAAAAGAGGGTTTCAAAACTGCTCCTTCAAAACGATGGTTCAATTCTCTTCGTTGAGTACACACATCTCAAATAAGTTTCTGAGAATGCTTCTGCCTAGTTGTTACGGGAAGATATTTCCCTTTCCAACATAGGCCTGAAAGCGCTCCAAATGTCCACTTCCAGATACTATAAAAAGAGTGTTTCAAACCTGCTCTAACAAAGGGAATGTTCTACTCTGTGACTTGAATGCAAACATCCCAAAGAAGTTTCTGAGAATGCTTCTGTCTAGATTTTACCTGAAGACAATCCCGTTTCCCACGAAATCCTCAAAGCTATGCAAATATCCTCTTGCAGATTCTACAAAAAGAGTGTTTCAAAACTGCTCTATGAAAAGAAAGGTTCAACTCTGTCAGTAGAGGGCACACATCACAAACAAGTTTCTGAGAATGCTTGTGTCTAGTTGTTATGGGAAGATATTTCCTTTTTCAACATAGGCCTGAAAGCGCTCCAAATGTCCACTTCCACATACTACAAAAGGAGTGATTCCAACCTGCTCTATGATAGGGAATGTTCATCTCTGTGTCCTGAATACAAACATCACAAAGATGTTTCTCAGAACGCTGCAGTCTGCAATTTGTATGAATTCCCGCTTCCAACGAAATCCTCAAAACTAGCCAAATATCCACTTGCAGATTCCACAAAAAGACCATTTCAAAACTGCTCTATCAAAAGAAAGGTTCAACTTTGTTAGTTGAGTAGATACAGCATAACCAAGTTTCTGAGAATGCTTCTGTCCAGTTTTTATGGGAAGATATTTCCTTTTTCACCTTAGCCCTGAAATCGCTCCAAAAGTCCAGTTCCAGATACTACAAAAGGGGTGTTTCAAGACTGCTCTATGAAAGGGAGTGTTCAACTTTTGACTTGAATGCAAACATCAGAAAGCAGTTTCTCAGAACGCTGCTGTGTGCTTTTTATATGTATTCCCGCTTCCAGCGAAATCCCCAAAGCTAGCCAAATATCCACTTGCAGATTCCAGAAAAAGAGTGTTTCCAAACTGCTCCTTCAAAACGGTGGTTCAATTCTCATAGTTGAGTACACACATCTCCAATAAGTTTCTGGGAATGCTTGTGTCTAGTTGTTATGGGAAGATATTTCCTTTTTCAACATAGGCCTGAAAGCGCTCCAAATGTCCACTTCCAGATACTACAAAAGGAGTGATTCCAACCTGCTCTATGATAGGGAATGTTCATCTCTGTGTCCTGAATACAAACATCACAAAGATGTTTCTCAGAACGCTGCAGTCTGCAATTTGTATGAATTCCCGCTTCCAACGAAATCCTCAAAACTAACCAAATATCCACTTGGAGATTCCACAAAAAGAGCGTTTCAAAACTTCTCTATGAATAGAAAGGTTCTACTCCTTTAGTTGAGGACACACATCACGAGTAAGTTTCTGAGAATGCTTCTGTCTAGTTTTTATGGGAAGATATTTCCTTGTTCACCTTAGGCCGGAAAGCACTCCAAATGTCCACTTACACACACTACAAAAAGAGTGTTTCAAACCTGCTCTGTGAAAGGGAATGTTCAATTCTGTGACTTGAATGCAATCATCACAAAGAAGTTTCTGAGAATGCTGCTGTCTGCTTTTTATATGTAATCCCGTTTCCAACGAAATCCTCAAATCTAGCCAAATAGCCACTTGCAGATTCCACAAAAAGAGTGTTTCAAAACTGTTCTGTCTAAAGAAATGTTCAACTGTGTTAGTTGAGGACACACATCAGAAACTAGTTTCTGAGAATGCTTCTGTCTAGTTGTTATGGGAAGATATTTCCTTTTCCAACGTAGGCCTGAAAGCGCTCCAAATGTCCACTTCCAGATACTACAAAAAGAGTGTTTCAAACCTGCTCTACCAAAGGGAATGTTCTACTCTGTGACTGGAATGCAAGCATCCCAAAGAAGTTTCTGAGAATGTTTCTGTCTAGATTTGATCTGAAGACAATCCCTTTTCCAACGAAATCCTCAAAGCTAGGCAAATATCCTCTTGCAGATTCCAGAAAAAGAGTGTTTCCAAACTGCTCCTTCAAAACGGTGGTTCAATTCTCTTAGTTGAGTACACACATCTCAAATAAGTTTCTGAGAATGCTTCTGCCTAGTTGTTAAGGGAAGATATTTCCCTTTCCAACATGAGCCTGAAAGCGCTCCATATGTCCACTTCCAGATACTACAAAAAGAGTGTTTCAAACCTGCTCTACCAAAGGGAATGTTCTACTCTGTGACTTGAATGCAAACATCCCAAAGAAGTTTCTGAGAATGCTTCTGTCTAGATTTTACCTGAAGACAATCCCGTTTCCCACGAAATCCTCAAAGCTATGCAAATATCCTCTTGCAGATTCTACAAAAAGAGTGTTTCAAAACTGCTCTATGAAAAGAAAGGTTCAACTCTGTCAGTAGAGGGCACACATCACAAACAAGTTTCTGAGAATGCTTGTGTCTAGTTGTTATGGGAAGATATTTCCTTTTTCAACATAGGCCTGAAAGCGCTCCAAATGTCCACTTCCAGATACTACAAAAGGAGTGATTCCCACCTGCTCTATGATAGGGAATGTTCAACTCTCTGTCCTGAATACAAACATCACAAAGATGTTTCTCAGAACGCTGCAGTCTGCAATTTGTATGAATTCCAGCTTCCAACGAAATCCTCAAAACTAGCCAAATATCCACTTGCAGATTCCACAAAAAGAGCATTTCAAAACTGCTCTATCAAAAGAAAGGTTCAACTTTGTTAGTAGAGTAGATACAGCATAAACAAGTTTCTGAGAATGCTTCTGTCCAGTTTTTATGGGAAGATATTTCCTTTTTCACCTTAGCCCTGAAATCGCTCCAAAAGTCCAGTTCCAGATACTACAAAAGGGGTGTTTCAAGACTGCTCTATGAAAGGGAGTGTTCAACTTTTGACTTGAATGCAAACATCAGAAAGCAGTTTCTCAGAACGCTGCTGTGTGCTTTTTATATGTATTCCCGCTTCCAGCGAAATCCCCAAAGCTAGCCAAATATCCACTTGCAGATTCCAGAAAAAGAGTGTTTCAAAACTGCTCCTTCAAAACGGTGGTTCAATTCTCTTAGTTGAGTACACACATCTCAAATAAGTTTCTGAGAATGCTTCTGCCTAGTTGTTATGGGAAGATATTTCCTTTTTCAACATAGGCCTGAAAGCGCTCCAAATGTCCACTTCCAGATACTACAAAAGGAGTGATTCCAACCTGCTCTATGATAGAGAATGTTCAACTCTGTGTCCTGAATACAAACATCACAAAGTTGTTTCTCAGAACGCTGCAGTCTGCAATTTGTATGAATTCCCGCTTCCAACGAAATCCTCAAAACTAGCCAAATATCCACTTGGAGATTCCACAAAAAGAGCGTTTCAAAACTTCTCTATGAATAGAAAGGTTCTACTCCTTTAGTTGAGGACACACATCACGAGTAAGTTTCTGAGAATGCTTCTGTCTAGTTTTTATGGGAAGATATTTCCTTTTTCACCTTAGGCCGGTAAGTGCTCCAAATGTCCACTTACACACACTACAAAAAGAGTGTTTCAAACCTGCTCTGTGAAAGGGAATGTTCAATTCTGTGACTTGAATGCAATCATCACAAAGAACTTTCTGAGAATGCTGCTGTCTGCTTTTTATATGTATTCCCGTTTCCAACGAAATCCTCAAAGCCAGCCAAATATCCACTTGCAGATTCCACAAAAAGAGTGTTTCAAAACTGCTCTCTCAAAAGAAATGTTCAACTCTGTCAGTTGAGGACACACATCACAAATAAGTTTCTGAGAATGCTTCTGTCTAGTTGTTATGGGAAGATATTTCCTTTTCCAACGTAGGCCTGAAAGCGCTCCAAATGTCCACTTCCATATACTAAAAAAAGAGTGTTTCAAACCTGCTCTACCAAAGGGAATGTTCTACTCTGTGACTTGAATGCAAACATCCCAAAGAAGTTTCTGAGAATGCTTCTGTCTAGATTTTATCTGAAGACAATCCCGTTTCCAACGAAATCCTCAAGGCTAGGCAAATATACTCTTGCAGATTCCATAAAAAGAGTGTTTCAAAACTGCTCCTTGAAAACGGTGGTTCAATTCTCTTAGTTGAGTACACACATCTCAAATAAGTTTCTGAGAATGCTTCTGCCTAGTTGTTACGGGAAGATATTTCCCTTTCCAACATAGGCCTGAAAGCGCTCCAAATGTCCACTTCCAGATACTACAAAAAGAGTGTTTCAAACCTGCTCTACCAAAGGGAATGTTCTACTCTGTGACTTGAATGCAAACATCCCAAAGAAGTTTCTGAGAATGCTTCTGTCTAGATTTTACCTGAAGACAATCCCGTTTCCCACGAAATCCTCAAAGCTATGCAAATATCCTCTTGCAGATTCTACAAAAAGAGTGTTTCAAAACTGCTCTATGAAAAGAAAGGTTCAACTCTGTCAGTGGAGGGCACACATCACAAACAAGTTTCTGAGAACGCTTGTGTCTAGTTGTTATGGGAAGATATTTCCTTTTTCAACATAGGCCTGAAAGCGCTCCAAATGTCCACTTCCAGATACTACAAAAGGAGTGATTCCAACCTGCTCTATGATAGGGAATGTTCAACTCTCTGTCCTGAATACAAACATCACAAAGATGTTTCTCAGAACGCTGCAGTCTGCAATTTGTATGAATTCCCGCTTCCAACGAAATCCTCAAAACTAGCCAAATATCCACTTGCAGATTCCACAAAAAGACCATTTCAAAACTGCTCTATCAAAAGAAAGGTTCAACTTTGTTAGTTGAGTAGATACAGCATAACCAAGTTTCTGAGAATGCTTCTGTCCAGTTTTTATGGGAAGATATTTCCTTTTTCACCTTAGCCCTGAAAGCGCTCCAAAAGTCCAGTTCCAGATACTACAAAAGGAGTGTTTCAGGACTGCTCTATGAAAGGGAGTGTTCAACTTTTGACTTGAATGCAAACATCAGAAAGCAGTTTCTCAGAACGCTGCTGTGTGCTTTTTATATGTATTCCCGCTTCCAGCGAAATCCCCAAAGCTAGCCAAATATCCACTTGCAGATTCCAGAAAAAGAGAGTTTCAAAACTGCTCCTTCAAAACGGTGGTTCAATTCTCTTAGTTGAGTACACACATCTCAAATAAGTTTCTGAGAATGCTTCTGTCTATTTGTTATGGGAAGATATTTCCTTTTCCAACATAGGCCTGAAAGCGCTCCAAATGTCCACTTCCAGATACTACAAAAGGAGTGATTCAAACCTGCTCTATGATAGGGGAACGTTCAACTCTGTGTCCTGAATACAAACATCACAAAGATGTTTCTCAGAACGCTGCAGTCTGCAATTTGTATGAATTCCCGCTTCCAACGAAATCCCCAAAACTAGCCAAATATCCACTTGGAGATTCCACAAAAAGAGCGTTTCAAAACTTCTCTATGAATAGAAAGGTTCTACTCCTTTAGTTGAGGACACACATCACGAGTAAGTTTCTGAGAATGCTTCTGTCTAGTTTTTATGGGAAGATATTTCCTTGTTCACCTTAGGCCGGAAAGCGTTCCAAATGTCCACTTACACACACTACAAAAAGAGTGTTTCAAACCTGCTCTGTGAAAGGGAATGTTCAATTCTGTGACTTGAATGCAATCATCACAAAGAAGTTTCTGAGAATGCTGCTGACTGCTTTTTATATGTAATCCCGTTTCCAACGAAATCCTCAAATCTAGCCAAATAGCCACTTGCAGATTCCACAAAAAGAGTGTTTCAAAACTGTTCTGTCTAAAGAAATGTTCAACTGTGTTAGTTGAGGACACACATCAGAAACTAGTTTCTGAGAATGCTTCTGTCTAGTTGTTATGGGAAGATATTTCCTTTTCCAACGTAGGACTGGAAGCGCTCCAAATGTCCACTTCCAGATACTACAAAAAGAGTGTTTCAAACCTGCTCTACCAAAGGGAATGTTCTCCTCTGTGACTTGAATGCAAACATCCCAAAGAAGTTTCTGAGAATGCTTTTGTCTAGATTTTATCTGAAGACAATCCGGTTTCCAACGAAATCCTCAAGGCTAGGCAAATATACTCTTGCAGATTCCAGAAAAAGAGTGTTTCAAAACTGCTCCTTCAAAACGGTGGTTCAATTCTCTTAGTTGAGTACACACATCTCAAATAAGTTTCTGAGAATGCTTCTGCCTAGTTGTTACGGGAAGATATTTCCCTTTCCAACATGGGCCTGAAAGCGCTCCAAATGTCCACTTCCAGATACTACAAAAAGAGTGTTTCAAACCTGCTCTACCAAAGGGAATGTTCTACTCTGTGACTTGAATGCAAACATCCCAAAGAAGTTTCTGAGAATGCTTCTGTCTAGATTTTACCTGAAGACAATCCCGTTTCCCACGAAATCCTCAAAGCTATGCAAATATCCTCTTGCAGATTCTACAAAAAGAGTGTTTCAAAACTGCTCTATGAAAAGAAAGGTTCAACTCTGTCAGTAGAGGGCACACATCACAAACAAGTTTCTGAGAATGCTTGTGTCTACTTGTTATGGGAAGATATTTCCTTTTTCAACATAGGCCTGAAAGCGCTCCAAATGTCCACTTCCAGATACTACAAAAGGAGTGATTCCAACCTGCTCTATGATAGGGAATGTTCAACTCTGTGTCCTGAATACAAACATCACAAAGATGTTTCTCAGAACGCTGCAGTCTGCAATTTGTATGAATTCCCGCTTCCAAAGAAATCCTCAAAACTAACCAAATATCCACTTGCAGACTCCACAAAAAGAGCATTTCAAAACTGCTCTATCAAAAGAAAGGTTCAACTTTGTTAGCTGAGTAGATACAGCATAAACAAGTTTCTGAGAATGCTGCTGTCTGCTTTTTATATGTAATCCCGTTTCCAACGAAATCCTCAAATCTAGCCAAATAGCCACTTGCAGATTCCACAAAAAGAGTGTTTCAAAACTTCTCTATGAAAAGAAATGTTCTACTCCTTTAGTTGAGGACACACATCACGAGTAAGTTTCTGAGAATGCTTCTGTCTAGTTTTTATGGGAAGATATTTCCTTTTTCACCTTAGGCCGGTAAGTGCTCCAAATGTCCACTTACACACACTACAAAAAGAGTGTTTCAAACCTGCTCTGTGAAAGGGAATGTTCAATTCTGTGACTTGAATGCAATCATCACAAAGAACTTTCTGAGAATGCTGCTGACTGCTTTTTATATGTAATCCCGTTTCCAACGAAATCCTCAAATCTAGCCAAATAGCCACTTGCAGATTCCACAAAAAGAGTGTTTCAAAACTGTTCTGTCTAAAGAAATGTTCAACTGTGTTAGTTGAGGACACACATCAGAAACTAGTTTCTGAGAATGCTTCTGTCTAGTTGTTATGGGAAGATATTTCCTTTTCCAACGTAGGCCTGAAAGCGCTCCAAATGTCCACTTCCATATACTAAAAAAAGAGTGTTTCAAACCTGCTCTACCAAAGGGAATGTTCTACTCTGTGACTTGAATGCAAACATCCCAAAGAAGTTTCTGAGAATGCTTCTGTCTAGAATTTATCTGAAGACAATCCCGTATCCAACGAAATCCTCAAGGCTAGGCAAATATATACTTGCAGAATACAGAAAAAGAGTGTTTCAAAACTGCTCCTTCAAAACGGTGGTTCAATTCTCTTAGTTGAGTACACACATCTCAAATAAGTTTCTGAGAATGCTTCTGCCTAGTTGTTACGGGAAGATATTTCCCTTTCCAACATGGGCCTGAAAGCGCTCCAAATGTCCACTTCCAGATACTACAAAAAGAGTGTTTCAAACCTGCTCTACCAAAGGGAATGTTCTACTCTGTGACTTGAATGCAAACATCCCAAAGAAGTTTCTGAGAATGCTTCTGTCTAGATTTTACCTGAAGACAATCCCGTTTCCCACGAAATCCTCAAAGCTATGCAAATATCCTCTTGCAGATTCTACAAAAAGAGTGTTTCAAAACTGCTCTATGAAAAGAAAGGTTCAACTCTGTCAGTAGAGGGCACACATCACAAACAAGTTTCTGAGAATGCTTGTGTCTAGTTGTTATGGGAAGATATTTCCTTTTTCAACATAGGCCTGAAAGCGCTCCAAATGTCCACTTCCAGATACTACAAAAGGAGTGATTCCAACCTGCTCTATGATAGGGAATGTTCATCTCTGTGTCCTGAATACAAACATCACAAAGATGTTTCTCAGAACGCTGCAGTCTGCAATTTGTATGAATTCCCGCTTCCAACGAAATCCTCAAAACTAGCCAAATATCCACTTGCAGATTCCACAAAAAGAGCATTTCAAAACTGCTCTATCAAAAGAAAGGTTCAACTTTGTTAGTTGAGTAGATACAGCATAAAAAAGTTTCTGAGAATGCTTCTGTCCAGTTTTTATGGGAAGATATTTCCTTTTTCACCTTAGCCCTGAAATCGCTCCAAAAGTCCAGTTCCAGATACTACAAAAGGGGTGTTTCAGGACTGCTCTATGAAAGGGAGTGTTCAACTTTTGACTTGAATGCAAACATCAGAAAGCAGTTTCTCAGAACGCTGCTGTGTGCTTTTTATATGTATTCCCGCTTCCAGCGAAATCCCCAAAGCTAGCCAAATATCCACTTGCAGATTCCAGAAAAAGAGTGTTTCAAAACTGCTCCTTCAAAACGGTGGTTCAATTCTCTTAGTTGAGTACACACATCTCAAATAAGTTTCTGAGAATGCTGCTGTGTGCTTTTTATATGTATTCCCGCTTCCAGCGAAATCCCCAAAGCTAGCCAAATATCCACTTGCAGATTCCAGAAAAAGAGAGTTTCTAAACTGCTCCTTCAAAACGGTGGTTCAATTCTCTTAGTTGAGTACACACATCTCAAATAAGTTTCTGAGAATGCTTCTGTCTAGTTGTTATGGGAAGATATTTCCTTTTCCAACATAGGCCTGAAAGCGCTCCAAATGTCCACTTCCAGATACTACAAAAGGAGTGATTCAAACCTGCTCTATGATAGGGAATGTTCAACTCTGTGTCCTGAATACAAACATCACAAAGATGTTTCTCAGAACGCTGCAGTCTGCAATTTGTATGAATTCCCGCTTCCAACGAAATCCTCAAAACTAGCCAAATATCCACTTGCAGATTCCACAAAAAGACCATTTCAAAACTGCTCTATCAAAAGAAAGGTTCAACTTTGTTAGTTGAGTAGATACAGCATAAACAAGTTTCTGAGAATGCTTCTGTCCAGTTTTTATGGGAAGATATTTCCTTTTTCACCTTAGCCCTGAAATCGCTCCAAAAGTCCAGTTCCAGATACTACAAAAGGGGTGTTTCAAGACTGCTCTATGAAAGGGAGTGTTCAACTTTTGACTTGAATGCAAACATCAGAAAGCAGTTTCTCAGAACGCTGCTGTGTGCTTTTTATATGTATTCCCGCTTCCAGCGAAATCCCCAAAGCTAGCCAAATATCCACTTGCAGATTCCAGAAAAAGAGTGTTTCAAAACTGCTCCTTCAAAACGGTGGTTCAATTCTCTTAGTTGAGTACACACATCTCAAATAAGTTTCTGAGAATGCTTGTGTCTAGTTGTTATGGGAAGATATTTCCTTTTTCAACATAGGCCTGAAAGCGCTCCAAATGTCCACTTCCAGATACTACAAAAGGAGTGATTCCAACCTGCTCTATGATAGGGAATGTTCATCTCTGTGTCCTGAATACAAACATCACAAAGATGTTTCTCAGAACGCTGCAGTCTGCAATTTGTATGAATTCCCGCTTCCAACGAAATCCTCAAAACTAACCAAATATCCACTTGGAGATTCCACAAAAAGAGCGTTTCAAAACTTCTCTATGAATAGAAAGGTTCTACTCCTTTAGTTGAGGACACACATCACGAGTAAGTTTCTGAGAATGCTTCTGTCTAGTTTTTATGGGAAGATATTTCCTTTTTCACCTTAGGCCGGAAAGTGCTCCAAATGTCCACTTACACACACTACAAAAAGAGTGTTTCAAACCTGCTCTGTGAAAGGGAATGTTCAATTCTGTGACTTGAATGCAATCATCACAAAGAACTTTCTGAGAATGCTGCTGACTGCTTTTTATATGTAATCCCGTTTCCAACGAAATCCTCAAATCTAGCCCAATATCCACTTGCAGATTCCACAAAAAGAGTGTTTCAAAACTGTTCTGTATAAAGAAATGTACAACTGTGTTAGTTGAGGACACACATCAGAAACTAGTTTACTGAGAATGCTTTCTGTCTAGTTGTTATGGGAAGATATTTCCTTTTCCAACGTAGGCCTGAAAGCGCTCCAAATGTCCACTTCCATATACTAAAAAAAGAGTGTTTCAAACCTGCTCTACCAAAGGGAATGTTCTACTCTGTGACTTGAATGCAAACATCCCAAAGAAGTTTCTGAGAATGCTTCTGTCTAGATTTTATCTGAAGACAATCCCGTTTCCAACGAAATCCTCAAGGCTAGGCAAATATACTCTTGCAGATTCCAGAAAAAGAGGGTTTCAAAACTGCTCCTTCAAAACGGTGGTTCAATTCTCTTAGTTGAGTACACACATCTCAAATAAGTTTCTGAGAATGCTTCTGCCTAGTTGTTACGGGAAGATATTTCCCTTTCCAACATGGGCCTGAAAGCGCTCCAAATGTCCACTTCCAGATACTACAAAAAGAGTGTTTCAAACCTGCTCTACCAAAGGGAATGTTCTACTCTGTGACTTGAATGCAAACATCCCAAAGAAATTTCTGAGAATGCTTCTGTCTAGATTTTACCTGAAGACAATCCCGTTTCCCACGAAATCCTCAAAGCTATGCAAATATCCTCTTGCAGATTCTACAAAAAGAGTGTTTCAAAACTGCTCTATGAAAAGAAAGGTTCAACTCTGTCAGTAGAGGGCACACATCACAAACAAGTTTCTGAGAATGCTTGTGTCTAGTTGTTATGGGAAGATATTTCCTTTTTCAACATAGGCCTGAAAGCGCTCCAAATGTCCACTTCCAGATACTACAAAAGGAGTGATTCCAACCTGCTCTATGATAGGGAATGTTCAACTCTCTGTCCTGAATACAAACATCACAAAGATGTTTCTCAGAACGCTGCAGTCTGCAATTTGTATGAATTCCCGCTTCCAACGAAATCCTCAAAACTAGCCAAATATCCACTTGCAGATTCCACAAAAAGACCATTTCAAAACTGCTCTATCAAAAGAAAGGTTCAACTTTGTTAGTTGAGTAGATACAGCATAAACAAGTTTCTGAGAATGCTTCTGTCCAGTTTTTATGGGAAGATATTTCCTTTTTCACCTTAGCCCTGAAATCGCTCCAAAAGTCCAGTTCCAGATACTACAAAAGGGGTGTTTCAGGACTGCCCTATGAAAGGGAGTGTTCAACTTTTGACTTGAATGCAAACATCAGAAAGCAGTTTCTCAGAACGCTGCTGTGTGCTTTTTATATGTATTCCCGCTTCCAGCGAAATCCCCAAAGCTAGCCAAATATCCAATTGCAGATTCCAGAAAAAGAGTGTTTCAAAACTGCTCCTTCAAAACGGTGGTTCAATTCTCTTAGTTGAGTACACACATCTCAAATAAGTTTCTGAGAATGCTTCTGTCTAGTTGTTATGGGAAGATATTTCCTTTTCCAACATAGGCCTGAAGGCGCTCCAAATGTCCACTTCCAGATACTACAAAAGGAGTGATTCCAACCTGCTCTATGATAGGGAATGTTCAACTCTGTGTCCTGAATACAAACATCACAAAGATGTTTCTCAGAACGCTGCAGTCTGCAATTTGTATGAATTCCCGCTTCCAACGAAATCCTCAAAACTAGCCAAATATCCACTTGCAGATTCCACAAAAAGAGCGTTTCAAAACTTCTCTATGAAAAGAAAGGTTCTACCCCTTTAGTTGAGGACACACATCACGAGTAAGTTTCTGAGAATGCTTCTGTCTAGTTTTTATGGGAAGATATTTCCTTTTTCACCTTAGGCCGGTAAGTGCTCCAAATGTCCACTTACACACACTACAAAAAGAGTGTTTCAAACCTGCTCTGTGAAAGGGAATGTTCAATTCTGTGACTTGAATGCAATCATCACAAAGAACTTTCTGAGAATGCTGCTGTCTGCTTTTTATATGTAATCCCGTTTCCAACGAAATCCTCAAATCTAGCCCAATATCCACTTGCAGATTCCACAAAAAGAGTGTTTCAAAACTGTTCTGTCTAAAGAAAAGTTCAACTGTGTTAGTTGAGGACACACATCAGAAACTAGTTTCTGAGAATGCTTCTGTCTAGTTGTTATGGGAAGATATTTCCTTTTCCAACGTAGGCCTGAAAGCGCTCCAAATGTCCACTTACCCACACTACAAAAAGAGTGTTTCAAACCTGCTCTACCAAAGGGAATGTTCTACTCTGTGACTTGAATGCTAACATCCCAAAGAAGTTTCTGAGAATGCTTCTGTCTAGATTTTCTCTGAAGACAATCCCGTTTCCAACGAAATCCTCAAGGCTAGGCAAATATACTCTTGCAGATTCCAGAAAAAGAGTGTTTCAAAACTGCTCCTTCAAAACGGTGGTTCAATTCTCTTAGTTGAGTACACACATCTCAAATAAGTTTCTGAGAATGCTTCTGCCTAGTTGTTACGGGAAGATATTTCCCTTTCCAACATGGGCCTGAAAGCGCTCCAAATGTCCACTTCCAGATACTACAAAAAGAGTGTTTCAAACCTGCTCTACCAAAGGGAATGTTCTACTCTGTGACTTGAATGCAAACATCCCAAAGAAGTTTCTGAGAATGCTTCTGTCTAGATTTTACCTGAAGACAATCCCGTTTCCCACGAAATCCTCAAAGCTATGCAAATATCCTCTTGCAGATTCTACAAAAAGAGTGTTTCAAAACTGCTCTATGAAAAGAAAGGTTCAACTCTGTCAGTAGAGGGCACACATCACAAACAAGTTTCTGAGAATGCTTCTGCATAGTTGTTACGGGAAGATATTTCCCTTTCCAAAATAGGCCTGAAAGCGCTCCAAATGTCCACTTCCAGATACTACAAAAGGAGTGATTCCAACCTGCTCTATGATAGGGAATGTTCAACTCTGTGTCCTGAATACAAACATCACAAAGATGTTTCTCAGAACGCTGCAGTCTGCAATTTGTATGAATTCCCGCTTCCAACGAAATCCTCAAAACTAGCCAAATATCCACTTGCAGATTCCACAAAAAGACCATTTCAAAACTGCTCTATCAAAAGAAAGGTTCAACTTTGTTAGTTGAGTAGATACAGCATAACCAAGTTTCTGAGAATGCTTCTGTCCAGTTTTTATGGGAAGATATTTCCTTTTTCACCTTAGCCCTGAAATCGCTCCAAAAGTCCAGTTCCAGATACTACAAAAGGGGTGTTTCAAGACTGCTCTATGAAAGGGAGTGTTCAACTTTTGACTTGAATGCAAACATCAGAAAGCAGTTTCTCAGAACGCTGCTGTGTGCTTTTTATATGTATTCCCGCTTCCAGCGAAATCCCCAAAGCTAGCCAAATATCCACTTGCAGATTCCAGAAAAAGAGTGTTTCCAAACTGCTCCTTCAAAACGGTGGTTCAATTCTCTTAGTTGAGTACACACATCTCAAATAAGTTTCTGGGAATGCTTCTGTCTAGTTGTTATGGGAAGATATTTCCTTTTCCAACATAGGCCTGAAAGCGCTCCAAATGTCCACTTCCAGATACTACAAAAGGAGTGATTCAAACCTGCTCTATGATAGGGAATGTTCAACTCTGTGTCCTGAATACAAACATCACAAAGATGTTTCTCAGAACGCTGCAGTCTGCAATTTGTATGAATTCCCGCTTCCAACGAAATCCTCAACACTAGCCAAATATCCACTTGGAGATTCCACAAAAAGAGCGTTTCAAAACTTCTCTATGAATAGAAAGGTTCTACTCCTTTAGTTGAGGACACACATCACGAGTAAGTTTCTGAGAATGCTTCTGTCTAGTTTTTATGGGAAGATATTTCCTTTTTCACCTTAGGCCGGAAAGTGCTCCAAATGTCCACTTACACACACTACAAAAAGAGTGTTTCAAACCTGCTCTGTGAAAGGGAATGTTCAATTCTGTGACTTGAATGCAATCATCACAAAGAACTTTCTGAGAATGCTGCTGACTGCTTTTTATATGTAATCCCGTTTCCAACGAAATCCTCAAATCTAGCCCAATATCCACTTGCAGATTCCACAAAAAGAGTGTTTCAAAACTGTTCTGTCTAAAGTAATGTACAACTGTGTTAGTTGAGGACACACATCAGAAACTAGTTTCTGAGAATGCTTCTGTCTAGTTGTTATGGGAAGATATTTCCTTTTCCAACGTAGGCCTGAAAGCGCTCCAAATGTCCACTTCCATATACTAAAAAAAGAGTGTTTCACACCTGCTCTACCAAAGGGAATGTTCTACTCTGTGACTTGAATGCAAACATCCCAAAGAAGTTTCTGAGAATGCTTCTGTCTAGATTTTCTCTGAAGACAATCCCGTTTCCAACGAAATCCTCAAGGCTAGGCAAATATACTCTTGCAGATTCCAGAAAAAGAGTGTTTCAAAACTGCTCCTTCAAAACGGTGGTTCAATTCTCTTAGTTGAGTACACACATCTCAAATAAGTTTCTGAGAATGCTTCTGCCTAGTTGTTACGGGAAGATATTTCCCTTTCCAACATGGGCCTGAAAGCGCTCCAAATGTCCACTTCCAGATACTACAAAAAGAGTGTTTCAAACCTGCTCTACCAAAGGGAATGTTCTACTCTGTGACTTGAATGCAAACATCCCAAAGAAGTTTCTGAGAATGCTGCTGTCTGCTTTTTATATGTAATCCCGTTTCCAACGAAATCCTCAAACCTATGCAAATATCCTCTTGCAGATTCTACAAAAAGAGTGTTTCAAAACTGCTCTATGAAAAGAAAGGTTCAACTCTGTCAGTAGAGGGCACACATCACAAACAAGTTTCTGAGAATGCTTCTGCATAGTTGTTACGGGAAGATATTTCCCTTTCCAAAATAGGCCTGAAAGCGCTCCAAATGTCCACTTCCAGATACTACAAAAGGAGTGATTCCAACCTGCTCTATGATAGGGAATGTTCAACTCTGTGTCCTGAATACAAACATCACAAAGATGTTTCTCAGAACGCTGCAGTCTGCAATTTGTATGAATTCCCGCTTCCAACCGAAATCCTCAAAACTAGCCAAATATCCACTTGCAGATTCCACAAAAAGAGCATTTCAAAACTGCTCTATCAAAAGAAAGGTTCAACTTTGTTAGTTGAGTAGATACAGCATAAACAAGTTTCTGAGAATGCTTCTGTCCAGTTTTTATGGGAAGATATTTCCTTTTTCACCTTAGCCCTGAAATCGCTCCAAAAGTCCAGTTCCAGATACTACAAAAGGGGTGTTTCAGGACTGCTCTATGAAAGGGAGTGTTCAACTTTTGACTTGAATGCAAACATCAGAAAGCAGTTTCTCAGAACGCTGCTGTGTGCTTTTTATATGTATTCCCGCTTCCAGCGAAATCCCCAAAGCTAGCCAAATATCCACTTGCAGATTCCAGAAAAAGAGTGTTTCAAAACTGCTCCTTCAAAACGGTGGTTCAATTCTCTTAGTTGAGTACACACATCTCAAATAAGTTTCTGAGAATGCTTCTGTCTAGTTGTTATGGGAAGATATTTCCTTTTCCAACATAGGCCTGAAAGCGCTCCAAATGTCCACTTCCAGATACTACAAAAGGAGTGATTCAAACCTGCTCTATGATAGGGAATGTTCAACTCTGTGTCCTGAATACAAACATCACAAAGATGTTTCTCAGAACGCTGCAGTCTGCAATTTGTATGAATTCCCGCTTCCAACGAAATCCTCCAAACTAGCCAAATATCCACTTGCAGATTCCACAAAAAGAGCGTTTCAAAACTTCTCTATGAAAAGAAAGGTTCTACTCCTTTAGTTGAGGACACACATCACGAGTAAGTTTCTGAGAATGCTTCTGTCTAGTTTTTATGGGAAGATATTTCCTTTTTCACCTTAGGCCGGAAAGTGCTCCAAATGTCCACTTACACACACTACAAAAAGAGTGTTTCAAACCTGCTCTGTGAAAGGGAATGTTCAATTCTGTGACTTGAATGCAATCATCACAAAGAAGTTTCTGAGAATGCTGCTGTCTGCTTTTTATATGTAATCCCGTTTCCAACGAAATCCTCAAATCTAGCCAAATAGCCACTTGCAGATTCCACAAAAAGAGTGTTTCAAAACTGTTCTGTCTAAAGAAATGTTCAACTGTGTTAGTTGAGGACACACATCAGAAACTAGTTTCTGAGAATGCTTCTGTCTAGTTGTTATGGGAAGATATTTCCTTTTCCAACGTAGGCCTGAAAGCGCTCCAAATGTCCACTTCCATATACTAAAAAAAGAGTGTTTCAAACCTGCTCTACCAAAGGGAATGTTCTACTCTGTGACTTGAATGCAAACATCCCAAAGAAGTTTCTGAGAATGCTTCTGTCTAGATTTGATCTGAAGACAATCCCGTTTCCAACGAAATCCTCAAGGCTAGGCAAATATACTCTTGCAGATTCCAGAAAAAGAGTGTTTCAAAACTGCTCCTTCAAAACGGTGGTTCAATTCTCTTAGTTGAGTACACACATCTCAAATAAGTTTCTGAGAATGCTTCTGCCTAGTTGTTAAGGGAAGATATTTCCCTTTCCAACATAGGCCTGAAAGCGCTCCAAATGTCCACTTCCAGATACTACAAAAAGAGTGTTTCAAACCTGCTCTACCAAAGGGAATGTTCTACTCTGTGACTTGAATGCAAACATCCCAAAGAAGTTTCTGAGAATGCTTCTGTCTAGATTTTACCTGAAGACAATCCCGTTTCCCACGAAATCCTCAAAGCTATGCAAATATCCTCTTGCAGATTCTACAAAAAGAGTGTTTCAAAACTGCTCTATGAAAAGAAAGGTTCAACTCTGTCAGTAGAGGGCACACATCACAAACAAGTTTCTGAGAATGCTTCTGCATAGTTGTTACGGGAAGATATTTCCCTTTCCAAAATAGGCCTGAAAGCGCTCCAAATGTCCACTTCCAGATACTACAAAAGGAGTGATTCCAACCTGCTCTATGATAGGGAATGTTCAACTCTGTGTCCTGAATACAAACATCACAAAGATGTTTCTCAGAACGCTGCAGTCTGCAATTTGTATGAATTCCCGCTTCCAACGAAATCCTCAAAACTAGCCAAATATCCACTTGCAGATTCCACAAAAAGACCATTTCAAAACTGCTCTATCAAAAGAAAGGTTCAACTTTGTTAGTTGAGTAGATACAGCATAAACAAGTTTCTGAGAATGCTTCTGTCCAGTTTTTATGGGAAGATATTTCCTTTTTCACCTTAGCCCTGAAATCGCTCCAAAAGTCCAGTTCCAGATACTACAAAAGGGGTGTTTCAAGACTGCTCTATGAAAGGGAGTGTTCAACTTTTGACTTGAATGCAAACATCAGAAAGCAGTTTCTCAGAACGCTGCTGTGTGCTTTTTATATGTATTCCCGCTTCCAGCGAAATCCCCAAAGCTAGCCAAATATCCACTTGCAGATTCCAGAAAAAGAGTGTTTCAAAACTGCTCCTTCAAAACGGTGGTTCAATTCTCTTAGTTGAGTACACACATCTCAAATAAGTTTCTGAGAATGCTTCTGTCTAGTTGTTATGGGAAGATATTTCCTTTTCCAACATAGGCCTGAAAGCGCTCCAAATGTCCACTTCCAGATACTACAAAAGGAGTGATTCCAACCTGCTCTATGATAGGGAATGTTCAACTCTGTGTCCTGAATACAAACATCACAAAGATGTTTCTCAGAACGCTGCAGTCTGCAATTTGTATGAATTCCCGCTTCCAACGAAATCCTCAAAACTAGCCAAATATCCACTTGCAGATTCCACAAAAAGAGCGTTTCAAAACTTCTCTATGAAAAGAAAGGTTCTACTCCTTTAGTTGAGGACACACATCACGAGTAAGTTTCTGAGAATGCTTCTGTCTAGTTTTTATGGGAAGATATGTCCTTTTTCACCTTAGGCCGGAAAGCGCTCCAAATGTCCACTTACACACACTACAAAAAGAGTGTTTCAAACCTGCTCTGTGAAAGGGAATGTTCAATTCTGTGACTTGAATGCAATCATCACAAAGAACTTTACTGAGAATGCTGCTGTCTGCTTTTTATATGTAATCCCGTTTCCAACGAAATCCTCAAATCTAGCCAAATAGCCACTTGCAGATTCCACAAAAAGAGTGTTTCAAAACTGTTCTGTCTAAAGAAATGTTCAACTGTGTTAGTTGAGGACACACATCAGAAACTAGTTTCTGAGAATGCTTCTGTCTAGTTGTTACGGGAAGATATTTCCTTTTCCAACGTAGGCCTGAAAGCGCTCCAAATGTCCATTTCCATATACTAAAAAAAGAGTGTTTCAAACCTGCTCTATCAAAGGGAATGTTCTACTCTGTGACTTGAATACAAACATCCCAAAGAAGTTTCTGAGAATGCTTCTGTCTAGATTTGATCTGAAGACAATCCCGTTTCCAACGAAATCCTCAAGGCTAGGCAAATATACTCTTGCAGATTCCAGAAAAAGAGTGTTTCAAAACTGCTCCTTCAAAACGGTGGTTCAATTCTCTTAGTTGAGTACACACATCTCAAATAAGTTTCTGAGAATGCTTCTGCCTAGTTGTTACGGGAAGATATTTCCCTTTCCAACATAGGCCTGAAAGCGCTCCAAATGTCCACTTCCAGATACTACAAAAAGAGTGTTTCAAACCTGCTCTACCAAAGGGAATGTTCTACTCTGTGACTTGAATGCAAACATCCCAAAGAAGTTTCTGAGAATGCTTCTGTCTAGATTTTACCTGAAGACAATCCCGTTTCCCACGAAATCCTCAAAGCTATGCAAATATCCTCTTGCAGATTCTACAAAAAGAGTGTTTCAAAACTGCTCTATGAAAAGAAAGGTTCAACTCTGTCAGTAGAGGGCACACATCACAAACAAGTTTCTGAGAATGCTTGTGTCTAGTTGTTATGGGAAGATATTTCCTTTTTCAACATAGGCCTGAAAGCGCTCCAAATGTCCACTTCCAGATACTACAAAAGGAGTGATTCCAACCTGCTCTATGATAGGGAATGTTCAACTCTCTGTCCTGAATACAAACATCACAAATATGTTTCTCAGAACGCTGCAGTCTGCAATTTGTATGAATTCCCGCTTCCAACGAAATCCTCAAAACTAGCCAAATATCCACTTGCAGATTCCACAAAAAGACCATTTCAAAACTGCTCTATCAAAAGAAAGGTTCAACTTTGTTAGTTGAGTAGATACAGCATAACCAAGTTTCTGAGAATGCTTCTGTCCAGTTTTTATGGGAAGATATTTCCTTTTTCACCTTAGCCCTGAAATCGCTCCAAAAGTCCAGTTCCAGATACTACAAAAGGGGTGTTTCAAGACTGCTCTATGAAAGGGAGTGTTCAACTTTTGACTTGAATGCAAACATCAGAAAGCAGTTTCTCAGAACGCTGCTGTGTGCTTTTTATATGTATTCCCGCTTCCAGCGAAATCCCCAAAGCTAGCCAAATATCCACTTGCAGATTCCAGAAAAAGAGTGTTTCAAAACTGCTCCTTCAAAACGGTGGTTCAATTCTCTTAGTTGAGTACACACATCTCAAATAAGTTTCTGAGAATGCTTCTGTCTATTTGTTATGGGAAGATATTTCCTTTTCCAACATAGGCCTGAAAGCGCTCCAAATGTCCACTTCCAGATACTACAAAAGGAGTGATTCCAACCTGCTCTATGATAGGGAATGTTCAACTCTGTGTCCTGAATACAAACATCACAAAGATGTTTCTCAGAACGCTGCAGTCTGCAATTTGTATGAATTCCCGCTTCCAACGAAATCCTCAAAACTAGCCAAATATCCACTTGCAGATTCCACAAAAAGAGCGTTTCAAAACTTCTCTATGAAAAGAAAGTTTCTACTCCTTTACTTGAGTACACACATCACGAGTAAGTTTCTGAGAATGCTTCTGTCTAGTTTTTATGGGAAGATATTTCCTTTTTCACCTTAGGCCGGAAAGCGCTCCAAATGTCCACTTACACGCACTACAAAAAGAGTGTTTCAAACCTGCTCTGTGAAAGGGAATGTTCAATTCTGTGACTTGAATGCAATCATCACAAAGAACTTTCTGAGAATGCCGCTGTCTGCTTTTTATATGTAATCCCGTTTCCAACGAAATGCTCAAATCTAGCCAAATATCCACTTGCAAATTCCACAAAAAGAGTGTTTCAAAACTGTTCTGTCTAAAGAAATGTTCAACTGTGTTAGTTGAGGACACACATCAGAAACTAGTTTCTGAGAATGCTTCTGTCTAGTTGTTATGGGAAGATATTTCCTTTTCCAACGTAGGCCTGAAAGCGCTCCAAATGTCCACTTCCATATACTAAAAAAAGAGTGTTTCAAACCTGCTCTACCAAAGGGAATGTTCTACTCTGTGACTTGAATGCAAACATCCCAAAGAAGTTTCTGAGAATGCTTCTGTCTAGATTTTCTCTGAAGACAATCCCGTTTCCAACGAAATCCTCAAGGCTAGGCAAATATACTCTTGCAGATTCCAGAAAAAGAGTGTTTCAAAACTGCTCCTTCAAAACGGTGGTTCAATTCTCTTAGTTGAGTACACACATCTCAAATAAGTTTCTGAGAATGCTTCTGCCTAGTTGTTACGGGAAGATATTTCCCTTTCCAACATAGGCCTGAAAGCGCTTCAAATGTCCACTTCCAGATACTACAAAAAGAGTGTTTGAAACCTGCTCTACCAAAGGGAATGTTCTACTCTGTGACTTGAATGCAAACATCCCAAAGAAGTTTCTGAGAATGCTTCTGTCTAGATTTTACCTGAAGACAATCCCGTTTCCCACGAAATCCTCAAAGCTATGCAAATATCCTCTTGCAGATTCTACAAAAAGAGTGTTTCAAAACTGCTCTATGAAAAGAAAGGTTCAACTCTGTCAGTAGAGGGCACACATCACAAACAAGTTTCTGAGAATGCTTGTGTCTAGTTGTTATGGGAAGATATTTCCTTTTTCAACATAGGCCTGAAAGCGCTCGAAATGTCCACTTCCAGATACTACCAAAGGAGTGATTCCAACCTGCTCTATGATAGGGAATGTTCAACTCTCTGTCCTGAATACAAACATCACAAAGATGTTTCTCAGAACGCTGCAGTCTGCAATTTGTATGAATTCCCGCTTCCAACGAAATCCTCAAAACTAGCCAAATATCCACTTGCAGATTCCACAAAAAGAGCATTTCAAAACTGCTCTATCAAAAGAAAGGTTCAACTTTGTTAGTTGAGTAGATACAGCATAAACAAGTTTCTGAGAATGCTTCTGTCCA
This sequence comes from Homo sapiens, assembly GCF_000001405.40. Classification (NCBI taxonomy): domain Eukaryota; kingdom Metazoa; phylum Chordata; class Mammalia; order Primates; family Hominidae; genus Homo; species Homo sapiens. The sequence continues at coordinate 20,389,477 of NC_000018.10, read as the reverse complement.
GTTTTTATGGGAAGATATTTCCTTTTTCACCTTAGCCCTGAAAGCGCTCCAAAAGTCCAGTTCCAGATACTACAAAAGGAGTGTTTCAGGACTGCTCTATGAAAGGGAGTGTTCAACTTTTGACTTGAATGCAAACATCAGAAAGCAGTTTCTCAGAACGCTGCAGTCTGCAATTTGTATGAATTCCCGCTTCCAACGAAATCCTCAAAACTAGCCAAATATCCACTTGCAGATTCCACAAAAAGAGCGTTTCAAAACTTCTCTATGAAAAGAAAGGTTCTACTCCTTTAGTTGAGGACACACATCACGAGTAAGTTTCTGAGAATGCTTCTGTCTAGTTTTTATGGGAAGATATGTCCTTTTTCACCTTAGGCCGGAAAGCGCTCCAAATGTCCACTTACACACACTACAAAAAGAGTGTTTCAAACCTGCTCTGTGAAAGGGAATGTTCAATTCTGTGACTTGAATGCAATCATCACAAAGAACTTTCTGAGAATGCTGCTGTCTGCTTTTTATATGTAATCCCGTTTCCAACGAAATCCTCAAATCTAGCCAAATAGCCACTTGCAGATTCCACAAAAAGAGTGTTTCAAAACTGTTCTGTCTAAAGAAATGTTCAACTGTGTTAGTTGAGGACACACATCAGAAACTAGTTTCTGAGAATGCTTCTGTCTAATTGTTATGGGAAGATATTTCCTTTTCCAACGTAGGCCTGAAAGCGCTCCAAATGTCCACTTCCATATACTAAAAAAAGAGTGTTTCAAACCTGCTCTACCAAAGGGAATGTTCTACTCTGTGACTTGAATGCAAACATCCCAAAGAAGTTTCTGAGAATGCTTCTGTCTAGATTTTATCTCAAGACAATCCCGTTTCCAACGAAATCCTCAAGGCTAGGCAAATATACTCTTGCAGATTCCAGAAAAAGAGTGTTTCAAAACTGCTCCTTCAAAACGGTGGTTCAATTCTCTTAGTTGAGTACACACATCTCAAATAAGTTTCTGAGAATGCTTCTGCCTAGTTGTTACGGGAAGATATTTCCCTTTCCAACATGGGCCTGAAAGCGCTCCAAATGTCCACTTCCAGATACTACAAAAAGAGTGTTTCAAACCTGCTCTACCAAAGGGAATGTTCTACTCTGTGACTTGAATGCAAACATCCCAAAGAAGTTTCTGAGAATGCTTCTGTCTAGATTTTACCTAAAGACAATCCCGTTTCCCACGAAATCCTCAAAGCTATGCAAATATCCTCTTGCGGATTCTACAAAAAGAGTGTTTCAAAACTGCTCTATGAAAAGAAAGGTTCAACTCTGTCAGTAGAGGGCACACATCACAAACAAGTTTCTGAGAATGCTTGTGTCTAGTTGTTATGGGAAGATATTTCCTTTTTCAACATAGGCCTGAAAGCGCTCCAAATGTCCACTTCCAGATACTACAAAAGGAGTGATTCCAACCTGCTCTATGATAGGGAATGTTCATCTCTGTGTCCTGAATACAAACATCACAAAGATGTTTCTCAGAACGCTGCAGTCTGCAATTTGTATGAATTCCCGCTTCCAACGAAATCCTCAAAACTAGCCAAATATCCACTTGCAGATTCCACAAAAAGACCATTTCAAAACTGCTCTATCAAAAGAAAGGTTCAACTTTGTTAGTTGAGTAGATACAGCATAAACAAGTTTCTGAGAATGCTTCTGTCCAGTTTTTATGGGAAGATATTTCCTTTTTCACCTTAGCCCTGAAAGCGCTCCAAAAGTCCAGTTCCAGATACTACAAAAGGAGTGTTTCAGGACTGCTCTATGAAAGGGAGTGTTCAACTTTTGACTTGAATGCAAACATCAGAAAGCAGTTTCTCAGAACGCTGCTGTGTGCTTTTTATATGTATTCCCGCTTCCAGCGAAATCCCCAAAGCTAGCCAAATATCCACTTGCAGATTCCAGAAAAAGAGAGTTTCAAAACTGCTCCTTCAAAACGGTGGTTCAATTCTCTTAGTTGAGTACACACATCTCAAATAAGTTTCTGAGAATGCTTCTGTCTAGTTGTTATGGGAAGATATTTCCTTTTCCAACATAGGGCCTGAAAGCGCTCCAAATGTCCACTTCCAGATACTACAAAAGGAGTGATTCAAACCTGCTCTATGATAGGGAATGTTCAACTCTGTGTCCTGAATACAAACATCACAAAGATGTTTCTCAGAACGCTGCAGTCTGCAATTTGTATGAATTCCCCCTTCCAACGAAATCCTCAAAACTAACCAAATATCCACTTGCAGACTCCACAAAAAGAGCATTTCAAAACTGCTCTATCAAAAGAAAGGTTCAACTTTGTTAGCTGAGTAGATACAGCATAAACAAGTTTCTGAGAATGCTTCTGTCCAGTTTTTATGGGAAGATATTTCCTTTTTCACCTTAGCCCTGAAAGCACTCCAAATGTCCACTTCCAGATACCACAAAAGGGGAGTTTCAAGACTGCTCTATGAAAGGGAGTGTTCAACTTTTGACTTGAATGCGAACATCAGAAAGAAGTTTCTCAGAACCCTGCTGTGTGCTTTTTATATGTATTCCCGCTTCCAGCGAAATCCCCAAAGCTAGCCAAATAGCCACTTGCAGCTTCCAGAAAAAGAGTGTTTCAAAACTGCTCCTTCAAAACGGTGGTTCAATTCTCTTAGTTGAGTACACACATCTCAAATAAGTTTCTGAGAATGCTTCTGTCTAGTTTTTATGGGAAGATATTTCCTTTTTCACCTTAGGCCGGAAAGCGCTCCAAATGTCCACTTACACACACTACAAAAAGAGTGTTTCAAACCTGCTCTGTGAAAGGGAATGTTCAATCCTGTGACTAGAATGCAGTCATCACAAAGAACTTTCTGAGAATGCTGCTGTCTGCTTTTTATATGTAATCCCGTTTCCAACGAAATCCTCAAATCTAGCCAAATAGCCACTTGCAGATTCCACAAAAAGAGTGTTTCAAAACTGTTCTGTCTAAAGAAAGGTACAACTGTATTAGTTGAGGACACACATCAGAAACTAGTTTCTGAGAATGCTTCTGTCTAGTTGTTATGGGAAGATATTTCCTTTTCCAACGTAGGCCTGAAAGCGCTCCAAATGTCCACTTCCATATACTAAAAAAAGAGTGTTTCAAACCTGCTCTACCAAAGGGAATGTTCTACTCTGTGACTTGAATGCAAACATCCCAAAGAAGTTTCTGAGAATGCTTCTGTCTAGATTTTACCTAAAGACAATCCCGTTTCCCACGAAATCCTCAAAGCTATGCAAATATCCTCTTGCAGATTCTACAAAAAGAGTGTTTCAAAACTGCTCTATGAAAAGAAAGGTTCAACTCTGTCAGTAGAGGGCACACATCACAAACAAGTTTCTGAGAATGCTTGTGTCTAGTTGTTATGGGAAGATATTTCCTTTATCCACATAGGCCTGAAAGCGCTCCAAATGTCCACTTCCAGATACTACAAAAGGAGTGATTCCAACCTGCTCTATGATAGGGAATGTTCAACTCTGTGTCCTGAATACAAACATCACAAAGATGTTTCTCAGAACGCTGCAGTCTGCAATTTGTATGAATTCCCGCTTCCAACGAAATCCTCAAAACTAGCCAAATATCCACTTGCAGATTCCACAAAAAGAGCGTTTCAAAACTTCTCTATGAATAGAAAGGTTCTACTCCTTTAGTTGAGGACACACATCACGAGTAAGTTTCTGAGAATGCTTCTGTCTAGTTTTTATGGGAAGATATGTCCTTTTTCACCTTAGGCCGGAAAGTGCTCCAAATGTCCACTTACACACACTACAAAAAGAGTGTTTCAAACCTGCTCTGTGAAAGGGAATGTTCAATTCTGTGACTTGAATGCAATCATCACAAAGAACTTTCTGAGAATGCTGCTGTCTGCTTTTTATATGTAATCCCGTTTCCAACGAAATCCTCAAATCTAGCCAAATATCCACTTGCAGATTCCACAAAAAGAGTGTTTCAAAACTGTTCTGTCTAAAGAAATGTTCAACTGTGTTAGTTGAGGACACACATCAGAAACTAGTTTCTGAGAATGCTTCTGTCTAGTTGTTATGGGAAGATATTTCCTTTTCCAACGTAGGCCTGAAAGCGCTCCAAATGTCCACTTACACACACTACAAAAAGAGTGTTTCAAACCTGCTCTACCAAAGTGAATGTTCTACTCTGTGACTTGAATGCAAACATCCCAAAGAAGTTTCTGAGAATGCTTCTGTCTAGATTTTACCTGAAGAAAATCCCGTTTCCCACGAAATCCTCAAAGCTATGCAAATATCCTCTTGCAGATTCTACAAAAAGAGTGTTTCGAAACTACTCTATGAAAAGAAAGGTTCAACTGTGTCAGTAGAAGGCACACATCACAAAAAAGTTTCTGAGAATGCTTGTGTCTAGTTGTTATGGGAAGATATTTCCTTTTTCAAGATAGGCCTGAAAGCGCTCCAAATGTCCACTTCCAGATACTACAAAAGGAGTGATTCCAACCTGCTCTATGATAGGGAATGTTCAACTCTCTGTCCTGAATACAAACATCACAAAGATGTTTCTCAGAACGCTGCAGTCTGCAATTTGTATGAATTCCCGCTTCCAACGAAATCCTCAAAACTAGCCAAATATCCACTTGCAGATTCCACAAAAAGACCATTTCAAAACTGCTCTATCAAAAGAAAGGTTCAACTTTGTTAGTTGAGTAGATACAGCATAACCAAGTTTCTGAGAATGCTTCTGTCCAGTTTTTATGGGAAGATATTTCCTTTTTCACCTTAGCCCTGAAATCGCTCCAAAAGTCCAGTTCCAGATACTACAAAAGGGGTGTTTCAAGACTGCTCTATGAAAGGGAGTGTTCAACTTTTGACTTGAATGCAAACATCAGAAAGCAGTTTCTCAGAACGCTGCTGTGTGCTTTTTATATGTATTCCCGCTTCCAGCGAAATCCCCAAAGCTAGCCAAATATCCACTTGCAGATTCCAGAAAAAGAGTGTTTCCAAACTGCTCCTTCAAAACGGTGGTTCAATTCTCTTAGTTGAGTACACACATCTCAAATAAGTTTTCTGGGAATGCTTTCTGTCTAGTTGTTATGGGAAGATATTTCCTTTTCCAACATAGGCCTGAAAGCGCTCCAAATGTCCACTTCCAGATACTACAAAAGGAGTGATTCAAACCTGCTCTATGATAGGGAATGTTCAACTCTGTGTCCTGAATACAAACATCACAAAGATGTTTCTCAGAACGCTGCAGTCTGCAATTTGTATGAATTCCCGCTTCCAACGAAATCCTCAAAACTAGCCAAATATCCACTTGCAGATTCCACAAAAAGAGCGTTTCAAAACTTCTCTATGAAAAGAAAGGTTCTACTCCTTTAGTTGAGGACACACATCACGAGTAAGTTTCTGAGAATGCTTCTGTCTAGTTTTTATGGGAAGATATGTCCTTTTTCACCTTAGGCCGGAAAGCGCTCCAAATGTCCACTTACACACACTACAAAAAGAGTGTTTCAAACCTGCTCTGTGAAAGGGAATGTTCAATTCTGTGACTTGAATGCAATCATCACAAAGAACTTTCTGAGAATGCTGCTGTCTGCTTTTTATATGTAATCCCGTTTCCAACGAAATCCTCAAATCTAGCCAAATAGCCACTTGCAGATTCCACAAAAAGAGTGTTTCAAAACTGTTCTGTCTAAAGAAATGTTCAACTGTGTTAGTTGAGGACACACATCAGAAACTAGTTTCTGAGAATGCTTCTGTCTAGTTGTTATGGGAAGATATTTCCTTTTCCAACGTAGGCCTGAAAGCGCTCCAAATGTCCACTTCCAGATACTACAAAAGGAGTGATTCCAACCTGCTCTATGATAGGGAATGTTCAACTCTGTGTCCTGAATACAAACATCACAAAGATGTTTCTCAGAACGCTGCAGTCTGCAATTTGTATGAATTCCCGCTTCCAACGAAATCCTCAAAACTAGCCAAATATCCACTTGCAGATTCCACAAAAAGAGCGTTTCAAAACTTCTCTATGAAAAGAAAGGTTCTACTCCTTTAGTTGAGGACACACATCACGAGTAAGTTTCTGAGAATGCTTCTGTCTAGTTTTTATGGGAAGATATTTCCTTTTTCACCTTAGGCCGGAAAGTGCTCCAAATGTCCACTTACACACACTACAAAAAGAGTGTTTTTGAAACCTGCTCTGTGAAAGGGAATGTTCAATTCTGTGACTTGAATGCAATCATCACAAAGAACTTTCTGAGAATGCTGCTGTCTGCTTTTTATATGTAATCCCGTTTCCAACGAAATCCTCAAATCTAGCCCAATATCCACTTGCAGATTCCACAAAAAGAGTGTTTCAAAACTGTTCTGTCTAAAGAAATGTACAACTGTGTTAGTTGAGGACACATATCAGAAACTAGTTTCTGAGAATGCTTCTGTCTAGTTGTTATGGGAAGATATTTCCTTTTCCAACGTAGGCCTGAAAGCGCTCCAAATGTCCACTTCCATATACTAAAAAAAGAGTGTTTCAAACCTGCTCTACCAAAGGGAATGTTCTACTCTGTGACTTGAATGCAAACATCCCAAAGAAGTTTCTGAGAATGCTTCTTTGTCTAGATTTTATCTGAAGACAATCCGGTTTCCAACGAAATCCTCAAGGCTAGGCAAATATACTCTTGCAGATTCCAGAAAAAGAGTGTTTCAAAACTGCTCCTTCAAAACGGTGGTTCAATTCTCTTAGTTGAGTACACACATCTCAAATAAGTTTCTGAGAATGCTTCTGCCTAGTTGTTACGGGAAGATATTTCCCTTTCCAACATGGGCCTGAAAGCGCTCCAAATGTCCACTTCCAGATACTACAAAAAGAGTGTTTCAAACCTGCTCTACCAAAGGGAATGTTCTACTCTGTGACTTGAATGCAAACATCCCAAAGCAGTTTCTGAGAATGCTTCTGTCTAGATTTTACCTGAAGACAATCCCGTTTCCCACGAAATCCTCAAAGCTATGCAAATATCCTCTTGCGGATTCTACAAAAAGAGTGTTTCAAAACAGCTCTATGAAAAGAAAGGTTCAACTCTGTCAGTAGAGGGCACACATCACAAACAAGTTTCTGAGAATGCTTGTGTCTAGCTGTTATGGGAAGATATTTCCTTTTTCAACATAGGCCTGAAAGCGCTCCAAATGTCCACTTCCAGATACTACAAAAGGAGTGATTCCAACATGCTCTATGATAGGGAATGTTCATCTCTGTGTCTTGAATACAAACATCACAAAGATGTTTCTCAGAACGCTGCAGTCTGCAATTTGTATGAATTCCCGCTTCCAACGAAATCCTCAAAACTAGCCAAATATCCACTTGCAGATTCCACAAAAAGACCATTTCAAAACTGCTCTATCAAAAGAAAGGTTCAACTTTGTTAGTTGAGTAGATACAGCATAAACAAGTTTCTGAGAATGCTTCTGTCCAGTTTTTATGGGAAGATATTTCCTTTTTCACCTTAGCCCTGAAATCGCTCCAAAAGTCCAGTTCCAGATACTACAAAAGGGGTGTTTCAGGACTGCTCTATGAAAGGGAGTGTTCAACTTTTGACTTGAATGCAAACATCAGAAAGCAGTTTCTCAGAACGCTGCTGTGTGCTTTTTATATGTATTCCCGCTTCCAGCGAAATCCCCAAAGCTAGCCAAATATCCACTTGCAGATTCCAGAAAAAGAGTGTTTCAAAACTGCTCCTTCAAAACGGTGGTTCAATTCTCTTAGTTGAGTACACACATCTCAAATAAGTTTCTGAGAATGCTTCTGTCTAGTTGTTATGGGAAGATATTTCCTTTTCCAACATAGGCCTGAAAGCGCTCCAAATGTCCACTTCCAGATACTACAAAAGGAGTGATTCAAACCTGCTCTATGATAGGGAATGTTCAACTCTGTGTCCTGAATACAAACATCACAAAGATGTTTCTCAGAACGCTGCAGTCTGCAATTTGTATGAATTCCCGCTTCCAACGAAATCCTCAAAACTAGCCAAATATCCACTTGCAGATACCACAAAAAGAGCGTTTCAAAACTTCTCTATGAAAAGGAAGGTTCTACTCCTTTAGTTGAGGACACACATCACGAGTAAGTTTCTGAGAATGCTTCTGTCTAGTTTTTATGGGAAGATATTTCCTTTTTCACCTTAGGCCGGAAAGCGCTCCAAATGTCCACTTACACACACTACAAAAAGAGTGTTTCAAACCTGCTCTGTGAAAGGGAATGTTCAATTCTGTGACTTGAATGCAATCATCACAAAGAACTTTCTGAGAATGCTGCTGACTGCTTTTTATATGTAATCCCGTTTCCAACGAAATCCTCAAATCTAGCCAAATAGCCACTTGCAGATTCCACAAAAAGAGTGTTTCAAAACTGTTCTGTCTAAAGAAATGTTCAACTGTGTTAGTTGAGGACACACATCAGAAACTAGTTTCTGAGAATGCTTCTGTCTAATTGTTATGGGAAGATATTTCCTTTTCCAACGTAGGCCTGAAAGCGCTCCAAATGTCCACTTCCATATACTAAAAAAAGAGTGTTTCAAACCTGCTCTACCAAAGGGAATGTTCTACTCTGTGACTTGAATGCAAACATCCCAAAGAAGTTTCTGAGAATGCTTCTGTCTAGATTTGATCTGAAGACAATCCCGTTTCCAACGAAATCCTCAAAGCTAGGCAAATATCCTCTTGCATATTCCAGAAAAAGAGTGTTTCAAAACTGCTCCTTCAAAACGGTGGTTCAATTCTCTTAGTTGAGTACACACATCTCCAATAAGTTTCTGAGAATGCTTCTGCCTAGTTGTTACGGGAAGATATTTCCCTTTCCAACATAGGCCTGAAAGCGCTCCAAATGTCCACTTCCAGATACTACAAAAAGAGTGTTTCAAACCTGCTCTACCAAAGGGAATGTTCTACTCTGTGACTTGAATGCAAACATCCCAAAGAAGTTTCTGAGAATGCTTCTGTCTAGATTTTACCTGAAGACAATCCCGTTTCCCACGAAATCCTCAAAGCTATGCAAATATCCTCTTGCGGATTCTACAAAAAGAGTGTTTCAAAACTGCTCTATGAAAAGAAAGGTTCAACTCTGTCAGTAGAGGGCACACATCACAAACAAGTTTCTGAGAATGCTTCTGCCTAGTTGTTATGGGAAGATATTTCCTTTTTCAACATAGGCCTGAAAGCGCTCCAAATGTCCACTTCCAGATACTACACAAGGAGTGATTCCAACCTGCTCTATGATAGGGAATGTTCAACTCTGTGTCCTGAATACAAACATCACAAAGATGTTTCTCAGAACGCTGCAGTCTGCAATTTGTATGAATTCCCGCTTCCAACGAAATCCTCAAACCTAGCCAAATATCCACTTGCAGATTCCACAAAAAGAGCATTTCAAAACTGCTCTATCAAAAGAAAGGTTCAACTTTGTTAGTTGAGTAGATACAGCATAAACAAGTTTCTGAGAATGCTTCTGTCCAGTTTTTATGGGAAGATATTTCCTTTTTCACCTTAGCCCTGAAAGCGCTCCAAATGTCCAGTTCCAGATACTACAAAAGGGGTATTTCAAGACTGCTCTATGAAAAGGAGTGTTCAACTTTTGACTTGAATGCAAACATCAGAAAGCAGTTTCTCAGAACGCTGCTGTGTGCTTTTTATATGTATTCCCGCTTCCAGCGAAATCCCCAAAGCTAGCCAAATATCCACTTGCAGATTCCAGAAAAAGAGTGTTTCAAAACTGCTCCTTCAAAACGGTGGTTCAATTCTCTTAGTTGAGTAGACACATCTCAAATAAGTTTCTGAGAATGCTGCAGTCTGCAATTTGTATGAATTCCCGCTTCCAACGAAATCCTCAAAACTAGCCAAATATCCACTTGCAGATTCCACAAAAAGAGCGTTTCAAAACTTCTCTATGAAAAGAAAGGTTCTACTCCTTTAGTTGAGGACACACATCACGAGTAAGTTTCTGAGAATGCTTCTGTCTAGTTTTTATGGGAAGATATGTCCTTTTTCACCTTAGGCCGGAAAGCGCTCCAAATGTCCACTTACACACACTACAAAAAGAGTGTTTCCAACCTGCTCTATGAAAGGGAATGTTCAATTCTGTGACTTGAATGCAATCATCACAAAGAACTTTCTGAGAATGCTGCTGACTGCTATTTATATGTAATCCCGTTTCCAACGAAATCCTCAAATCTAGCCCAATATCCACTTGCAGATTCCACAAAAAGAGTGTTTCAAAACTGTTCTGTCTAAAGAAATGTACAACTGTGTTAGTTGAGGACACACATCAGAAACTAGTTTCTGAGAATGCTTCTGTCTAGTTGTTATGGGAAGATATTTCCTTTTCCAACGTAGGCCTGAAAGCGCTCCAAATGTCCACTTCCATATACTAAAAAAAGACTGTTTCAAACCTGCTCTACCAAAGGGAATGTTCTACTCTGTGACTTGAATGCAAACATCCCAAATAAGTTTCTGAGAATGCTTCTGTCTAGATTTTATCTGAAGACAATCCCGTTTCCAACGAATTCCTCAAGGCTAGGCAAATATACTCTTGCAGATTCCAGAAAAAGAGGGTTTCAAAACTGCTCCTTCAAAACGGTGGTTCAATTCTCTTAGTTGAGTACACACATCTCAAATAAGTTTCTGAGAATGCTTCTGCCTAGTTGTTACGGGAAGATATTTCCCTTTCCAACATAGGCCTGAAAGCGCTCCAAATGTCCACTTCCAGATACTACAAAAAGAGTGTTTCAAACCTGCTCTACCAAAGGGAATGTTCTACTCTGTGACTTGAATGCAAACATCCCAAAGAAGTTTCTGAGAATGCTTCTGTCTAGATTTTACCTGAAGACAATCCCGTTTCCCACGAAATCCTCAAAGTTATGCAAATATCCTCTTGCGGATTCTACAAAAAGAGTGTTTCAAAACTGCTCTATGAAAAGAAAGGTTCAACTCTGTCAGTAGAGGGCACACATCACAAACAAGTTTCTGAGAATGCTTCTGTCTAGTTGTTATAGGAAGATATTTCCTTTTCCAACATAGGCCTGAAAGCGCTCCAAATGTCCACTTCCAGATACTACAAAAGGAGTGATTCCAACCTGCTCTATGATAGGGAATGTTCAACTCTGTGTCCTGAATACAAACATCACAAAGATGTTTCTCAGAACGCTGCAGTCTGCAATTTGTATGAATTCCCGCTTCCAACGAAATCCTCAAAACTAGCCAAATATCCACTTGCAGATTCCACAAAAAGAGCATTTCAAAACTGCTCTATCAAAAGAAAGGTTCAACTTTGTTAGTTGAGTAGATACAGCATAAACAAGTTTCTGAGAATGCTTCTGTCCAGTTTTTATGGGAAGATATTTCCTTTTTCACCTTAGCCCTGAAATCGCTCCAAAAGTCCAGTTCCAGATACTACAAAAGGGGTGTTTCAAGACTGCTCTATGAAAGGGAGTGTTCAACTTTTGACTTGAATGCAAACATCAGAAAGCAGTTTCTCAGAACGCTGCTGTGTGCTTTTTATATGTATTCCCGCTTCCAGCGAAATCCCCAAAGCTAGCCAAATATCCACTTGCAGATTCCAGAAAAAGAGTGTTTCAAAACTGCTCCTTCAAAACGGTGGTTCAATTCTCTTAGTTGAGTACACACATCTCAAATAAGTTTCTGAGAATGCTTCTGTCTATTTGTTATGGGAAGATATTTCCTTTTCCAACATAGGCCTGAAAGCGCTCCAAATGTCCACTTCCAGATACTAGAAAAGGAGTGATTCAAACCTGCTCTATGATAGGGAATGTTCAACTCTGTGTCCTGAATACAAACATCACAAAGATGTTTCTCAGAACGCTGCAGTCTGCAATTTGTATGAATTCCCGCTTCCAACGAAATCCTCAAAACTAGCCAAATATCCACTTGCAGATTCCACAAAAAGAGCGTTTCAAAACTTCTCTATGAAAAGAAAGGTTCTACTCCTTTAGTTGAGTACACACATCACGAGTAAGTTTCTGAGAATGCTTCTGTCTAGTTTTTATGGGAAGATATTTCCTTGTTCACCTTAGGCCGGAAAGCGCTCCAAATGTCCACTTACACACACTACAAAAAGAGTGTTTCAAACCTGCTCTGTGAAAGGGAATGTTCAATTCTGTGACTTGAATGCAATCATCACAAAGAAGTTTCTGAGAATGCTGCTGACTGCTTTTTATATGTAATCCCGTTTCCAACGAAATCCTCAAATCTAGCCAAATAGCCACTTGCAGATTCCACAAAAAGAGTGTTTCAAAACTGTTCTGTCTAAAGAAATGTTCAACTGTGTTAGTTGAGGACACACATCAGAAACTAGTTTCTGAGAATGCTTCTGTCTAGTTGTTATGGGAAGATATTTCCTTTTCCAACGTAGGCCTGAAAGCGCTCCAAATGTCCACTTCCAGATACTACAAAAAGAGTGTTTCAAACCTGCTCTACCAAAGGGAATGTTCTACTCTGTGACTTGAATGCAAGCATCCCAAAGAAGTTTCTGAGAATGCTTCTGTCTAGATTTTCTCTGAAGACAATCCCGTTTCCAACGAAATCCTCAAGGCTAGGCAAATATACTCTTGCAGATTCCAGAAAAAGAGTGTTTCAAAACTGCTCCTTCAAAACGGTGGTTCAATTCTCTTAGTTGAGTACACACATCTCAAATAAGTTTCTGAGAATGCTTCTGCCTAGTTGTTACGGGAAGATATTTCCCTTTCCAACATGGGCCTGAAAGTGCTCCAAATGTCCACTTCCAGATACTACAAAAAGAGTGTTTCAAACCTGCTCTACCAAAGGGAATGTTCTACTCTGTGACTTGAATGCAAACATCCCAAAGAAGTTTCTGAGAATGCTTTCTGTCTAGATTTTACCTGAAGACAATCCCGTTTCCCACGAAATCCTCAAAGCTATGCAAATATCCTCTTGCAGATTCTACAAAAAGAGTGTTTCAAAACTGCTCTATGAAAAGAAAGGTTCAACTCTGTCAGTAGAGGGCACACATCACAAACAAGTTTCTGAGAATGCTTCTGCCTAGTTGTTATGGGAAGATATTTCCTTTTTCAACATGGGCCTGAAAGCGCTCCAAATGTCCACTTCCAGATACTAGAAAAGGAGTGATTCCAACCTGCTCTATGATAGGGAATGTTCAACTCTGTGTCCTGAATACAAACATCACAAAGATGTTTCTCAGAACGCTGCAGTCTGCAATTTGTATGAATTCCCGCTTCCAACGAAATCCTCAAAACTAGCCAAATATCCACTTGCAGATTCCACAAAAAGACCATTTCAAAACTGCTCTATCAAAAGAAAGGTTCAACTTTGTTAGTTGAGTAGATACAGCATAAACAAGTTTCTGAGAATGCTTCTGTCCAGTTTTTATGGGAAGATATTTCCTTTTTCACCTTAGCCCTGAAATCGCTCCAAAAGTCCAGTTCCAGATACTACAAAAGGGGTGTTTCAAGACTGCTCTATGAAAGGGAGTGTTCAACTTTTGACTTGAATGCAAACATCAGAAAGCAGTTTCTCAGAACGCTGCTGTGTGCTTTTTATATGTATTCCCGCTTCCAGCGAAATCCCCAAAGCTAGCCAAATATCCACTTGCAGATTCCAGAAAAAGAGAGTTTCAAAACTGCTCCTTCAAAACGGTGGTTCAATTCTCTTAGTTGAGTACACACATCTCAAATAAGTTTCTGAGAATGCTGCTGTGTGCTTTTTATATGTATTCCCGCTTCCAGCGAAATCCCCAAAGCTAGCCAAATATCCACTTGCAGATTCCAGAAAAAGAGTGTTTCCAAACTGCTCCTTCAAAACGGTGGTTCAATTCTCTTAGTTGAGTACACACATCTCAAATAAGTTTCTGGGAATGCTGCAGTCTGCAATTTGTATGAATTCCCGCTTCCAACGAAATCCTCAAAACTAGCCAAATATCCACTTGCAGATTCCACAAAAAGAGCGTTTCAAAACTTCTCTATGAAAAGAAAGGTTCTACTCCTTTAGTTGAGGACACACATCACGAGTAAGTTTCTGAGAATGCTTCTGTCTAGTTTTTATGGGAAGATATTTCCTTTTTCACCTTAGGCCGGAAAGTGCTCCAAATGTCCACTTACACACACTACAAAAAGAGTGTTTCAAACCTGCTCTGTGAAAGGGAATGTTCAATTCTGTGACTTGAATGCAATCATCACAAAGAACGTTCTGAGAATGCTGCTGTCTGCTTTTTATATGTAATCCCGTTTCCAACGAAATCCTCAAATCTAGCCCAATATCCACTTGCAGATTCCACAAAAAGAGTGTTTCAAAACTGTTCTGTCTAAAGAAATGTACAACTGTGTTAGTTGAGGACACACATCAGAAACTAGTTTCTGAGAATGCTTCTGTCTAGTTGTTATGGGAAGATATTTCCTTTTCCAACGTAGGCCTGAAAGCGCTCCAAATGTCCACTTCCAGATACTAAAAAAAGAGTGTTTCAAACCTGCTCTACCAAAGGGAATGTTCTACTCTGTGACTTGAATGCAAGCATCCCAAAGAAGTTTCTGAGAATGCTTCTGTCTAGATTTTCTCTGAAGACAATCCCGTTTCCAACGAAATCCTCAAGGCTAGGCAAATATACTCTTGCAGATTGCAGAAAAAGAGTGTTTCAAAACTGCTCCTTCAAAACGGTGGTTCAATTCTCTTAGTTGAGTACACACATCTCAAATAAGTTTCTGAGAATGCTTCTGCCTAGTTGTTAAGGGAAGATATTTCCCTTTCCAACATAGGCCTGAAAGCGCTCCAAATGTCCACTTCCAGATACTACAAAAAGAGTGTTTCAAACCTGCTCTACCAAAGGGAATGTTCTACTCTGTGACTTGAATGCAAACATCCCAAAGCAGTTTCTGAGAATGCTTCTGTCTAGATTTTACCTGAAGACAATCCCGTTTCCCACGAAATCCTCAAAGCTATGCAAATATCCTCTTGCAGATTCTACAAAAAGAGTGTTTCAAAACTGCTCTATGAAAAGAAAGGTTCAACTCTGTCAGTAGAGGGCACACATCACAAACAAGTTTCTGAGAATGCTTCTGTCTAGTTGTTATGGGAAGATTTTTCCTTTTTCAACATAGGCCTGAAAGCGCTCCAAATGTCCACTTCCAGATACTACAAAAGGAGTGATCCCAACCTGCTCTATGATAGGGAATGTTCAACTCTGTGTCCTGAATACAAACATCACAAAGATGTTTCTCAGAACGCTGCAGTCTGCAATTTGTATGAATTCCCGCTTCCAACGAAATCCTCAAAACTACCCAAATATCCACTTGCAGATTCCACAAAAAGACCATTTCAAAACTGCTCTATCAAAAGAAAGGTTCAACTTTGTTAGTTGAGTAGATATAGCATAAACAAGTTTCTGAGAATGCTTCTGTCCAGTTTTTATGGGAAGATATTTCCTTTATCACCTTAGCCCTGAAAGCGCTCCAAAAGTCCAGTTCCAGATACTACAAAAGGAGTGTTTCAGGACTGCTCTATGAAAGGGAGTGTTCAACTTTTGACTTGAATGCAAACATCAGAAAGCAGTTTCTCAGAACGCTGCTGTGTGCTTTTTATATGTATTCCCGCTTCCAGCGAAATCCCCAAAGCTAGCCAGATATCCACTTGCAGATTCCAGAAAAAGAGTGTTTCAAAACTGCTCCTTCAAAACGGTGGTTCAATTCTCTTAGTTGAGTACACACATCTCAAATAAGTTTCTGAGAATGCTGCTGTGTGCTTTTTATATGTATTCCCGCTTCCAGCGAAATCCCCAAAGCTAGCCAAATATCCACTTGCAGATTCCAGAAAAAGAGTGTTTCAAAACTGCTCCTTCAAAACGGTGGTTCAATTCTCTTAGTTGAGTACACACATCTCAAATAAGTTTCTGAGAATGCTGCAGTCTGCAATTTGGATGAATTCCCGCTTCCAACGAAATCCTCAAAACTAGCCAAATATCCACTTGGAGATTCCACAAAAAGAGCGTTTCAAAACTTCTCTATGAATAGAAAGGTTCTACTCCTTTAGTTGAGGACACACATCACGAGTAAGTTTCTGAGAATGCTTCTGTCTAGTTTTTATGGGAAGATATTTCCTTTTTCACCTTAGGCCGGAAAGCGCTCCAAATGTCCACTTACACACACTACAAAAAGAGTGTTTCAAACCTGCTCTGTGAAAAGGAATGTTCAATTCTGTGACTTGAATGCAATCATCACAAAGAACTTTCTGAGAATGCTGCTGTCTGCTTTTTATATGTAATCCCGTTTCCAACGAAATCCTCAAATCTAGCCCAATATCCACTTGCAGATTCCACAAAAAGAGTGTTTCAAAACTGTTCTGTATAAAGAAATGTACAACTGTGTTAGTTGAGGACACACATCAGAAACTAGTTTCTGAGAATGCTTCTGTCTAGTTGTTATGGGAAGATATTTCCTTTTCCAACGTAGGCCTGAAAGCGCTCCAAATGTCCACTTCCATATACTAAAAAAAGAGTGTTTCAAACCTGCTCTACCAAAGGGAATGTTCTACTCTGTGACTTGAATGCAAACATCCCAAAGAAGTTTCTGAGAATGCTTCTGTCTAGATTTTATCTGAAGACAATCCCGTTTCCAACGAAATCCTCAAGGCTAGGCAAATATACTCTTGCAGATTCCAGAAAAAGAGTGTTTCAAAACTGCTCCTTCAAAACGGTGGTTCAATTCTCTTAGTTGAGTACACACATCTCAAATAAGTTTCTGAGAATGCTTCTGCCTAGTTGTTACGGGAAGATATTTCCCTTTCCAACATAGGCCTGAAAGCGCTCCAAATGTCCACTTCCAGATACTACAAAAAGAGTGTTTCAAACCTGCTCTACCAAAGGGAATGTTCTACTCTGTGACTTGAATGCAAACATCCCAAAGAAGTTTCTGAGAATGCTTCTGTCTAGATTTTACCTGAAGACAATCCCGTTTCCCACGAAATCCTCAAAGCTATGCAAATATCCTCTTGCAGATTCTACAAAAAGAGTGTTTCAAAACTGCTCTATGAAAAGAAAGGTTCAACTCTGTCAGTAGAGGGCACACATCACAAACAAGTTTCTGAGAATGCTTGTGTCTAGTTGTTATGGGAAGATATTTCCTTTTTCAACATAGGCCTGAATGCGCTCCAAATGTCCACTTCCAGATACTACAAAAGGAGTGATTCCAACCTGCTCTATGATAGGGAATGTTCAACTCTCTGTCCTGAATACAAACATCACAAAGATGTTTCTCAGAACGCTGCAGTCTGCAATTTGTATGAATTCCCGCTTCCAACGAAATCCTCAAAACTAGCCAAATATCCACTTGCAGATTCCACAAAAAGACCATTTCAAAACTGCTCTATCAAAAGAAAGGTTCAACTTTGTTAGTTGAGTAGATACAGCATAAACAAGTTTCTGAGAATGCTTCTGTCCAGTTTTTATGGGAAGATATTTCCTTTTTCACCTTAGCCCTGAAATCGCTCCAAAAGTCCAGTTCCAGATACTACAAAAGGGGTGTTTCAAGACTGCTCTATGAAAGGGAGTGTTCAACTTTTGACTTGAATGCAAACATCAGAAAGCAGTTTCTCAGAACGCTGCTGTGTGCTTTTTATATGTATTCCCGCTTCCAGCGAAATCCCCAAAGCTAGCCAAATATCCACTTGCAGATTCCAGAAAAAGAGAGTTTCAAAACTGCTCCTTCAAAACGGTGGTTCAATTCTCTTAGTTGAGTACACACATCTCAAATAAGTTTCTGAGAATGCTTCTGTCTAGTTGTTATGGGAAGATATTTCCTTTTCCAACATAGGCCTGAAAGCGCTCCAAATGTCCACTTCCAGATACTACAAAAGGAGTGATTCAAACCTGCTCTATGATAGGGAATGTTCAACTCTGTGTCCTGAATACAAACATCACAAAGATGTTTCTCAGAACGCTGCAGTCTGCAATTTGTATGAATTCCCGCTTCCAACGAAATCCTCAAAACTAGCCAAATATCCACTTGGAGATTCCACAAAAAGAGCGTTTCAAAACTTCTCTATGAATAGAAAGGTTCTACTCCTTTAGTTGAGGACACACATCACGAGTAAGTTTCTGAGAATGCTTCTGTCTAGTTTTTATGGGAAGATATTTCCTTTTTCACCTTAGGCCGGAAAGTGCTCCAAATGTCCACTTACACACACTACAAAAAGAGTGTTTCAAACCTGCTCTGTGAAAGGGAATGTTCAATTCTGTGACTTGAATGCAATCATCACAAAGAACTTTCTGAGAATGCTGCTGTCTGCTTTTTATATGTAATCCCGTTTCCAACGAAATCCTCAAATGTAGCCAAATATCCACTTGCAGATTCCACAAAAAGAGTGTTTCAAAACTGTTCTGTCTAAAGAAATGTTCAACTGTGTTAGTTGAGGACACACATCAGAAACTAGTTTCTGAGAATGCTTCTGTCTAGTTGTTATGGGAAGATATTTCCTTTTCCAACGTAGGCCTGAAAGCGCTCCAAATGTCCACTTACACACACTACAAAAAGAGTGTTTCAAACCTGCTCTACCAAAGGGAATGTTCTACTCTGTGACTTGAATGCAAACATCCCAAAGAAGTTTCTGAGAATGCTTCTGTCTAGATTTGATCTGAAGACAATCCCGTTTCCAACGAAATCCTCAAGGCTAGGCAAATATCCTCTTGCAGATTCCAGAAAAAGAGTGTTTCAAAACTGCTCCTTCAAAACGGTGGTTCAATTCTGTTAGTTGAGTACACACATCTCAAATAAGTTTCTGAGAATGCTTCTGCCTAGTTGTTACGGGAAGATATTTCCCTTTCCAACATAGGCCTGAAAGCGCTCCAAATGTCCACTTCCAGATACTACAAAAAGAGTGTTTCAAACCTGCTCTACCAAAGGGAATGTTCTACTCTGTGACTTGAATGCAAACATCCCAAAGAAGTTTCTGAGAATGCTTCTGTCTAGATTTTACCTGAAGACAATCCCGTTTCCCACGAAATCCTCAAAGCTATGCAAATATCCTCTTGCAGATTCTACAAAAAGAGTGTTTCAAAACTGCTCTATGAAAAGAAAGGTTCAACTCTGTCAGTAGAGGGCACACATCACAAACAAGTTTCTGAGAATGCTTCTGCATAGTTGTTACGGGAAGATATTTCCCTTTCCAAAATAGGCCTGAAAGCGCTCCAAATGTCCACTTCCAGATACTACAAAAGGAGTGATTCCAACCTGCTCTATGATAGGGAATGTTCAACTCTGTGTCCTGAATACAAACATCACAAAGATGTTTCTCAGAACGCTGCAGTCTGCAATTTGTATGAATTCCCGCTTCCAACGAATTCCTCAAAACTAACCCAATATCCACTTGCAGACTCCACAAAAAGAGCATTTCAAAACTGCTCTATCAAAAGAAAGGTTCAACTTGTTAGCTGAGTAGTTACAGCATAAACAAGTTTCTGAGAATGCTTCTGTCCAGTTTTTATGGGAAGATATTTCCTTTTTCACCTTAGCCCTGAAAGCACTCCAAATGTCCACTTCCAGATACCACAAAAGGGGAGTTTCAAGACTGCTCTATGAAAGGGAGTGTTCAACTTTTGACTTGAATGCGAACATCAGAAAGAAGTTTCTCAGAACGCTGCTGTGTGCTTTTTATATGTATTCCCGCTTCCAGCGAAATCCCCTAAGCTAGCCAAATATCCACTTGCAGATTCCAGAAAAAGAGTGTTTCAAAACTGCTCCTTCAAAACGGTGGTTCAATTCTCTTAGTTGAGTACACACATCTCAAATAAGTTTCTGAGAATGCTTCTGTCTAGTTGTTATGGGAAGATATTTCCTTTTCCAACATAGGCCTGAAAGCGCTCCAAATGTCCACTTCCAGGTACTACAAAAGGAGTGATTCAAACCTGCTCTATGATAGGGAATGTTCAACTCTGTGTCCTGAATACAAACATCACAAAGATGTTTCTCAGAACGCTGCAGTCTGCAATTTGTATGAATTCCCGCTTCCAACGAAAGCCTCAAAACTAGCCAAATATCCACTTGCAGATTCCACAAAAAGAGCGTTTCAAAACTTCTCTATGAAAAGAAAGTTTCTACTCCTTTAGTTGAGTACACACATCACGAGTAAGTTTCTGAGAATGCTTCTGTCTACTTTTTATGGGAAGATATTTCCTTTTTCACCTTAGGCCGGAAAGCGCTCCAAATGTCCGCTTACACACAGTACAAAAAGAGTGTTTCAAACCTGCTCTGTGAAAGGGAATGTTCAATTCTGTGACTTGAATGCAATCATCACAAAGAACTTTCTGAGAATGCCGCTGTCTGCTTTTTATATGTAATCCCGTTTCCAACGAAATGCTCAAATCTAGCCAAATATCCACTTGCAGATTCCACAAAAAGAGTGTTTCAAAACTGTTCTGTCTAAAGAAATGTTCAACTGTGTTAGTTGAGGACACACATCAGAAACTAGTTTCTGAGATTGCTTCTGTCTAGTTGTTATGGGAAGATATTTCCTTTTCCAACGTAGGCCTGAAAGCGCTCCAAATGTCCACTTCCATATACTAAAAAAAGAGTGTTTCAAACCTGCTCTACCAAAAGGAATGTTCTACTCTGTGACTTGAATGCAAACATCCCAAAGAAGTTTCTGAGAATGCTTCTGTCTAGATTTGATCTGAAGACAATCCCGTTTCCAACGAAATCCTCAAGGCTAGGCAAATATCCTCTTGCAGATTCCAGAAAAAGAGTGTTTCAAAACTGCTCCTTCAAAACGGTGGTTCAATTCTCTTAGTTGAGTACACACATCTCAAATAAGTTTCTGAGAATGCTTCTGCCTAGTTGTTACGGGAAGATATTTCCCTTTCCAACATGGGCCTGAAAGCGCTCCAAATGTCCACTTCCAGATACTACAAAAAGAGTGTTTCAAACCTGCTCTACCAAAGGGAATGTTCTACTCTGTGACTTGAATGCAAACATCCCAAAGAAGTTTCTGAGAATGCTTCTGTCTAGATTTTACCTGAAGACAATCCCGTTTCCCACGAAATCCTCAAAGCTATGCAAATATCCTCTTGCAGATTCTACAAAAAGAGTGTTTCGAAACTGCTCTATGAAAAGAAAGATTCAACTGTGTCAGTAGAGGGCACACATCACAAACAAGTTTCTGAGAATGCTTGTGTCTACTTGTTATGGGAAGATATTTCCTTTTTCAACATAGGCCTGAAAGCGCTCCAAATGTCCACTTCCAGATACTACAAAAGGAGTGATTCCAACCTGCTCTATGATAGGGAATGTTCAACTCTGTGTCCTGAATACAAACATCACAAAGATGTTTCTCAGAACGCTGCAGTCTGCAATTTGTATGAATTCCCGCTTCCAACGAAATCCTTAAAACTAGCCAAATATCCACTTGCAGATTCCACAAAAAGACCATTTCAAAACTGCTCTATCAAAAGAAAGGTTCAACTTTGTTAGTTGAGTAGATACAGCATAAACAAGTTTCTGAGAATGCTTCTGTCCAGTTTTTATGGGAAGATATTTCCTTTTTCACCTTAGCCCTGAAATCGCTCCAAAAGTCCAGTTCCAGATACTACAAAAGGGGTGTTTCAAGACTGCTCTATGAAAGGGAGTGTTCAACTTTTGACTTGAATGCAAACATCAGAAAGCAGTTTCTCAGAACGCTGCTGTGTGCTTTTTATATGTATTCCCGCTTCCAGCGAAATCCCCAAAGCTAGCCAAATATCCACTTGCAGATTCCAGAAAAAGAGTGTTTCAAAACTGCTCCTTCAAAACGGTGGTTCAATTCTCTTAGTTGAGTACACACATCTCAAATAAGTTTCTGAGAATGCTGCTGTGTGCTTTTTATATGTATTCCCGCTTCCAGCGAAATCCCCAAAGCTAGCCAAATATCCACTTGCAGATTCCAGAAAAAGAGTGTTTCAAAACTGCTCCTTCAAAACGGTGGTTCAATTCTCTTAGTTGAGTACACACATCTCAAATAAGTTTCTGAGAATGCTGCAGTCTGCAATTTGTATGAATTCCCGCTTCCAACGAAATCCTCAAAACTAGCCAAATATCCACTTGCAGATTCCACAAAAAGAGCGTTTCAAAACTTCTCTATGTAAAGAAAGGTTCTACTCCTTTAGTTGAGGACACACATCACGAGTAAGTTTCTGAGAATGCTTCTGTCTAGTTTTTATGGGAAGATATTTCCTTTTTCACCTTAGGCCGGTAAGTGCTCCAAATGTCCACTTACACACACTACAAAAAGAGTGTTTCAAACCTGCTCTGTGAAAGGGAATGTTCAATTCTGTGACTTGAATGCAATCATCACAAAGAACTTTCTGAGAATGCTGCTGTCTGCTTTTTATATGTAATCCCGTTTCCAACGAAATCCTCAAATCTAGCCAAATAGCCACTTGCAGATTCCACAAAAAGAGTGTTTCAAAACTGTTCTGTCTAAAGAAATGTTCAACTGTGTTAGTTGAGGACACACATCAGAAACTAGTTTCTGAGAATGCTTCTGTCTAGTTGTTATGGGAAGATATTTCCTTTTCCAACGTAGGCCTGAAAGCGCTCCAAATGTCCACTTCCATATACTAAAAAAAGAGTGTTTCAAACCTGCTCTACCAAAGGGAATGTTCTACTCTGTGACTTGAATGCAAACATCCCAAAGAAGTTTCTGAGAATGCTTCTGTCTAGATTTGATCTGAAGACAATCCCGTTTCCAACGAAATCCTCAAGGCTAGGCAAATATCCTCTTGCAGATTCCAGAAAAAGAGTGTTTCAAAACTGCTCCTTCAAAACGGTGGTTCAATTCTCTTAGTTGAGTACACACATCTCAAATAAGTTTCTGAGAATGCTTCTGCCTAGTTGTTACGGGAAGATATTTCCCTTTCCAACATGGGCCTGAAAGCGCTCCAAATGTCCACTTCCAGATACTACAAAAAGAGTGTTTCAAACCTGCTCTACCAAAGGGAATGTTCTACTCTGTGACTTGAATGCAAACATCCCAAAGAAGTTTCTGAGAATGCTTCTGTCTAGATTTTACCTGAAGACAATCCCGTTTCCCACGAAATCCTCAAAGCTATGCAAATATCCTCTTGCGGATTCTACAAAAAGAGTGTTTCAAAACTGCTCTATGAAAAGAAAGGTTCAACTCTGTCAGTAGAGGGCACACATCACAAACAACTTTCTGAGAATGCTTGTGTCTAGTTGTTATGGGAAGATATTTCCTTTTTCAACATAGGCCAGAAAGCGCTCCAAATGTCCACTTCCAGATACTACAAAAGGAGTGATTCCAACCTGCTCTATGATAGGGAATGTTCAACTCTGTGTCCTGAATACAAACATCACAAAGATGTTTCTCAGAACGCTGCAGTCTGCAATTTGTATGAATTCCCGCTTCCAACGAAATCCTCAAAACTAGCCAAATATCCACTTGCAGATTCCACAAAAAGACCATTTCAAAACTGCTCTATCAAAAGAAAGGTTCAACTTTGTTAGTTGAGTAGATACAGCATAAACAAGTTTCTGAGAATGCTTCTGTCCAGTTTTTATGGGAAGATATTTCCTTTTTCACCTTAGCCCTGAAAGCGCTCCAAAAGTCCAGTTCCAGATACTACAAAAGGAGTGTTTCAGGACTGCTCTATGAAAGGGAGTGTTCAACTTTTGACTTGAATGCAAACATCAGAAAGCAGTTTCTCAGAACGCTGCTGTGTGCTTTTTATATGTATTCCCGCTTCCAGCGAAATCCCCAAAGCTAGCCAAATATCCACTTGCAGATTCCAGAAAAAGAGTGTTTCAAAACTGCTCCTTCAAACCGGTGGTTCAATTCTCTTAGTTGAGTACACACATCTCAAATAAGTTTCTGAGAATGCTTGTGTCTAGTTGTTATGGGAAGATATTTCCTTTTTCAACATAGGCCTGAAAGCGCTCCAAATGTCCACTTCCAGATACTACAAAAGGAGTGATTCCAACCTGCTCTATGATAGGGAATGTTCAACTCTCTGTCCTGAATACAAACATCACAAAGATGTTTCTCAGAACGCTGCAGTCTGCAATTTGTATGAATTCCCGCTTCCAACGAAATCCTCAAAACTAGCCAAATATCCACTTGCAGATTCCACAAAAAGAGCGTTTCAAAACTTCTCTATGAAAAGAAAGGTTCTACTCCTTTAGTTGAGGACACACATCACGAGTAAGTTTCTGAGAATGCTTCTGTCTAGTTTTTATGGGAAGATATTTCCTTTTTCACCTTAGGCCGGAAAGCGCTCCAAATGTCCACTTACACACACTACAAAAAGAGTGTTTCAAACCTGCTCTGTGAAAGGGAATGTTCAATTCTGTGACTTGAATGCAATCATCACAAAGAACTTTCTGAGAATGCTGCTGTCTGCTTTTTATATGTAATCCCGTTTCCAACGAAATCCTCAAATCTAGCCCAATATCCACTTGCAGATTCCACAAAAAGAGTGTTTCAAAACTGTTCTGTATAAAGAAATGTACAACTGTGTTAGTTGAGGACACACATCAGAAACTAGTTTCTGGAATGCTTCTGTCTAGTTGTTATGGGAAGATATTTCCTTTTCCAACGTAGGCCTGAAAGCGCTCCAAATGTCCACTTCCATATACTAAAAAAAGAGTGTTTCAAACCTGCTCTACCAAAGGGAATGTTCTACTCTGTGACTTGAATGCAAACATCCCAAAGAAGTTTCTGAGAATGCTTCTGTCTAGATTTGATCTGAAGACAATCCCGTTTCCAACGAAATCCTCAAGGCTAGGCAAATATCCTCTTGCAGATTCCAGAAAAAGAGTGTTTCAAAACTGCTCCTTCAAAACGGTGGTTCAATTCTCTTAGTTGAGTACACACATCTCAAATAAGTTTCTGAGAATGCTTCTGCCTAGTTGTTACGGGAAGATATTTCCCTTTCCAACATAGGCCTGAAAGCGCTCCAAATGTCCACTTCCAGATACTACAAAAAGAGTGTTTCAAACCTGCTCTACCAAAGGGAATGTTCTGCTCTGTGACTTGAATGCAAACATCCCAAAGAAGTTTCTGAGAATGCTTCTGTCTAGATTTTACCTGAAGACAATCCCGTTTCCCACGAAATCCTCAAAGCTATGCAAATATCCTCTTGCAGATTCTACAAAAAGAGTGTTTCAAAACTGCTCTATGAAAAGAAAGGTTCAACTCTGTCAGTAGAGGGCACACATCACAAACAAGTTTCTGAGAATGCTTGTGTCTAGTTGTTATGGGAAGATATTTCCTTTTTCAACATAGGCCTGAAAGCAATCCAAATGTCCACTTCCAGATACTACAAAAGGAGTGATTCCAACCTGCTCTATGATAGGGAATGTTCAACTCTCTGTCCTGAATACAAACATCACAAAGATGTTTCTCAGAACGCTGCAGTCTGCAATTTGTATGAATTCCCGCTTCCAACGAAATCCTCAAAACTAGCCAAATATCCACTTGCAGATTCCACAAAAAGACCATTTCAAAACTGCTCTATCAAAAGAAAGGTTCAACTTTGTTAGTTGAGTAGATACAGCATAAACAAGTTTCTGAGAATGCTTCTGTCCAGTTTTTATGGGAAGATATTTCCTTTTTCACCTTAGCCCTGAAAGCGCTCCAAAAGTCCAGTTCCAGATACTACAAAAGGAGTGTTTCAGGACTGCTCTATGAAAGGGAGTGTTCAACTTTTGACTTGAATGCAAACATCAGAAAGCAGTTTCTCAGAACGCTGCTGTGTGCTTTTTATATGTATTCCCGCTTCCAGCGAAATCCCCAAAGCTAGCCAAATATCCACTTGCAGATTCCAGAAAAAGAGAGTTTCAAAACTGCTCCTTCAAAACGGTGGTTCAATTCTCTTAGTTGAGTACACACATCTCAAATAAGTTTCTGAGAATGCTTCTGTCTAGTTGTTATGGGAAGATATTTCCTTTTCCAACATAGGCCTGAAAGCGCTCCAAATGTCCACTTCCAGATACTACAAAAGGAGTGATTCAAACCTGCTCTATGATAGGGAATGTTCAACTCTGTGTCCTGAATACAAACATCACAAAGATGTTTCTCAGAACGGCAGTCTGCAATTTGTATGAATTCCCGCTTCCAACGAAATCCTCAAAACTAGCCAAATATCCACTTGCAGATTCCACAAAAAGAGCGTTTCAAAACTTCTCTATGAAAAGAAAGGTTCTACTCCTTTAGTTGAGGACACACATCACGAGTAAGTTTGCTGAGAATGCTTCTGTCTAGTTTTTATGGGAAGATATTTCCTTTTTCACCTTAGGCCGGAAAGCGCTCCAAATGTCCACTTACACACACTACAAAAAGAGTGTTTCAAACCTGCTCTGTGAAAGGGAATGTTCAATTCTGTGACTTGAATGCAATCATCACAAAGAACTTTCTGAGAATGCTGCTGACTGCTTTTTATATGTAATCCCGTTTCCAACGAAATCCTCAAATCTAGCCAAATAGCCACTTGCAGATTCCACAAAAAGAGTGTTTCAAAACTGTTCTGTCTAAAGAAATGTTCAACTGTGTTAGTTGAGGACACACATCAGAAACTAGTTTCTGAGAATGCTTCTGTCTAGTTGTTATGGGAAGATATTTCCTTTTCCAACGTAGGCCTGAAAGCGCTCCAAATGTCCACTTCCATATACTAAAAAAAGAGTGTTTCAAACCTGCTCTACCAAAGGGAATGTTCTACTCTGTGACTTGAATGCAAACATCCCAAAGAAGTTTCTGAGAATGCTTCTGTCTAGATTTTACCTGAAGACAATCCCGTTTCCAACGAAATCCTCAAGGCTAGGCAAATATACTCTTGCAGATTACAGAAAAAGAGTGTTTCAAAACTGCTCCTTCAAAACGGTGGTTCAATTCTCTTAGTTGAGTACACACATCTCAAATAAGTTTCTGAGAATGCTTCTGCCTAGTTGTTACGGGAAGATATTTCCCTTTCCAACATAGGCCTGAAAGCGCTCCAAATGTCCACTTCCAGATACTACAAAAAGAGTGTTTCAAACCTGCTCTACCAAAGGGAATGTTCTACTCTGTGACTTGAATGCAAACATCCCAAAGAAGTTTCTGAGAATGCTTCTGTCTAGATTTTACCTGAAGACAATCCCGTTTCCCACGAAATCCTCAGAGCTATGCAAATATCCTCTTGCAGATTCTACAAAAAGAGTGTTTCGAAACTGCTCTATGAAAAGAAAGGTTCAACTCTGTCAGTAGAGGAAACACATCACCAACAAGTTTCTGAGAATGCTTGTGTCTAGTTGTTATGGGAAGATATTTCCTTTTTCAACATAGGCCTGAAAGCGCTCCAAATATCCACTTCCAGATACTACAAAAGGAGTGATTCCAACCTGCTCTATGATAGGGAATGTTCAACTCTCTGTCCTGAATACAAACATCACAAAGATGTTTCTCAGAACGCTGCAGTCTGCAATTTGTATGAATTCCCGCTTCCAACGAAATCCTCAAAACTAGCCAAATATCCACTTGCAGATTCCACAAAAAGACCATTTCAAAACTGCTCTATCAAAAGAAAGGTTCAACTTTGTTAGTTGAGTAGATACAGCATAACCAAGTTTCTGAGAATGCTTCTGTCCAGTTTTTATGGGAAGATATTTCCTTTTTCACCTTAGCCCTGAAATCGCTCCAAAAGTCCAGTTCCAGATACTACAAAAGGGGTGTTTCAAGACTGCTCTATGAAAGGGAGTGTTCAACTTTTGACTTGAATGCAAACATCAGAAAGCAGTTTCTCAGAACGCTGCTGTGTGCTTTTTATATGTATTCCCGCTTCCAGCGAAATCCCCAAAGCTAGCCAAATATCCACTTGCAGATTCCAGAAAAAGAGTGTTTCAAAACTGCTCCTTCAAAACGGTGGTTCAATTCTCTTAGTTGAGTACACACATCTCAAATAAGTTTCTGAGAATGCTTGTGTCTAGTTGTTATGGGAAG
Organism: Homo sapiens; assembly: GCF_000001405.40. Classification (NCBI taxonomy): domain Eukaryota; kingdom Metazoa; phylum Chordata; class Mammalia; order Primates; family Hominidae; genus Homo; species Homo sapiens. The sequence continues at coordinate 20,361,498 of NC_000018.10, read as the reverse complement.
ATATTTCCTTTTTCAACATAGGCCTGAAAGCGCTCCAAATGTCCACTTCCAGATACTACAAATGGAGTGATTCCAACATGCTCTATGATAGGGAATGTTCATCTCTGTGTCTTGAATACAAACATCACAAAGATGTTTCTCAGAACGCTGCAGTCTGCAATTTGTATGAATTCCCGCTTCCAACGAAATCCTCAAAACTAGCCAAATATCCACTTGGAGATTCCACAAAAAGAGCGTTTCAAAACTTCTCTATGAATAGAAAGGTTCTACTCCTTTAGTTGAGGACACACATCACGAGTAAGTTTCTGAGAATGCTTCTGTCTAGTTTTTATGGGAAGATATGTCCTTTTTCACCTTAGGCCGGAAAGCGCTCCAAATGTCCACTTACACACACTACAAAAAGAGTGTTTCAAACCTGCTCTGTGAAAGGGAATGTTCAATTCTGTGACTTGAATGCAATCATCACAAAGAACTTTCTGAGAATGCTGCTGACTGCTTTTTATATGTGATCCCGTTTCCAACGAAATCCTCAAATCTATCCCAATATCCACTTGCAGATTCCACAAAAAGAGTGTTTCAAAACTGTTCTGTCTAAAGAAAAGTTCAACTGTGTTAGTTGAGGACACACATCAGAAACTAGTTTCTGAGAATGCTTCTGTCTAGTTGTTATGGGAAGATATTTCCTTTTCCAACGTAGGCCTGAAAGCGCTCCAAATGTCCATTTCCATATACTAAAAAAAGAGTGTTTGAAACCTGCTCTACCAAAGGGAATGTTCTACTCTGTGACTTGAATACAAACATCCCAAAGAAGTTTCTGAGAATGCTTCTGTCTAGATTTTCTCTGAAGACAATCCCGTTTCCAACGAAATCCTCAAGGCTAGGCAAATATACTCTTGCAGATTCCAGAAAAAGAGTGTTTCAAAACTGCTCCTTCAAAACGGTGGTTCAATTCTCTTAGTTGAGTACACACATCTCAAATAAGTTTCTGAGAATGCTTCTGCCTAGTTGTTACGGGAAGATATTTCCCTTTCCAACATGGGCCTGAAAGCGCTCCAAATGTCCACTTCCAGATACTACAAAAAGAGTGTTTCAAACCTGCTCTACCAAAGGGAATGTTCTACTCTGTGACTTGAATGCAAACATCCCAAAGAAGTTTCTGAGAATGCTTCTGTCTAGATTTTACCTGAAGACAATCCCGTTTCCCACGAAATCCTCAAAGCTATGCAAATATCCTCTTGCAGATTCTACAAAAAGAGTGTTTCAAAACTGCTCTATGAAAAGAAAGGTTCAACTCTGTCAGTAGAGGGCACACATCACAAACAAGTTTCTGAGAATGCTTCTGCATAGTTGTTACGGGAAGATATTTCCCTTTCCAAAATAGGCCTGAAAGCGCTCCAAATGTCCACTTCCAGATACTACAAAAGGAGTGATTCCAACCTGCTCTATGATAGGGAATGTTCAACTCTGTGTCCTGAATACAAACATCACAAAGATGTTTCTCAGAACGCTGCAGTCTGCAATTTGTATGAATTCCCGCTTCCAACGAAATCCTCAAAACTAGCCAAATATCCACTTGCAGATTCCACAAAAAGACCATTTCAAAACTGCTCTATCAAAAGAAAGGTTCAACTTTGTTAGTTGAGTAGATACAGCATAAACAAGTTTCTGAGAATGCTTCTGTCCAGTTTTTATGGGAAGATATTTCCTTTTTCACCTTAGCCCTGAAATCGCTCCAAAAGTCCAGTTCCAGATACTACAAAAGGGGTGTTTCAAGACTGCTCTATGAAAGGGAGTGTTCAACTTTTGACTTGAATGCAAACATCAGAAAGCAGTTTCTCAGAACGCTGCTGTGTGCTTTTTATATGTATTCCCGCTTCCAGCGAAATCCCCAAAGCTAGCCAAATATCCACTTGCAGATTCCAGAAAAAGAGAGTTTCAAAACTGCTCCTTCAAAACGGTGGTTCAATTCTCTTAGTTGAGTACACACATCTCAAATAAGTTTCTGAGAATGCTTGTGTCTAGTTGTTATGGGAAGATATTTCCTTTTTCAACATAGGCCTGAAAGCGCTCCAAATGTCCACTTCCAGATACTACAAAAGGAGTGATTCCAACCTGCTCTATGATAGGGAATGTTCATCTCTGTGTCCTGAATACAAACATCACAAAGATGTTTCTCAGAACGCTGCAGTCTGCAATTTGTATGAATTCCCGCTTCCAACGAAATCCTCAAAACTAGCCAAATATCCACTTGGAGATTCCACAAAAAGAGCGTTTCAAAACTTCTCTATGAATAGAAAGGTTCTACTCCTTTAGTTGAGGACACACATCACGAGTAAGTTTCTGAGAATGCTTCTGTCTAGTTTGTATGGGAAGATATTTCCTTTTTCACCTTAGGCCGGAAAGTGCTCCAAATGTCCACTTACACACACTACAAAAAGAGTGTTTCAAACCTGCTCTGTGAAAGGGAATGTTCAATTCTGTGACTTGAATGCAATCATCACAAAGAACTTTCTGAGAATGCTGCTGTCTGCTTTTTATATGTAATCCCGTTTCCAACGAAATCCTCAAATCTAGCCAAATAGCCACTTGCAGATTCCACAAAAAGAGTGTTTCAAAACTGTTCTGTCTAAAGAAATGTTCAACTGTGTTAGTTGAGGACACACATCAGAAACTAGTTTCTGAGAATGCTTCTGTCTAGTTGTTATGGGAAGATATTTCCTTTTCCAACGTAGGCCTGAAAGCGCTCCAAATGTCCACTTCCATATACTAAAAAAAGAGTGTTTCAAACCTGCTCTACCAAAGGGAATGTTCTACTCTGTGACTTGAATGCAAACATCCCAAAGAAGTTTCTGAGAATGCTTCTGTCTAGATTTTATCTGAAGACAATCCCGTTTCCAACGAAATCCTCAAGGCTAGGCAAATATCCTCTTGCAGATTCCAGAAAAAGAGTGTTTCAAAACTGCTCCTTCAAAACGGTGGTTCAATTCTCTTAGTTGAGTATACACATCTCAAATAAGTTTGCTGAGAATGCTTTCTGCCTAGTTGTTACGGGAAGATATTTCCCTTTCCAACATGGGCCTGAAAGCGCTCCAAATGTCCACTTCCAGATACTACAAAAAGAGTGTTTCAAACCTGCTCTACCAAAGGGAATGTTCTACTCTGTGACTTGAATGCAAACATCCCAAAGAAGTTTCTGAGAATGCTTCTGTCTAGATTTTACCTGAAGACAATCCCGTTTCCCACGAAATCCTCAAAGCTATGCAAATATCCTCTTGCAGATTCTACAAAAAGAGTGTTTCAAAAGTGCTCTATGAAAAGAAAGGTTCAACTCTGTCAGTAGAGGGCACACATCACAAACAAGTTTCTGAGAATGCTTGTGTCTAGTTGTTATGGGAAGATATTTCCTTTTTCAACATAGGCCAGAAAGCGCTCCAAATGTCCACTTCCAGATACTACAAAAGGAGTGATTCCAACCTGCTCTATGATAGGGAATGTTCAACTCTCTGTCCTGAATACAAACATCACAAAGATGTTTCTCAGAACGCTGCAGTCTGCAATTTGTATGAATTCCCGCTTCCAACGAAATCCTCAAAACTAGCCAAATATCCACTTGCAGATTCCACAAAAAGAGCATTTCAAAACTGCTCTATCAAAAGAAAGGTTCAACTTTGTTAGTTGAGTAGATACAGCATAAACAAGTTTCTGAGAATGCTGCAGTCTGCAATTTGTATGAATTCCCGCTTCCAACGAAATCCTCCAAACTAGCCAAATATCCACTTGCAGATTCCACAAAAAGAGCGTTTCAAAACTTCTCTATGAAAAGAAAGGTTCTACTCCTTTAGTTGAGGACACACATCACGAGTAAGTTTCTGAGAGTGCTTCTGTCTAGTTTTTATGGGAAGATATTTCCTTTTTCACCTTAGGCCGGTAAGTGCTCCAAATGTCCACTTACACACACTACAAAAAGAGTGTTTCAAACCTGCTCTGTGAAAGGGAATGTTCAATTCTGTGACTTGAATGCAATCATCACAAAGAACTTTCTGAGACTGCTGCTGTCTGCTTTTTATATGTAATCCCGTTTCCAACGAAATCCTCAAATCTAGCCAAATAGCCACTTGCAGATTCCACAAAAAGAGAGTTTCAAAACTGTTCTGTCTAAAGAAATGTTCAACTGTGTTAGTTGAGGACACACATCAGAAACTAGTTTCTGAGAATGCTTCTGTCTAGTTGTTATGGGAAGATATTTCCTTTTCCAACGTAGGCCTGAAAGCGCTCCAAATGTCCACTTCCAGATACTACAAAAAGAGTGTTTCAAACCTGCTCTACCAAAGGGAATGTTCTACTCTGTGACTTGAATGCAAGCATCCCAAAGAAGTTTCTGAGAATGCTTCTGTCTAGATTTTATCTGAAGACAATCCCGTTTCCAACGAAATTCTCAAGGCTAGGCAAATATACTCTTGCAGATTCCAGAAAAAGAGTGTTTCAAAACTGCTCCTTCAAAACGGTGGTTCAATTCTCTTAGTTGAGTACACACATCTCAAATAAGTTTCTGAGAATGCTTCTGCCTAGTTGTTACGGGAAGATATTTCCCTTTCCAACATGGGCCTGAAAGCGCTCCAAATGTCCACTTCCAGATACTACAAAAAGAGTGTTTCAAACCTGCTCTACCAAAGGGAATGTTCTACTCTGTGACTTGAATGCAAACATCCCAAAGAAGTTTCTGAGAATGCTTCTGTCTAGATTTTATCTGAAGACAATCCCGTTTCCAACGAAATCCTCAAGGCTAGGCAAATATCCTCTTGCAGATTCTACAAAAAGAGTGTTTCAAAACTGCTCTATGAAAAGAAAGGTTCAACTCTGTCAGTAGAGGGCACACATCACAAACAAGTTTCTGAGAATGCTTGTGTCTAGTTGTTATGGGAAGATATTTCCTTTTTCAACATAGGCCTGAAAGCGCTCCAAATGTCCACTTCCAGATACTACAAAAGGAGTGATTCAAACCTGCTCTATGATAGGGAATGTTCAATTCTCTGTCCTGAATACAAACATCACAAAGATGTTTCTCAGAACGCTGCAGTCTGCAATTTGTATGAATTCCCGCTTCCAACGAAATCCTCAAAACTAGCCAAATATCCACTTGCAGATTCCACAAAAAGAGCATTTCAAAACTGCTCTATCAAAAGAAAGGTTCAACTTTGTTAGTTGAGTAGATACAGCATAAACAAGTTTCTGAGAATGCTTCTGTCCAGTTTTTATGGGAAGATATTTCCTTTTTCACCTTAGCCCTGAAATCGCTCCAAAAGTCCAGTTCCAGATACTACAAAAGGGGTGTTTCAAGACTGCTCTATGAAAGGGAGTGTTCAACTTTTGACTTGAATGCAAACATCAGAAAGCAGTTTCTCAGAACGCTGCTGTGTGCTTTTTATATGTATTCCCGCTTCCAGCGAAATCCCCAAAGCTAGCCAAATATCCACTTGCAGATTCCAGAAAAAGAGAGTTTCAAAACTGCTCCTTCAAAACGGTGGTTCAATTCTCTTAGTTGAGTACACACATCTCAAATAAGTTTCTGAGAATGCTTCTGTCTAGTTGTTATGGGAAGATATTTCCTTTTCCAACATAGGCCTGAAAGCGCTCCAAATGTCCACTTCCAGATACTACAAAAGGAGTGATTCAAACCTGCTCTATGATAGGGAATGTTCAACTCTGTGTCCTGAATACAAACATCACAAAGATGTTTCTCAGAACGCTTGCAGTCTGCAATTTGTATGAATTTCCGCTTCCAACGAAATCCTCAAAACTAGCCAAATATCCACTTGCAGATTCCACAAAAAGAGCGTTTCAAAACTTCTCTATGAATAGAAATGTTCTACTCCTTTAGTTGAGGACACACATCACGAGTAAGTTTCTGAGAATGCTTCTGTCTAGTTTTTATGGGAAGATATTTCCTTTTTCACCTTAGGCCGGAAAGCGCTCCAAATGTCCACTTACACACACTACAAAAAGAGGGTTTCAAACCTGCTCTGTGAAAGGGAATGTTCAATTCTGTGACTTGAATGCAATCATCACAAAGAACTTTCTGAGAATGCTGCTGACTGCTTTTTATATGTAATCCCGTTTCCAACGAAATCCTCAAATCTAGCCAGATAGCCACTTGCAGATTCCACAAAAAGAGTGTTTCAAAACTGTTCTGTCTAAGGAAATGTTCAACTGTGTTAGTTGAGGACACACATCAGAAACTAGTTTCTGAGAATGCTTCTGTCTAGTTGTTATGGGAAGATATTTCCTTTTCCAACGTAGGCCTGAAAGCGCTCCAAATGTCCACTTCCATATACTAAAAAAAGAGTGTTTCAAACCTGCTCTACCAAAGGGAATGTTCTACTCTGTGACTTGAATGCAAACATCCCAAAGAAGTTTCTGAGAATGCTTCTGTCTAGATTTGATCTGAAGACAATCCCGTTTCCAACGAAATCATCAAGGCTAGGCAAATATCCTCTTGCAGATTCCAGAAAAAGAGTGTTTCAAAACTGCTCCTTCAAAACGGTGGTTCAATTCTCTTACTTGAGTACACACATCTCAAATAAGTTTCTGAGAATGCTTCTACCTAGTTGTTACGGGAAGATATTTCCCTTTGCAACATAGGCCTGAAAGGGCTCCAAATGTCCACTTCCAGATACTACAAAAAGAGTGTTTCAAACCTGGTCTACCAAAGGGAATGTTCTACTCTGTTACTTGAATGCAAACATCCCAAAGAAGTTTCTGAGAATGCTTCTGTCTAGATTTTACCTGAAGACAATCCCGTTTCCAACGAAATCCTCAGAGCTATGCAAATATCCTCTTGCAGATTCTCCAAAAAGAGTGTTTCGAAACTGCTCTATGAAAAGAAAGGTTCAACTCTGTCAGTAGAGGGCACACATCACAAACAACTTTCTGAGAATGCTTGTGTCTAGTTGTTATAGGAAGATATTTCCTTTTTCAACATAGGCCTGAAAGCGCTCCAAATGTCCACTTCCAGATACTACAAAAGGAGTGATTCCAACCTGCTCTATGATAGGGAATGTTCAACTCTGTCCTGAATACAAACATCACAAAGATGTTTCTCAGAACGCTGCAGTCTGCAATTTGTATGAATTCCCGCTTCCAACGAAATCCTCAAAACTAGCCAAATATCCACTTGCAGATTCCACAAAAAGAGCATTTCAAAACTGCTCTATCAAAAGAAAGGTTCAACTTTGTTAGTTGAGTAGATACAGCATAAACAAGTTTCTGAGAATGCTTCTGTCCAGTTTTTATGGGAAGATATTTCCTTTTTCACCTTAGCCCTGAAATCGCTCCAAAAGTCCAGTTCCAGATACTACAAAAGGGGTGTTTCAAGACTGCTCTATGAAAGGGAGTGTTCAACTTTTGACTTGAATGCAAACATCAGAAAGCAGTTTCTCAGAACGCTGCTGTGTGCTTTTTATATGTATTCCCGCTTCCAGCGAAATCCCCAAAGCTAGCCAAATATCCACTTGCAGATTCCAGAAAAAGAGAGTTTCAAAACTGCTCCTTCAAAACGGTGGTTCAATTCTCTTAGTTGAGTACACACATCTCAAATAAGTTTCTGAGAATGCTTCTGTCTAGTTGTTATGGGAAGATATTTCCTTTTCCAACATAGGCCTGAAAGCGCTCCAAATGTCCACTTCCAGATACTACAAAAGGAGTGATTCAAACCTGCTCTATGATAGGGAATGTTCAACTCTGTGTCCTGAATACAAACATCACAAAGATGTTTCTCAGAACGCTGCAGTCTGCAATTTGTATGAATTCCCGCTTCCAACGAAATCCTCCAAACTAGCCAAATATCCACTTGCAGATTCCACAAAAAGAGGGTTTCAAAACTTCTCTATGAAAAGAAAGGTTCTACTCCTTTAGTTGAGGACACACATCACGAGTAAGTTTCTGAGAGTGCTTCTGTCTAGTTTTTATGGGAAGATATTTCCTTTTTCACCTTAGGCCGGAAAGTGCTCCAAATGTCCACTTACACACACTACAAAAAGAGTGTTTCAAACCTGCTCTGTGAAAGGGAATGTTCAATTCTGTGACTTGAATGCAATCATCACAAAGAACTTTCTGAGAATGCTGCTGTCTGCTTTTTATATGTAATCCCGTTTCCAACGAAATCCTCAAATCTAGCCAAATAGCCACTTGCAGATTCCACAAAAAGAGAGTTTCAAAACTGTTCTGTCTAAAGAAATGTTCAACTGTGTTAGTTGAGGACACACATCAGAAACTAGTTTCTGAGAATGCTTCTGTCTAGTTGTTATGGGAAGATATTTCCTTTTCCAACGTAGGCCTGAAAGCGCTCCAAATGTCCACTTCCAGATACTACAAAAAGAGTGTTTCAAACCTGCTCTACCAAAGGGAATGTTCTACTCTGTGACTTGAATGCAAACATCCCAAAGAAGTTTCTGAGAATGCTTCTGTCTAGATTTTATCTGAAGACAATCCCGTTTCCAACGAAATCCTCAAGGCTAGGCAAATATACTCTTGCAGATTCCAGAAAAAGAGTGTTTCAAAACTGCTCCTTCAAAACGGTGGTTCAATTCTCTTAGTTGAGTACACACATCTCAAATAAGTTTCTGAGAATGCTTCTGCCTAGTTGTTACGGGAAGATATTTCCCTTTCCAACATAGGCCTGAAAGCGCTCCAAATGTCCACTTCCAGATACTACAAAAAGAGTGTTTCAAACCTGCTCCTTCAAAACGGTGGTTCAATTCTCTTAGTTCAGTACACACATCTCAAATAAGTTTCTGAGAATGCTTCTGTCTAGATTTTACCTGAAGACAATCCCGTTTCCCACGAAATCCTCAAAGCTATGCAAATATCCTCTTGCAGATTCTACAAAAAGAGTGTTTCAAAACTGCTCTATGAAAAGAAAGGTTCAACTCTGTCAGTAGAGGGCACACATCACAAACAAGTTTCTGAGAATGCTTCTGTCTAGTTGTTATGGGAAGATATTTCCTTTTTCAACATAGGCCTGAAAGCGCTCCAAATGTCCACTTCCAGATAGTACAAAAGGAGTGATTCCAACCTGCTCTATGATAGGGAATGTTCAACTCTGTGTCCTGAATACAAACATCACAAAGATGTTTCTCAGAACGCTGCAGTCTGCAATTTGTATGAATTCCCGCTTCCAACGAAATCCTCAAAACTAGCCAAATATCCACTTGCAGATTCCACAAAAAGACCATTTCAAAACTGCTCTATCAAAAGAAAGGTTCAACTTTGTTAGTTGAGTAGATACAGCATAAACAAGTTTCTGAGAATGCTTCTGTCCAGTTTTTATGGGAAGATATTTCCTTTTTCACCTTAGCCCTGAAATCGCTCCAAAAGTCCAGTTCCAGATACTACAAAAGGGGTGTTTCAAGACTGCTCTATGAAAGGGAGTGTTCAACTTTTGACTTGAATGCAAACATCAGAAAGCAGTTTCTCAGAACGCTGCTGTGTGCTTTTTATATGTATTCCCGCTTCCAGCGAAATCCCCAAAGCTAGCCAAATATCCACTTGCAGATTCCAGAAAACGAGTGTTTCAAAACTGCTCCTTCAAAACGGTGGTTCAATTCTCCTAGTTGAGAATACACATCTCAAATAGGTTTCTGAGAATGCTGCAGTCTGCAATTTGTATGTATTCCAGCTTCCAACGAAATCCTCAAATCTAGCCAAATATCCAATTGCAGATTCCACAAAAAGAGCATTTCAAAACTGCTCTATCAAAAGAAAGGTTCAACTTTTTTAGTAGAGTAGATACAGCATAAACAAGTTTCTGAGAATGCTTCTGTCCAGATTTTATGGGAAGATATTTCCTTTTTCACCTTAGCCCTGAAAGCGCTCCAAAAGTCCAGTTCCAGATACTACAAAAGGAGTGTTTCAGGACTGCTCTATGAAAGGGAGTGTTCAACTTTTGACTTGAATGCAAACATCAGAAAGCAGTTTCTCAGAACGCTTCTGTCTAGTTTTTATGGGAAGATATTTCCTTTTTCACCTTAGGCCGGTAAGTGCTCCAAATGTCCACTTACACACACTACAAAAAGAGTGTTTCAAACCTGCTCTGTGAAAGGGAATGTTCAATTCTGTGACTTGAATGCAATCATCACAAAGAACTTTCTGAGAATGCTGCTGTCTGCTTTTTATATGTAATCCCGTTTCCAACGAAATCCTCAAATCTAGCCAAATAGCCACTTGCAGATTCCACAAAAAGAGAGTTTCAAAACTGTTCTGTCTAAAGAAATGTTCAACTGTGTTAGTTGAGGACACACATCAGAAACTAGTTTCTGAGAATGCTTCTGTCTAGTTGTTATGGGAAGATATTTCCTTTTCCAACGTAGGCCTGAAAGCGCTCCAAATGTCCACTTCCATATACTAAAAAAAGAGTGTTTCAAACCTGCTCTACCAAAGGGAATGTTCTACTCTGTGACTTGAATGCAAACATCCCAAAGAAGTTTCTGAGAATGCTTCTGTCTAGATTTTATCTGAAGACAATCCCGTTTCCAACGAAATCCTCAAGTCTAGGCAAATATTCTCTTGCAGATTCCAGAAAAAGAGTGTTTCAAAACTGCTCCTTCAAAACGGTGGTTCAGTTCTCTTAGTTGAGTACACACATCTCAAATAAGTTTCTGAGAATGCTTCTGCCTAGTTGTTACGGGAAGATATTTCCCTTTCCAACATAGGCCTGAAAGCGCTCCAAATGTCCACTTCCAGATACTACAAAAAGAGTGTTTCAAACCTGCTCTACCAAAGGGAATGTTCTGCTCTGTGACTTGAATGCAAACATCCCAAAGAAGTTTCTGAGAATGCTTCTGTCTAGATTTTACCTGAAGACAATCCCGTTTCCCACGAAATCCTCAAAGCTATGCAAAAATCCTCTTGCAGATTCTACAAAAAGAGTGTTTCAAAACTGCTCTATGAAAAGAAAGGTTCAACTCTGTCAGTAGAGGGCACACATCACAAACAAGTTTCTGAGAATGCTTGTGCCTAGTTGTTATGGGAAGATATTTCCTTTTTCAACATAGGCCAGAAAGCGCTCCAAATGTCCACTTCCAGATACTACAAAAGGAGTGATTCCAACCTGCTCTATGATAGGGAATGTTCAACTCTCTGTCCTGAATACAAACATCACAAAGATGTTTCTCAGAACGCTGCAGTCTGCAATTTGTATGAATTCCCGCTTCCAACGAAATCCTCAAAACTAGCCAAATATCCACTTGCAGATTCCACAAAAAGAGCATTTCAAAACTGCTCTATCAAAAGAAAGGTTCAACTTTGTTAGTTGAGTAGATACAGCATAAACAAGTTTCTGAGAATGCTTCTGTCCAGTTTTTATGGGAAGATATTTCCTTTTTCACCTTAGCCCTGAAAGCGCTCCAAATTTCCAGTTCCAGATACTACAAAAGGGGTGTTTCAAGACTGCTCTATGAAAGGGAGTGTTCAACTTTTGACTTGAATGCAAACATCAGAAAGCAGTTTCTCAGAAACGCTGCTGTGTGCTTTTTATATGTATTCCCGCCTCCAGCGAAATCCCCAAAGCTAGCCAAATATCCACTTGCAGATTCCAGAAAAAGAGTGTTTCAAAACTGCTCCTTCAAAACGGTGGTTCAATTCTCTTAGTTGAGTACACACATCTCAAATAAGTTTCTGAGAATGCTTCTGTCTAGTTGTTATGGGAAGATATTTCCTTTTCCAACATAGGCCTGAAAGCACTCCAAATGTCCACTTCCAGATACTACAAAAGGAGTGATTCCAACCTGCTCTATGATAGGGAATGTTCAACTCTGTGTCCTGAATACAAACATCACAAAGATGTTTCTCAGAACGCTGCAGTCTGCAATTTGTATGAATTCCCGCTTCCAACGAAATCCTCAAAACTAGCCAAATATCCACTTGCAGATTCCACAAAAAGACCATTTCAAAACTGCTCTATCAAAAGAAAGGTTCAACTTTGTTAGTTGAGTAGATACAGCATAAACAAGTTTCTGAGAATGCTTCTGTCCAGTTTTTATGGGAAGATATTTCCTTTTTCACCTTAGCCCTGAAATCGCTCCAAAAGTCCAGTTCCAGATACTACAAAAGGGGTGTTTCAAGACTGCTCTATGAAAGGGAGTGTTCAACTTTTGACTTGAATGCAAACATCAGAAAGCAGTTTCTCAGAACGCTGCTGTGTGCTTTTTATATGTATTCCCGCTTCCAGCGAAATCCCCAAAGCTAGCCAAATATCCACTTGCAGATTCCAGAAAAAGAGTGTTTCAAAACTGCTCCTTCAAAACGGTGGTTCAATTCTCTTAGTTGAGTACACACATCTCAAATAAGTTTCTGAGAATGCTTCTGTCTAGTTGTTATGGGAAGATATTTCCTTTTCCAACATAGGCCTGAAAGCGCTCCAAATGTCCACTTCCAGATACTACAAAAGGAGTGATTCCAACCTGCTCTATGATAGGGAATGTTCAACTCTGTGTCCTGAATACAAACATCACAAAGATGTTTCTCAGAACGCTGCAGTCTGCAATTTGTATGAATTCCCGCTTCCAACGAAATCCTCAAAACTAGCCAAATATCCACTTGCAGATTCCACAAAAAGAGCGTTTCAAAACTTCTCTATGAAAAGAAAGGTTCTACTCCTTTAGTTGAGGACACACATCACGAGTAAGTTTCTGAGAATGCTTCTGTCTAGTTTTTATGGGAAGATATTTCCTTTTTCACCTTAGGCCGGAAAGTGCTCCAAATGTCCACTTACACACACTACAAAAAGAGTGTTTCAAACCTGCTCTGTGAAAGGGAATGTTCAATTCTGTGACTTGAATGCAATCATCACAAAGAACTTTCTGAGAATGCTGCTGTCTGCTTTTTATATGTAATCCCGTTTCCAACGAAATCCTCAAATCTAGCCAAATAGCCACTTGCAGATTCCACAAAAAGAGTGTTTCAAAACTGTTCTGTCTAAAGAAATGTTCAACTGTGTTAGTTGAGGACACACATCAGAAACTAGTTTCTGAGAATGCTTCTGTCTAGTTGTTATGGGAAGATATTTCCTTTTCCAACGTAGGCCTGAACGCGCTCCAAATGTCCACTTACACACACTACAAAAAGAGTGTTTCAAACCTGCTCTACCAAAGGGAATGTTCTACTCTGTGACTTGAATGCAAACATCCCAAAGAAGTTTCTGAGAATGCTTCTGTCTAGATTTGATCTGAAGACAATCCCGTTTCCAACGAAATCCTCAAGGCTAGGCAAATATCCTCTTGCAGATTCCAGAAAAAGAGTGTTTCAAAACTGCTCCTTCAAAACGGTGGTTCAATTCTCTTAGTTGAGTACACACATCTCAAATAAGTTTCTGAGAATGCTTCTGCCTAGTTGTTACGGGAAGATATTTCCCTTTCCAACATAGGCCTGAAAGCGCTCCAAATGTCCACTTCCAGATACTACAAAAAGAGTGTTTCAAACCTGCTCTACAAAAGGGAATGTTCTACTCTGTGACTTGAATGCAAACATCCCAAAGAAGTTTCTGAGAATGCTTCTGTCTAGATTTTACCTGAAGACAATCCCGTTTCCCACGAAATCCTCAAAGCTATGCAAATATCCTCTTGCGGATTCTACAAAAAGAGTGTTTCAAAACTGCTCTATGAAAAGAAACGTTCAACTCTGTCAGTAGAGGGCACACATCACAAACAACTTTCTGAGAATGCTTGTGTCTAGTTGTTATGGGAAGATATTTCCTTTTTCAACATAGGCCAGAAAGCGCTCCAAATGTCCACTTCCAGATACTACAAAAGGAGTGATTCCAACCTGCTCTATGATAGGGAATGTTCAACTCTCTGTCCTGAATACAAACATCACAAAGATGTTTCTCAGAACGCTGCAGTCTGCAATTTGTATGAATTCCCGCTTCCAACGAAATCCTCAAAACTAGCCAAATATCCACTTGCAGATTCCACAAAAAGACCATTTCAAAACTGCTCTATCAAAAGAAAGGTTCAACTTTGTTAGTTGAGTAGATACAGCATAAACAAGTTTCTGAGAATGCTTCTGTCCAGTTTTTATGGGAAGATATTTCCTTTTTCACCTTAGCCCTGAAATCGCTCCAAAAGTCCAGTTCCAGATACTACAAAAGGGGTGTTTCAAGACTGCTCTATGAAAGGGAGTGTTCAACTTTTGACTTGAATGCAAACATCAGAAAGCAGTTTCTCAGAACGCTGCTGTGTGCTTTTTATATGTATTCCCGCTTCCAGCGAAATCCCCAAAGCTAGCCAAATATCCACTTGCAGATTCCAGAAAAAGAGAGTTTCAAAACTGCTCCTTCAAAACGGTGGTTCAATTCTCTTAGTTGAGTACACACATCTCAAATAAGTTTCTGAGAATGCTTCTGTCCAGTTTTTATGGGAAGATATTTCCTTTTTCACCTTAGCCCTGAAAGCGCTCCAAAAGTCCAGTTCCAGATACTACAAAAGGGGTGTTTCAAGACTGCTGCTATGAAAGGGAGTGTTCAACTTTTGACTTGAATGCAAACATCAGAAAGCAGTTTCTCAGAACGCTGCAGTCTGCAATTTGTATGAATTCCCGCTTCCAACGAAATCCTCAAAACTAGCCAAATATCCACTTGGAGATTCCACAAAAAGAGCGTTTCAAAACTTCTCTATGAATAGAAAGGTTCTACTCCTTTAGTTGAGGACACACATCACGAGTAAGTTTCTGAGAATGCTTCTGTCTAGTTTTTATGGGAAGATATTTCCTTTTTCACCTTAGGCCGGAAAGCGCTCCAAATGTCCACTTACACACACTACAAAAAGAGTGTTTCAAACCTGCTCTGTGAAAGGGAATGTTCAATTCTGTGACTTGAATGCAATCATTACAAAGAACTTTCTGAGAATGCTGCTGTCTGCTTTTTATATGTAATCCCCTTTCCAACGAAATCCTCAAATCTAGCCAAATATCCACTTGCAGATTCCACAAAAAGAGTGTTTCAAAACTGTTCTGTCTAAAGAAAAGTTCAACTGTGTTAGTTGAGGACACACATCAGAAACTAGTTTCTGAGAATGCTTCTGTCTAGTTGTTATGGGAAGATATTTCCTTTTCCAATGTAGGCCTGAAAGCGCTCCAAATGTCCACTTCCATATACTAAAAAGAGAGTGTTTCAAACCTGCTCTACCAAAGGGAATGTTCTACTCTGTGACTTGAATGCAAACATCCCAAAGAAGTTTCTGAGAATGCTTCTGTCTAGATTTTACCTGAAGACAATCCCGTTTCCAACGAAATCCTCAAAGCTATGCAAATATCCTCTTGCAGATTCTACAAAAAGAGTGTTTCGAAACTGCTCTATGAAAAGAAAGGTTCAACTCTGTCAGTAGAGGGCACACATCACAAACAAGTTTCTGAGAATGCTTCTGCCTAGTTGTTATGGGAAGATATTTCCTTTTTCAACATGGGCCTGAAAGCGCTCCAAATGTCCACTTCCAGATACTAGAAAAGGAGTGATTCAAACCTGCTCTATGATAGGGAATGTTCAACTCTGTGTCCTGAATACAAACATCACAAAGATGTTTCTCAGAACGCTGCAGTCTGCAATTTGTATGAATTCCCGCTTCCAACGAAATCCTCAAAACTAGCCAAATATCCACTTGCAGATTCCACAAAAAGACCATTTCAAAACTGCTCTATCAAAAGAAAGGTTCAACTTTGTTAGTTGAGTAGATACAGCATAAACAAGTTTCTGAGAATGCTTCTGTCCAGTTTTTATGGGAAGATATTTCCTTTTTCACCTTAGCCCTGAAATCGCTCCAAAAGTCCAGTTCCAGATACTACAAAAGGGGTGTTTCAAGACTGCTCTATGAAAGGGAGTGTTCAACTTTTGACTTGAATGCAAACATCAGAAAGCAGTTTCTCAGAACGCTGCTGTGTGCTTTTTATATGTATTCCCGCTTCCAGCGAAATCCCCAAAGCTAGCCAAATATCCACTTGCAGATTCCAGAAAAAGAGTGTTTCAAAACTGCTCCTTCAAAACGGTGGTTCAATTCTCTTAGTTGAGTACACACATCTCAAATAAGTTTCTGAGAATGCTGCTGTGTGCTTTTTATATGTATTCCCGCTTCCAGCGAAATCCCCAAAGCTAGCCAAATATCCACTTGCAGATTCCAGAAAAAGAGTGTTTCAAAACTGCTCCTTCAAAACGGTGGTTCAATTCTCTTAGTTGAGTACACACATCTCAAATAAGTTTCTGAGAATGCTTCTGTCTAGTTGTTATGGGAAGATATTTCCTTTTCCAACATAGGCCTGAAAGCGCTCCAAATGTCCACTTCCAGATACTACAAAAGGAGTGATTCAAACCTGCTCTATGATAGGGAATGTTCAACTCTGTGTCCTGAATACAAACATCACAAAGATGTTTCTCAGAACGCTGCAGTCTGCAATTTGTACGAATTCCCGCTTCCAACGAAATCCTCAAAACTAGCCAAATATCCACTTGCAGATTCCACAAAAAGAGCATTTCAAAACTGCTCTATCAAAAGAAAGGTTCAACTTTGTTAGTTGAGCAGATACAGCATAAACAAGTTTCTGAGAATGCTTCTGTCCAGTTTTTATGGGAAGATATTTCCTTTTTCACCTTAGCCCTGAAAGCGCTCCAAATTTCCAGTTCCAGATACTACAAAAGGGGTGTTTCAAGACTGCTCTATGAAAGGGAGTGTTCAACTTTTGACTTGAATGCAAACATCAGAAAGCAGTTTCTCAGAACGCTGCTGTGTGCTTTTTATATGTATTCCCGCTTCCAGCGAAATCCCCAAAGCTAGCCAAATATCCACTTGCAGATTCCAGAAAAAGAGTGTTTCCAAACTGCTCCCTCAAAACGGTGGTTCAATTCTCTTAGTTGAGTACACACATCTCAAATAAGTTTCTGGGAATGCTTCTGTCTAGTTGTTATGGGAAGATATTTCCTTTTCCAACATAGGCCTGAAAGCGCTCCAAATGTCCACTTCCAGATACTACAAAAGGAGTGATTCAAACCTGCTCTATGATAGGGAATGTTCAACTCTGTGTCCTGAATACAAACATCACAAAGATGTTTCTCAGAACGCTGCAGTCTGCAATTTGTATGAATTCCCGCTTCCAACGAAATCCTCAAAACTAGCCAAATATCCACTTGCAGATTCCACAAAAAGAGCATTTCAAAACTGCTCTATCAAAAGAAAGGTTCAACTTTGTTAGTTGAGTAGATACAGCATAAACAAGTTTCTGAGAATGCTTCTGTCCAGTTTTTATGGGAAGATATTTCCTTTTTCACCTTAGCCCTGAAATCGCTCCAAAAGTCCAGTTCCAGATACTACAAAAGGGGTGTTTCAGGACTGCTCTATGAAAGGGAGTGTTCAACTTTTGACTTGAATGCAAACATCAGAAAGCAGTTTCTCAGAACGCTGCAGTCTGCAATTTGTATGAATTCCAGCTTCCAACGAAATCCTCAAAACTAGCCAAATATCCACTTGCAGATTCCACAAAAAGAGCATTTCAAAACTGCTCTATCAAAAGAAAGGTTCAACTTTGTTAGTGGAGTAGATACAGCATAAACAAGTTTCTGAGAATGCTTCTGTCCAGTTTTTATGGGAAGATATTTCCTTTTTCACCTTAGCCCTGAAAGCGCTCCAAATGTCCAGTTCCAGATACTACAAAAGGGGTGTTTCAAGACTGCTCTATGAAAGGGAGTGTTCAACTTTTGACTTGAATGCAAACATCAGAAAACAGTTTCTCAGAACGCTGCTGTGTGCTTTTTATATGTATTCCCGCTTCCAGCGAAATCCCCAAAGCTAGCCAAATATCCACTTGCAGATTCCAGAAAAAGAGTGTTTCAAAACTGCTCCTTCAAAACGGTGGTTCAGTTCTCTTAGTTGAGTACACACATCTCAAATAAGTTTCTGAGAATGCTTCTGTCTAGTTGTAATGGGAAGATATTTCCTTTTCCAACATAGGCCTGAAAGCGCTCCAAATGTCCACTTCCAGATACTACAAAAGGAGTGATTCCAACCTGCTCTATGATAGGGAATGTTCAACTCTGTGTCCTCAATACAAACATCACAAAGATGTTTCTCAGAACGCTGCAGTCTGCAATTTGTATGAATTCCCGCTTCCAACGAAATCCTCAAAACTAGCCAACTATCCACTTGCAGATTCCACAAAAAGAGCGTTTCAAAACTTCTCTATGAAAAGAAAGTTTCTACTCGTTTAGTTGAGTACACACATCACGAGTAAGTTTCTGAGAATGCTTCTGTCTAGTTGTTATGGGAAGATATTTCCTTTTCCAACGTAGGCCTGAAAGCGCTCCAAATGTCCACTTCCATATACTAAAAAAAGAGTGTTTCAAACCTGCTCTACCAAAGGGAATGTTCTACTCTGTGACTTGAATGCAAACATCCCAAAGAAGTTTCTGAGAATGCTTCTGTCTAGATTTTCTCTGAAGACAATCCCGTTTCCAACGAAATCCTCAAGGCTAGGCAAATATACTCTTGCAGATTCCAGAAAAAGAGTGTTTCAAAACTGCTCCTTCAAAACGGTGGTTCAATTCTCTTAGTTGAGTACACACATCTCAAATAAGTTTCTGAGAATGCTTCTGCCTAGTTGTTACGGGAAGATATTTCCCTTTCCAACATGGGCCTGAAAGCGCTCCAAATGTCCACTTCCAGATACTACAAAAAGAGTGTTTCAAACCTGCTCTACCAAAGGGAATGTTCTACTCTGTGACTTGAATGCAAACATCCCAAAGAAGTTTCTGAGAATGCTTCTGTCTAGATTTTACCTGAAGACAATCCCGTTTCCCACGAAATCCTCAAAGCTATGCAAATATCCTCTTGCAGATTCTACAAAAAGAGTGTTTCAAAACTGCTCTATGAAAAGAAAGGTTCAACTCTGTCAGTAGAGGGCACACATCACAAACAAGTTTCTGAGAATACTTGTGTCTAGTTGTTATGGGAAGATATTTCCTTTTTCAACATAGGCCTGAAAGCGCTCCAAATGTCCACTTCCAGATACTACAAAAGGAGTGATTCCAACCTGCTCTATGATAGGGAATGTTCATCTCTGTGTCCTGAATACAAACATCACAAAGATGTTTCTCATAACGCTGCAGTCTGCAATTTGTATGAATTCCCGCTTCCAATGAAATCCTCAAAACTAGCCAAATATCCACTTGCAGATTCCACAAAAAGAGCATTTCAAAACTGCTCTATCAAAAGAAAGGTTCAACTTTGTTAATTGAGTAGATACAGCATAAACAAGTTTCTGAGAATGCTTCTGTCCAGTTTTTATGGGAAGATATTTCCTTTTTCACCTTAGCCCTGAAATCGCTCCAAAAGTCCAGTTCCAGATACTACAAAAGGGGTGTTTCAAGACTGCTCTATGAAAGGGAGTGTTCAACTTTTGACTTGAATGCAAACATCAGAAAGCAGTTTCTCAGAACGCTGCTGTGTGCTTTTTATATGTATTCCCGCTTCCAGCGAAATCCCCAAAGCTAGCCAAATATCCACTTGCAGATTCCAGAAAAAGAGTGTTTCAAAACTGCTCCTTCAAAACGGTGGTTCAATTCTCTTAGTTGAGTACACACATCTCAAATAAGTTTCTGAGAATGCTTCTGTCTAGTTGTTATGGGAAGATATTTCCTTTTCCAACATAGGCCTGAAAGCGCTCCAAATGTCCACTTCCAGATACTACAAAAGGAGTGATTCCAACCTGCTCTATGATAGGGAATGTTCAACTCTGTGTCCTGAATACAAACATCACAAAGATGTTTCTCAGAACGCTGCAGTCTGCAATTTGTATGAATTCCCGCTTCCAACGAAATCCTCCAAACTAGCCAAATATCCACTTGCAGATTCCACAAAAAGAGCGTTTCAAAACTTCTCTATGAAAAGAAAGGTTCTACTCCTTTAGTTGAGGACACACATCACGAGTAAGTTTCTGAGAATGCTTCTGTCTAGTTTTTATGGGAAGATTATTTCCTTTTTCACCTTAGGCCGGTAAGTGCTCCAAATGTCCACTTACACACACTACAAAAAGAGTGTTTCAAACCTGCTCTGTGAAAGGGAATGTTCAATTCTGTGACTTGAATGCAATCATCACAAAGAACTTTCTGAGAATGCTGCTGTCTGCTTTTTATATGTAATCCCGTTTCCAACGAAATCCTCAAATCTAGCCAAATAGCCACTTGCAGATTCCACAAAAAGAGTGTTTCAAAACTGTTCTGTCTAAAGAAATGTTCAACTGTGTTAGTTGAGGACACACATCAGAAACTAGTTTCTGAGAATGCTTCTGTCTAGTTGTTATGGGAAGATATTTCCTTTTCCAACGTAGGCCTGAAATCGCTCCAAATGTCCACTTCCAGATACTACAAAAGGAGTGATTCCAACCTGCTCTATGATAGGGAATGTTCAACTCTGTGTCCTGAATACAAACATCACAAAGATGTTTCTCAGAACGCTGCAGTCTGCAATTTGTATGAATTCCCGCTTCCAACGAAATCCTCCAAACTAGCCAAATATCCACTTGCAGATTCCACAAAAAGAGCGTTTCAAAACTTCTCTATGAAAGAAAGGTTCTACTCCTTTAGTTGAGGACACACATCACGAGTAAGTTTCTGAGAATGCTTCTGTCTAGTTTTTATGGGAAGATATTTCCTTTTTCACCTTAGGCCGGTAAGTGCTCCAAATGTCCACTTACACACACTACAAAAAGAGTCTTTCAAACCTGCTCTGTGAAAGGGAATGTTCAATTCTGTGACTTGAATGCAATCATCACAAAGAACTTTCTGAGAATGCTGCTGACTGCTTTTTATATGTAATCCCGTTTCCAACGAAATCCTCAAATCTAGCCAAATAGCCACTTGCAGATTCCACAAAAAGAGTGTTTCAAAACTGTTCTGTCTAAAGAAATGTTCAACTGTGTTAGTTGAGGACACACATCAGAAACTAGTTTCTGAGAATGCTTCTGTCTAGTTGTTATGGGAAGATATTTCCTTTTCCAACGTAGGCCTGAAAGCGCTCCAAATGTCCACTTCCAGATACTACAAAAAGAGTGTTTCAAACCTGCTCTACCAAAGGGAATGTTCTACTCTGTGACTTGAATGCAAACATCCCAAAGAAGTTTCTGAGAATGCTTCTGTCTAGATTTTATCTGAAGACAATCCCGTTTCCAACGAAATCCTCAAGGCTAGGCAAATATACTCTTGCAGATTCCAGAAAAAGAGTGGTTCAAAACTGCTCCTTCAAAACGGTGGTTCATTTCTCTTAGTTGAGTACACACATCTCAAATAAGTTTCTGAGAATGCTTCTGCCTAGTTGTTACGGGAAGATATTTCCCTTTCCAACATGGGCCTGAAAGCGCTCCAAATGTCCACTTCCAGATACTACAAAAAGAGTGTTTCAAACCTGCTCTACCAAAGGGAATGTTCTACTCTGTGACTTGAATGCAAACATCCCAAAGAAGTTTCTGAGAATGCTTCTGTCTAGATTTTACCTGAAGACAATCCCGTTTCCCACGAAATCCTCAAAGCTATGCAAATATCCTCTTGCAGATTCTACAAAAAGAGTGTTTCAAAACTGCTCTATGAAAAGAAAGGTTCAACTCTGTCAGTAGAGGGCACACATCACAAACAAGTTTCTGAGAATGCTTCTGTCTAGTTGTTATGGGAAGATATTTCCTTTTCCAACATAGGCCTGAAAGCGCTCCAAATGTCCACTTCCAGATACTACAAAAGGAGTGATTCCAACCTGCTCTATGATAGGGAATGTTCAACTCTGTGTCCTGAATACAAACATCACAAAGATGTTTCTCAGAACGCTGCAGTCTGCAATTTGTATGAATTCCCGCTTCCAACGAAATCCTCAAAACTAGCCAAATATCCACTTGCAGATTCCACAAAAAGACCATTTCAAAACTGCTCTATCAAAAGAAAGGTTCAACTTTGTTAGTTGAGTAGATACAGCATAAACAAGTTTCTGAGAATGCTTCTGTCCAGTTTTTATGGGAAGATATTTCCTTTTTCACCTTAGCCCTGAAATCGCTCCAAAAGTCCAGTTCCAGATACTACAAAAGGGGTGTTTCAAGACTGCTCTATGAAAGGGAGTGTTCAACTTTTGACTTGAATGCAAACATCAGAAAGCAGTTTCTCAGAACGCTGCTGTGTGCTTTTTATATGTATTCCCGCCTCCAGCGAAATCCCCAAAGCTAGCCAAATATCCACTTGCAGATTCCAGAAAAAGAGTGTTTCAAAACTGCTCCTTCAAAACGGTGGTTCAATTCTCTTAGTTGAGTACACACATCTCAAATAAGTTTCTGAGAATGCTTCTGTCCAGTTTTTATGGGAAGATATTTCCTTTTTCACCTTAGCCCTAAAATCGCTCCAAAAGTCCAGTTCCAGATACTACAAAAGGGGTGTTTCAAGACTGCTCTATGAAAGGGAGTGTTCAACTTTTGACTTGAATGCAAACATCAGAAAGCAGTTTCTCAGAACGCTGCTTTGTGCTTTTTATATGTATTCCCGCTTCCAGCGAAATCCCCAAAGCTAGCCAAATATCCACTTGCAGATTCCAGAAAAAGAGTGTTTCAAAACTGCTCCTTCAAAACGGTGGTTCAATTCTCTTAGTTGAGTAGACACATCTCAAATAAGTTTCTGAGAATGCTTCTGTCTAGTTGTTATGGGAAGATATTTCCTTTTCCAACATAGGCCTGAAAGCGCTCCAAATGTCCACTTCCAGATACTACAAAAGGAGTGATTCAAACCTGCTCTATGAT
The DNA here is from genome assembly GCF_000001405.40 of Homo sapiens. Lineage (NCBI taxonomy): Eukaryota > Metazoa > Chordata > Mammalia > Primates > Hominidae > Homo > Homo sapiens. Next base: position 20,338,704 of record NC_000018.10, on the reverse strand, counting down.
AGGGAATGTTCAACTCTGTGTCCTGAATACAAACATCACAAAGATGTTTCTCAGAACGCTGCAGTCTGCAATTTGTATGAATTCCCGCTTCCAACGAAATCCTCAAAACTAGCCAAATATCCACTTGCAGATTCCACAAAAAGACCATTTCAAAACTGCTCTATCAAAAGAAAGGTTCAACTTTGTTAGTTGAGTAGATACAGCATAACCAAGTTTCTGAGAATGCTTCTGTCCAGTTTTTATGGGAAGATATTTCCTTTTTCACCTTAGCCCTGAAATCGCTCCAAAAGTCCAGTTCCAGATACTACAAAAGGGGTGTTTCAAGACTGCTCTATGAAAGGGAGTGTTCAACTTTTGACTTGAATGCAAACATCAGAAAGCAGTTTCTCAGAACGCTGCTGTGTGCTTTTTATATGTATTCCCGCTTCCAGCGAAATCCCCAAAGCTAGCCAAATATCCACTTGCAGATTCCAGAAAAAGAGTGTTTTCAAACTGCTCCTTCAAAACGGTGGTTCAATTCTCTTAGTTGAGTACACACATCTCAAATAAGTTTCTGGGAATGCTTCTGTCCAGTTTTTATGGGAAGATATTTCCTTTTTCACCTTAGCCCTGAAAGCGCTCCAAAAGTCCAGTTCCAGATACTACAAAAGGAGTGTTTCAGGACTGCTCTATGAAAGGGAGTGTTCAACTTTTGACTTGAATGCAAACATCAGAAAGCAGTTTACTCAGAACGCTGCAGTCTGCAATTTGTATGAATTCCCGCTTCCAATGAAATCCTCAAAACTAGCCAAATATCCACTTGCAGATTCCACAAAAAGAGCGTTTCAAAACTTCTCTATGAAAAGAAAGGTTCTACTCCTTTAGTTGAGGACACACATCACGAGTAAGTTTCTGAGAATGCTTCTGTCTAGTTTTTATGGGAAGATATTTCCTTTTTCACCTTAGGCCGGTAAGTGCTCCAAATGTCCACTTACACACACTACAAAAAGAGTGTTTCAAACCTGCTCTGTGAAAGGGAATGTTCAATTCTGTGACTTGAATGCAATCATCACAAAGAACTTTCTGAGAATGCTGCAGTCTGCTTTTTATATGTAATCCCGTTTCCAACGAAATCCTCAAATCTAGCCAAATATCCACTTGCAGATTCCACAAAAAGAGTGTTTCAAAACTGTTCTGTCTAAAGAAAAGTTCAACTGTGTTAGTTGAGGACACACATCAGAAACTAGTTTCTGAGAATGCTTCTGTCTAGTTGTTATGGGAAGATATTTCCTTTTCCAACGTAGGCCTGAAAGCGCTCCAAATGTCCACTTCCAGATACTACAAAAAGAGTGTTTCAAACCTGCTCTACCAAAGGGAATGTTCTACTCTGTGACTTGAATGCAAACATCCCAAAGAAGTTTCTGAGAATGCTTCTGTCTAGATTGGATCTGAAGACAATCCCGTTTCCAACGAAATCCTCAAATCTATGCAAATATCCTCTTGCAGATTCCAGAAAAAGAGTGTTTCAAAACTGCTCCTTCAAAACGGTGGTTCAATTCTCTTAGTTGAGTACACACATCTCAAATAAGTTTCTGAGAATGCTTCTGCCTAGTTGTTACGGGAAGATATTTCCCTTTCCAACATGGGCCTGAAAGCGCTCCAAATGTCCACTTCCAGATACAACAAAAAGAGTGTTTCAAACCTGCTCTACCAAAGGGAATGTTCTACTCTGTGACTTGAATGCAAACATCCCAAAGAAGTTTCTGAGAATGCTTCTGTCTAGATTTTACCCTGAAGACAATCCCGTTTCCCACGAAATCCTCAAAGCTATGCAAATATCCTCTTGCAGATTCTACAAAAAGAGTGTTTCAAAACTGCTCTATGAAAAGAAAGGTTCAACTCTGTCAGTAGAGGGCACACATCACAAACAAGTTTCTGAGAATGCTTCTGTCTAGTTGTTATGGGAAGATATTTCCTTTTCCAACATAGGCCTGAAAGCGCTCCAAATGTCCACTTCCAGATACTACAAAAGGAGTGATTCCAACCTGCTCTATGATAGGGAATGTTCAACTCTGTGTCCTGAATACAAACATCACAAAGATGTTTCTCAGAACGCTGCAGTCTGCAATTTGTATGAATTCCCGCTTCCAACGAAATCCTCAAAACTAGCCAAATATCCACTTGCAGATTCCACAAAAAGACCATTTCAAAACTGCTCTATCAAAAGAAAGGTTCAACTTTGTTAGTTGAGTAGATACAGCATAAACAAGTTTCTGAGAATGCTTCTGTCCAGTTTTTATGGGAAGATATTTCCTTTTTCACCTTAGCCCTAAAATCGCTCCAAAAGTCCAGTTCCAGATACTACAAAAGGGGTGTTTCAAGACTGCTCTATGAAAGGGAGTGTTCAAGTTTTGACTTGAATGCAAACATCAGAAAGCAGTTTCTCAGAACGCTGCAGTCTGCAATTTGTATGAATTCCCTCTTCCAACGAAATCCTCAAAACTAGCCAAATATCCACTTGGAGATTCCACAAAAAGAGCGTTTCAAAACTTCTCTATGAATAGAAAGGTTCTACTCCTTTAGTTGAGGACACACATCACGAGTAAGTTTCTGAGAATGCTTCTGTCTAGTTTTTATGGGAAGATATTTCCTTTTTCACCTTAGGCCGGAAAGCGCTCCAAATGTCCACTTACACACACTACAAAAAGAGTGTTTCAAACCTGCTCTGTGAAAGGGAATGTTCAATTCTGTGACTTGAATGCAATCATCCCAAAGAACTTTCTGAGAATGCTGCTGTCTGCTTTTTATATGTAATCCCGTTTCCAACGAAATCCTCAAATCTAGCCCAATATCCACTTGCAGATTCCACAAAAAGAGTGTTTCAAAACTGTTCTGTATAAAGAAATGTACAACTGTGTTAGTTGAGGACACACATCAGAAACTAGTTTCTGAGAATGCTTCTGTCTAGTTGTTATGGGAAGAGATTTCCTTTTCCAACGTAGGCCTGAAAGCGCTCCAAATGTCCTTCCATATACTACAAAAAGAGTGTTTCAAACCTGCTCTACCAAAGGGAATGTTCTACTCTGTGACTTGAATGCAAACATCCCAAAGAAGTTTCTGAGAATGCTTCTGTCTAGATTTTCTCTGAAGACAATCCCGTTTCCAACGAAATCCTCAAGGCTAGGCAAATATACTCTTGCAGATTCCAGAAAAAGAGTGTTTCAAAACTGCTCCTTCAAAACGGTGGTTCAATTCTCTTAGTTGAGTACACACATCTCAAATAAGTTTCTGAGAATGCTTCTGCCTAGTTGTTACGGGAAGATATTTCCCTTTCCAACATAGGCCTGAAAGCGCTCCAAATGTCCACTTCCAGATACTACAAAAAGAGTGTTTCAAACCTGCTCTACCAAAGGGAATGTTCTACTCTGTGACTTGAATGCAAACATCCCGAAGAATTTTCTGAGAATGCTTCTGTCTAGATTTTACCTGAAGACAATCCCGTTTCCCACGAAATCCTCAAAGCTATGCAAATATCCTCTTGCAGATTCTACAAAAAGAGTGTTTCAAAACTGCTCTATGAAAAGAAAGGTTCAACTCTGTCAGTAGAGGGCACACATCACAAACAAGTTTCTGAGAATGCTTCTGCATAGTTGTTACGGGAAGATATTTCCCTTTCCAAAATAGGCCTGAAAGCGCTCCAAATGTCCACTTCCAGATACTACAAAAGGAGTGATTCCAACCTGCTCTATGATAGGGAATGTTCAACTCTGTGTCCTGAATACAAACATCACAAAGATGTTTCTCAGAACGCTGCAGTCTGCAATTTGTATGAATTCCCGCTTCCAACGAAATCCTCAAAACTAGCCAAATATCCACTTGCAGATTCCACAAAAAGACCATTTCAAAACTGCTCTATCAAAAGAAAGGTTCAACTTTGTTAGTTGAGTAGATACAGCATAACCAAGTTTCTGAGAATGCTTCTGTCCAGTTTTTATGGGAAGATATTTCCTTTTTCACCTTAGCCCTGAAATCGCTCCAAAAGTCCAGTTCCAGATACTACAAAAGGGGTGTTTCAGGACTGCTCTATGAAAGGGAGTGTTCAACTTTTGACTTGAATGCAAACATCAGAAAGCAGTTTCTCAGAACGCTGCAGTCTGCAATTTGTATGAATTCCCGCTTCCAACGAAATCCTCCAAACTAGCCAAATATCCACTTGCAGATTCCACAAAAAGAGCGTTTCAAAACTTCTCTATGAAAAGAAAGGTTCTACTCCTTTAGTTGAGGACACACATCACGAGTAAGTTTCTGAGAGTGCTTCTGTCTAGTTTTTATGGGAAGATATTTCCTTTCTCACCTTAGGCCGGAAAGTGCTCCAAATGTCCACTTACACACACTACAAAAAGAGTGTTTCAAACCTGCTCTGTGAAAGGGAATGTTCAATTCTGTGACTTGAATGCAATCATCACAAAGAACTTTCTGAGAATGCTGCTGACTGCTTTTTATATGTAATCCCGTTTCCAACGAAATCCTCAAATCTAGCCAAATAGCCACTTGCAGATTCCACAAAAAGAGTGTTTCAAAACTGTTCTGTCTAAAGAAATGTTCAACTGTGTTAGTTGAGGACACACATCAGAAACTAGTTTCTGAGAATGCTTCTGTCTAGTTGTTATGGGAAGATATTTCCTTTTCCAACGTAGGCCTGAAAGCGCTCCAAATGTCCACTTCCAGATACTACAAAAAGAGTGTTTCAAACCTGCTCTACCAAAGGGAATGTTCTACTCTGTGACTTGAATGCAAGCATCCCAAAGAAGTTTCTGAGAATGCTTCTGTCTAGATTTTCTCTGAAGACAATCCCGTTTCCAACGAAATCCTCAAGGCTAGGCAAATATCCTCTTGCAGATTCCAGAAAAAGAGTGTTTCAAAACTGCTCCTTCAAAACGGTGGTTCAATTCTCTTAGTTGAGTACACACATCTCAAATAAGTTTCTGAGAATGCTTCTGCCTAGTTGTTACGGGAAGATATTTCCCTTTCCAACATGGGCCTGAAAGCGCTCCAAATGTCCACTTCCAGATACTACAAAAAGAGTGTTTCAAACCTGCTCTACCAAAGGGAATGTTCTACTCTGTGACTTGAATGCAAACATCCCAAAGAAGTTTCTGAGAATGCTTCTGTCTAGATTTTACCTGAAGACAATCCCGTTTCCCACGAAATCCTCAAAGCTATGCAAATATCCTCTTGCAGATTCTACAAAAAGAGTGTTTCAAAACTGCTCTATGAAAAGAAAGGTTCAACTCTGTCAGTAGAGGGCACACATCACAAACAAGTTTCTGAGAATGCTTCTGCATAGTTGTTACGGGAAGATATTTCCCTTTCCAAAATAGGCCTGAAAGCGCTCCAAATGTCCACTTCCAGATACTACAAAAGGAGTGATTCCAACCTGCTCTATGATAGGGAATGTTCAACTCTGTGTCCTGAATACAAACATCACAAAGATGTTTCTCAGAACGCTGCAGTCTGCAATTTGTATGAATTCCCGCTTCCAAAGAAATCCTCAAAACTAACCAAATATCCACTTGCAGACTCCACAAAAAGAGCATTTCAAAACTGCTCTATCAAAAGAAAGGTTCAACTTTGTTAGCTGAGTAGATACAGCATAAACAAGTTTCTGAGAATGCTTCTGTCCAGTTTTTATGGGAAGATATTTCCTTTTTCACCTTAGCCCTGAAAGCACTCCAAATGTCCACTTCCAGATACCACAAAAGGGGAGTTTCAAGACTGCTCTATGAAAGGGAGTGTTCAACTTTTGACTTGAATGCGAACATCAGAAAGAAGTTTCTCAGAACGCTGCTGTGTGCTTTTTATATGTATTCCCGCTTCCAGCGAAATCCCCAAAGCTAGCCAGATATCCACTTGCAGATTCCAGAAAAAGAGTGTTTCAAAATTGCTCCTTCAAAACGGTGGTTCAATTCTCTTAGTTGAGTACACACATCTCAAATAAGTTTCTGAGAATGCTTCTGTCCAGTTTTTATGGGAAGATATTTCCTTTTTCACCTTAGCCCTGAAAGCGCTCCAAATGTCCAGTTCCAGATACTACAAAAGGGGTGTTTCAAGACTGCTCTGTGAAAGGGAGTGTTCAACTTTTGACTTGAATGCAAACATCAGAAAGCAGTTTCTCAGAACGCTGCAGTCTGCAATTTGTATGAATTCCCGCTTCCAACGAAATCCTCAAAACTAGGCAAATATCCACTTGCAGATTCCACAAAAAGAGCGTTTCAAAACTTCTCTATGAAAAGAAAGGTTCTACTCCTTTAGTTGAGGACACACATCACGAGTAAGTTTCTGAGAATGCTTCTGTCTAGTTTTTATGGGAAGATATTTCTTTTTTCACCTTAGGCCGGAAAGCGCTCCAAATGTCCACTTACACACACTACAAAAAGAGTGTTTCAAACCTGCTCTGTGAAAGGGAATGTTCAATTCTGTGACTTGAATGCAATCATCACAAAGAACTTTCTGAGAATGCTGCTGTCTGCTTTTTATATGTAATCCCGTTTCCAACGAAATCCTCAAATCTAGCCAAATATCCACTTGCAGATTCCACAAAAAGAGTGTTTCAAAACTGTTCTGTGTAAAGAAAAGTTCAACTGTGTTAGTTGAGGACACACATCAGAAACTAGTTTCTGAGAATGCTTCTGTCTAGTTGTAATGGGAAGATATTTCCTTTTCCAACGTAGGCCTGAAAGTGCTCCAAATGTCCACTTCCATATACTAAAAAAAGAGTGTTTCAAACCTGCTCTACCAAAGGGAATGTTCTACTCTGTGACTTGAATGCAAACATCCCAAAGAAGTTTCTGAGAATGCTTCTGTCTAGATTTTATCTGAAGACAATCCCGTTTCCAACGAAATCCTCAAGGCTAGGCAAATATACTCTTGCAGATTCCAGAAAAAGAGTGTTTCAAAACTGCTCCTTGAAAACGGTGGTTCAATTCTCTTAGTTGAGTACACACATCTCAAATAAGTTTCTGAGAATGCTTCTGCCTAGTTGTTACGGGAAGATATTTCCCTTTCCAACATAGGCCTGAAAGCGCTCCAAATGTCCACTTCCAGATACTATAAAAAGAGTGTTTCAAACCTGCTCTACCAAAGGGAATGTTCTACTCTGTGACTTGAATGCAAACATCCCAAAGAAGTTTCTGAGAATGCTTCTGTCTAGATTTTACCTGAAGACAATCCCGTTTCCCACGAAATCCTCAAAGCTATGCAAATATCCTCTTGCGGATTCTACAAAAAGAGTGTTTCAAAACTGCTCTATGAAAAGAAAGGTTCAACTCTGTCAGTAGAGGGCACACATCACAAACAAGTTTCTGAGAATGCTTGTGTCTAGTTGTTATGGGAAGATATTTCCTTTTTCAACATAGGCCTGAAAGCGCTCCAAATGTCCACTTCCAGATACTACAAAAGGAGTGATTCCAACCTGCTCTATGATAGGGAATGTTCAACTCTCTGTCCTGAATACAAACATCACAAAGATGTTTCTCAGAACGCTGCAGTCTGCAATTTGTATGAATTCCCGCTTCCAACGAAATCCTCAAAACTAGCCAAATATCCACTTGCAGATTCCACAAAAAGACCATTTCAAAACTGCTCTATCAAAAGAAAGGTTCAACTTTGTTAGTTGAGTAGATACAGCATAACCAAGTTTCTGAGAATGCTTCTGTCCAGTTTTTATGGGAAGATATTTCCTTTTTCACCTTAGCCCTGAAATCGCTCCAAAAGTCCAGTTCCAGATACTACAAAAGGGGTGTTTCAGGACTGCTCTATGAAAGGGAGTGTTCAACTTTTGACTTGAATGCAAACATCAGAAAGCAGTTTCTCAGAACGCTGCTGTGTGCTTTTTATATGTATTCCCGCTTCCAGCGAAATCCCCAAAGCTAGCCAAATATCCACTTGCAGATTCCAGAAAAAGAGTGTTTCAAAACTGCTCCTTCAAAACGGTGGTTCAATTCTCTTAGTTGAGTACACACATCTCAAATAAGTTTCTGAGAATGCTGCTGTGTGCTTTTTATATGTATTCCCGCTTCCAGCGAAATCCCCAAAGCTAGCCAAATATCCACTTGCAGATTCCAGAAAAAGAGTGTTTCAAAACTGCTCCTTCAAAACGGTGGTTCAATTCTTAGTTGAGTACACACATCTCAAATAAGTTTCTGAGAATGTTTCTGTCTATTTGTTATGGGAAGATATTTCCTTTTCCAACATAGGCCTGAAAGCGCTCCAAATGTCCACTTCCAGATACTACAAAAGGAGTGATTCAAACCTGCTCTATGATAGGGAATGTTCAACTCTGTGTCCTGAATACAAACATCACAAAGATGTTTCTCAGAACGCTGCAGTCTGCAATTTGTATGAATTCCCGTTTCCAACGTAATCCTCAAAACTAGCCAAATATCCACCTGCAGATTCCACAAAAAGAGCGTTTCAAAACTTCTCTATGAAAAGAAAGTTTCTACTCCTTTAGTTGAGTACACACATCACGAGTAAGTTTCTGAGAATGCTTCTGTCTAGTTTTTATGGGAAGATATTTCCTTTTTCACCTTAGGCCGGAAAGCGCTCCAAATGTCCACTTTCACACACTACAAAAAGAGTGTTTCAAACCTGCTCTGTGAAAGGGAATGTTCAATTCTGTGACTTGAATGCAATCATCACAAAGAACTTTCTGAGAATGCCGCTGTCTGCTTTTTATATGTAATCCCGTTTCCAACGAAATCCTCAAATCTAGCCAAATAGCCACTTGCAGATTCCACAAAAAGAGTGTTTCAAAACTGTTCTGTCTAAAGAAATGTTCAACTGTGTTAGTTGAGGACACACATCAGAAACTAGTTTCTGAGAATGCTTCTGTCTAGTTGTTATGGGAAGATATTTCCTTTTCCAACGTAGGCCTGAAAGCGCTCCAAATGTCCACTTCCATATACTAAAAAAAGAGTGTTTCAAACCTGCTCTACCAAAGGGAATGTTCTACTCTGTGACTTGAATGCAAACATCCCAAAGAAGTTTCTGAGAATGCTTCTGTCTAGATTTGATCTGAACACAATCCCGTTTCCAACGAAATCCTCAAAGCTAGGCAAATATCCTCTTGCAGATTCCAGAAAAAGAGTGTTTCAAAACTGCTCCTTCAAAACGGTGGTTCAATTCTCTTAGTTGAGTACACACATCTCAAATAAGTTTCTGAGAATGCTTCTGCCTAGTTGTTACGGGAAGATATTTCCCTTTCCAACATGGGCCTGAAAGCGCTCCAAATGTCCACTTCCAGATACTACAAAAAGAGTGTTTCAAACCTGCTCTACCAAAGGGAATGTTCTACTCTGTGACTTGAATGCAAACATCCCAAAGAAGTTTCTGAGAATGCTTCTGTCTAGATTTTACCTGAAGACAATCCCGTTTCCCACGAAATCCTCAAAGCTATGCAAATATCCTCTTGCAGATTCTACAAAAAGAGTGTTTCAAAACTGCTCTATGAAAAGAAAGGTTCAACTCTGTCAGTAGAGGGCACACATCACAAACAAGTTTCTGAGAATGCTTCTGCATAGTTGTTACGGGAAGATATTTCCCTTTCCAAAATAGGCCTGAAAGCGCTCCAAATGTCCACTTCCAGATACTACAAAAGGAGTGATTCCAACCTGCTCTATGATAGGGAATGTTCAACTCTGTGTCCTGAATACAAACATCACAAAGATGTTTCTCAGAACGCTGCAGTCTGCAATTTGTATGAATTCCCGCTTCCAACGAAATCCTCAAAACTAGCCAAATATCCACTTGCAGATTCCACAAAAAGACCATTTCAAAACTGCTCTATCAAAAGAAAGGTTCAACTTTGTTAGTTGAGTAGATACAGCATAAACAAGTTTCTGAGAATGCTTCTGTCCAGTTTTTATGGGAAGATATTTCCTTTTTCACCTTAGCCCTGAAATCGCTCCAAAAGTCCAGTTCCAGATACTACAAAAGGGGTGTTTCAGGACTGCCCTATGAAAGGGAGTGTTCAACTTTTGACTTGAATGCAAACATCAGAAAGCAGTTTCTCAGAACGCTGCTGTGTGCTTTTTATATGTATTCCCGCTTCCAGCGAAATCCCCAAAGCTAGCCAAATATCCACTTGCAGATTCCAGAAAAAGAGTGTTTCAAAACTGCTCCTTCAAAACGGTGGTTCAATTCTCTTAGTTGAGTACACACATCTCAAATAAGTTTCTGAGAATGCTTCTGTCTAGTTGTTATGGGAAGATATTTCCTTTTCCAACATAGGCCTGAAAGCGCTCCAAATGTCCACTTCCAGATACTACAAAAGGAGTGATTCCAACCTGCTCTATGATAGGGAATGTTCAACTCTGTGTCCTGAATACAAACATCACAAAGATGTTTCTCAGAACGCTGTAGTCTGCAATTTGTATGAATTCCCGCTTCCAACGAAATCCTCCAAACTAGCCAAATATCCACTTGCAGATTCCACAAAAAGAGCGTTTCAAAACTTCTCTATGAAAAGAAAGGTTCTACTCCTTTAGTTGAGGACACACATCACGAGTAAGCTTCTGAGAATGCTTCTGTCTAGTTTTTATGGGAAGATATTTCCTTTTTCACCTTAGGCCGGTAAGGGTTCCAAATGTCCACTTACACACACTACAAAAAGAGTGTTTCAAACCTGCTCTGTGAAAGGGAATGTTCAATTCTGTGACTTGAATGCAATCATCACAAAGAACTTTCTGAGAATGCTGCTGACTGCTTTTTATATGTAATCCCGTTTCCAACGAAATCCTCAAATCTAGCCAAATACCACTTGCAGATTCCACAAAAAGAGTGTTTCAAAACTGTTCTGTCTATAGAAATGTTCAACTGTGTTAGTTGAGGACACACATCAGAAACTAGTTTCTGAGAATGCTTCTGTCTAGTTGTTATGGGAAGATATTTCCTTTTCCAACGTAGGCCTGAAAGCGATCAAAATGTCCACTTCCATATACTAAAAAAAGAGTGTTTCAAACCTGCTCTACCAAAGGGAATGTTCTACTCTGTGACTTGAATGCAAAAATCCCAAAGAAGTTTCTGAGAATGCTTCTGTCTAGATTTTATCTGAAGACAATCCCGTTTCCAACGAAATCCTCAAGGCTAGGCAAATATACTCTTGCAGATTCCAGAAAAAGAGTGTTTCAAAACTGCTCCTTCAAAACGGTGGTTCAATTCTCTTAGTTGAGTACACACATCTCAAATAAGTTTCTGAGAATGCTTCTGCCTAGTTGTTACGGGAAGATATTTCCCTTTCCAACATGGGCCTGAAAGCGCTCCAAATGTCCACTTCCAGATACTACAAAAAGAGTGTTTCAAACCTGCTCTACCAAAGGGAATGTTCTACTCTGTGACTTGAATGCAAACATCCCAAAGAAGTTTCTGAGAATGCTTCTGTCTAGATTTTACCTGAAGACAATCCCGTTTCCCACGAAATCCTCAAAGCTATGTAAATATCCTCTTGCAGATTCTACAAAAAGAGTGTTTCAAAACTGCTCTATGAAAAGAAAGGTTCAACTCTGTCAGTAGAGGGCACACATCACAAACAAGTTTCTGAGAATGCTTCTGCATAGTTGTTACGGGAAGATATTTCCCTTTCCAAAATAGGCCTGAAAGCGCTCCAAATGTCCACTTCCAGATACTACAAAAGGAGTGATTCCAACCTGCTCTATGATAGGGAATGTTCAACTCTGTGTCCTGAATACAAACATCACAAAGATGTTTCTCAGAACGCTGCAGTCTGCAATTTGTATGAATTCCCGCTTCCAACGAAATCCTCAAAACTAGCCAAATATCCACTTGCAGATTCCACAAAAAGACCATTTCAAAACTGCTCTATCAAAAGAAAGGTTCAACTTTGTTAGTTGAGTAGATACAGCATAAACAAGTTTCTGAGAATGCTTCTGTCCAGTTTTTATGGGAAGATATTTCCTTTTTCACCTTAGCCCTGAAATCGCTCCAAAAGTCCAGTTCCAGATACTACAAAAGGGGTGTTTCAAGACTGCTCTATGAAAGGGAGTGTTCAACTTTTGACTTGAATGCAAACATCAGAAAGCAGTTTCTCAGAACGCTGCTGTGTGCTTTTTATATGTATTCCCGCTTCCAGCGAAATCCCCAAAGCTAGCCAAATATCCACTTGCAGATTCCAGAAAAAGAGAGTTTCAAAACTGCTCCTTCAAAACGGTGGTTCAATTCTCTTAGTTGAGTACACACATCTCAAATAAGTTTCTGAGAATGCTTCTGTCTAGTTGTTATGGGAAGATATTTCCTTTTCCAACATAGGCCTGAAAGCGCTCCAAATGTCCACTTCCAGATACTACAAAAGGAGTGATTCCAACCTGCTCTATGATAGGGAATGTTCAACTCTGTGTCCTGAATACAAACATCACAAAGATGTTTCTCAGAACGCTGCAGTCTGCAATTTGTATGAATTCCCGCTTCCAACGAAATCCTCCAAAGTAGCCAAATATCCACTTGCAGATTCCACAAAAAGAGCGATTCAAAACTTCTCTATGAAAAGAAAGGTTCTACTCCTTTAGTTGAGGACACACATCACGAGTAAGTTTCTGAGAATGCTTCTGTCTAGTTTTTATGGGAAGATATTTCCTTGTTCACCTTAGGCCGGAAAGCGCTCCAAATGTCCACTTACACACACTACAAAAAGAGTGTTTCAAACCTGCTCTGTGAAAGGGAATGTTCAATTCTGTGACTTGAATGCAATCATCACAAAGAAGTTTCTGAGAATGCTGCTGTCTGCTTTTTATATGTAATCCCGTTTCCAACGAAATCCTCAAATCTAGCCAAATAGCCACTTGCAGATTCCACAAAAAGAGTGTTTCAAAACTGTTCTGTCTAAAGAAATGTTCAACTGTGTTAGTTGAGGACACACATCAGAAACTAGTTTCTGAGAATGCTTCTGTCTAGTTGTTATGGGAAGATATTTCCTTTTCCAACGTAGGCCTGAAAGCGCTCCAAATGTCCACTTCCATATACTAAAAAAAGAGTGTTTCAAACCTGCTCTACCAAAGGGAATGTTCTACTCTGTGACTTGAATGCAAACATCCCAAAGAAGTTTCTGAGAATGCTTCTGTCTAGATTTTATCTGAAGACAATCCCGTTTCCAACGAAATCCTCAAGGCTAGGCAAATATACTCTTGCAGATTCCAGAAAAAGAGGGTTTCAAAACTGCTCCTTCAAAACGGTGGTTCAATTCTCTTAGTTGAGTACACACATCTCAAATAAGTTTCTGAGAATGCTTCTGCCTAGTTGTTACGGGTAGATATTTCCCTTTCCAACATGGGCCTGAAAGCGCTCCAAATGTCCACTTCCAGATACTACAAAAAGAGTGTTTCAAACCTGCTCTACCAAAGGGAATGTTCTACTCTGTGACTTGAATGCAAACATCCCAAAGAAGTTTCTGAGAATGCTTCTGTCTAGATTTTACCTGAAGACAATCCCGTTTCCCACGAAATCCTCAAAGCTATGCAAATATCCTCTTGCAGATTCTACAAAAAGAGTGTTTCAAAACTGCTCTATGAAAAGAAAGGTTCAACTCTGTCAGTAGAGGGCACACATCACAAACAAGTTTCTGAGAATGCTTGTGTCTAGTTGTTATGGGAAGATATTTCCTTTTTCAACATAGGCCTCAAAGCGCTCCAAATGTCCACTTCCAGATACTACAAAAGGAGTGATTCCAACCTGCTCTATGATAGGGAATGTTCATCTCTGTGTCCTGAATACAAACATCACAAAGATGTTTCTCATAACGCTGCAGTCTGCAATTTGCATGAATTCCAGCTTCCAACGAAATCCTCAAAACTAGCCAAATATCCACTTGCAGATTCCACAAAAAGAGCATTTCAAAACTGCTCTATCAAAAGAAAGGTTCAACTTTGTTAGTAGAGTAGATACAGCATAAACAAGTTTCTGAGAATGCTTCTGTCCAGTTTTTATGGGAAGATATTTCCTTTTTCACCTTAGCCCTGAAAGCGCTCCAAATGTCCAGTTCCAGATACTACAAAAGGGGTGTTTCAAGACTGCTCTATGAAAGGGAGTGTTCAACTTTTGACTTGAATGCAAACATCAGAAAGCAGTTTGCTCAGAACGCTGCTGTGTGCTTTTTATATGTATTCCCGCTTCCAGCGAAATCCCCAAAGCTAGCCAAATATCCACTTGCAGATTCCAGAAAAAGAGTGTTTCAAAACTGCTCCTTCAAAACGGTGGTTCAATTCTCTTAGTTGAGTACACACATCTCAAATAAGTTTCTGAGAATGCTTCTGTCTAGTTGTTATGGGAAGATATTTCCTTTTCCAACATAGGCCTGAAAGCGCTCCAAATGTCCACTTCCAGATACTACAAAAGGAGTGATTCCAACCTGCTCTATGATAGGGAATGTTCAACTCTGTGTCCTGAATACAAACATCACAAAGATGTTTCTCAGAACGCTGCAGTCTGCAATTTGTATGAATTCCCGCTTCCAACGAAATCCTCAAAACTAGCCAAATATCCACTTGCAGATTCCACAAAAAGAGCGTTTCAAAACTTCTCTATGAAAAGAAAGGTTCTACTCCTTTAGTTGAGGACACACATCACGAGTAAGTTTCTGAGAATGCTTCTGTCTAGTTTTTATGGGAAGATATTTCCTTTTTCACCTTAGGCCGGAAAGCGCTCCAAATGTCCACTTACACACACTACAAAAAGAGTGTTTCAAACCTGCTCTGTGAAAGGGAATGTTCAATTCTGTGACTTGAATGCAATCATCACAAAGAACTTTCTGAGAATGCTGCTGTCTGCTTTTTATATGTAATCCCGTTTCCAACGAAATCCTCAAATCTAGCCCAATATCCACTTGCAGATTCCACAAAAAGAGTGTTTCAAAACTGTTCTGTCTAAAGAAATGTACAACTGTGTTAGTTGAGGACACACATCACAAACTAGTTTCTGAGAATGCTTCTGTCTAGTTGTTATGGGAAGATATTTCCTTTTCCAACGTAGGCCTGAAAGCGCTCCAAATGTCCACTTCCAGATACTACAAAAAGAGTGTTTCAAACCTGCTCTACCAAAGGGAATGTTCTACTCTGTGACTTGAATGCAAGCATCCCAAAGAAGTTTCTGAGAATGCTTCTGTCTACATTTTATCTGAAGACAATCCCGTTTCCAACGAAATCCTCAAGGCTAGGCAAATATACTCTTGCAGATTCCAGAAAAAGAGTGTTTCAAAACTGCTCCTTCAAAACGGTGGTTCAATTCTCTTAGTTGAGTACACACATCTCAAATATGTTTCTGAGAATGCTTCTGCCTAGTTGTTACGGGAAGATATTTCCCTTTCCAACATGGGCCTGAAAGCGCTCCAAATGTCCACTTCCAGATACTACAAAAAGAGTGTTTCAAACCTGCTCTACCAAAGGGAATGTTCTACTCTGTGACTTGAATGCAAACATCCCAAAGAAGTTTCTGAGAATGCTTCTGTCTAGATTTTACCTGAAGACAATCCCGTTTCCCACGAAATCCTCAAAGCTATGCAAATATCCTCTTGCGGATTCTACAAAAAGAGTGTTTCAAAACTGCTCTATGAAAAGAAAGGTTCAACTCTGTCAGTAGAGGGCACACATCACAAACAAGTTTGCTGAGAATGCTTCTGCATAGTTGTTACGGGAAGATATTTCCCTTTCCAAAATAGGCCTGAAAGCGCTCCAAATGTCCACTTCCAGATACTACAAAAGGAGTGATTCCAACCTGCTCTATGATAGGGAATGTTCAACTCTGTGTCCTGAATACAAACATCACAAAGATGTTTCTCAGAACGCTGCAGTCTGCAATTTGTATGAATTCCCGCTTCCAACGAAATCCTCAAAACTAGCCAAATATCCACTTGCAGATTCCACAAAAAGACCATTTCAAAACTGCTCTATCAAAAGAAAGGTTCAACTTTGTTAGTTGAGTAGATACAGCATAAACAAGTTTCTGAGAATGCTTCTGTCCAGTTTTTATGGGAAGATATTTCCTTTTTCACCTTAGCCCTGAAATCGCTCCAAAAGTCCAGTTCCAGATACTACAAAAGGGGTGTTTCAGGACTGCTCTATGAAAGGGAGTGTTCAACTTTTGACTTGAATGCAAACATCAGAAAGCAGTTTCTCAGAACGCTGCTGTGTGCTTTTTATATGTATTCCCGCTTCCAGCGAAATCCCCAAAGCTAGCCAAATATCCAATTGCAGATTCCAGAAAAAGAGTGTTTCAAAACTGCTCCTTCAAAACGGTGGTTCAATTCTCTTAGTTGAGTACACACATCTCAAATAAGTTTCTGAGAATGCTTTGTCTAGTTGTTATGGGAAGATATTTCCTTTTCCAACATAGGCCTGAAAGCGCTCCAAATGTCCACTTCCAGGTACTACAAAAGGAGTGATTCAAACCTGCTCTATGATAGGGAATGTTCAACTCTGTGTCCTGAATATAAACATCACAAAGATGTTTCTCAGAACGCTGCAGTCTGCAATTTGTATGCATTCCCGCTTCCAACGAAATCCTCAAAACTAGCCAAATATCCACTTGCAGATTCCACAAAAAGAGCGTTTCAAAACTTCTCTATGAAAAGAAAGTTTCTACTCCTTTAGTTGAGTACACACATCACTAGTAAGTTTCTGAGAATGCTTCTGTCTAGTTTTTATGGGAAGATATTTCCTTTTTCACCTTAGGCCGGAGAGCGCTCCAAATGTCCGCTTACACACACTACAAAAAGAGTGTTTCAAACCTGCTCTGTGAAAGGGAATGTTCAATTCTGTGACTTGAATGCAATCATCACAAAGAACTTTCTGAGAATTCCGCTGTCTGCTTTTTATATGTAATCCCGTTTCCAACGAAATCCTCAAATCTAGCCAAATAGCCACTTGCAGATTCCACAAAAAGAGTGTTTCAAAACTGTTCTGTCTAAAGAAATGTTCAACTGTGTTAGTTGAGGACACACATCAGAAACTAGTTTCTGAGAATGCTTCTGTCTAGTTGTTATGGGAAGATATTTCCTTTTCCAACGTAGGCCTGAAAGCGCTCCAAATGTCCACTTCCATATACTAAAAAAAGAGTGTTTCAAACCTGCTCTACCAAAGGGAATGTTCTACTCTGTGACTTGAATGCAAACATCCCAAAGAAGTTTCTGAGAATGCTTCTGTCTAGATTTTATCTGAAGACAATCCCGTTTCCAACGAAATCTTCAAGGCTAGGCAAATATACTCTTGCATATTCCAGAAAAAGAGTGTTTCAAATCTGCTCCTTCAAAGCGGTGGTTCAATTCTCTTAGTTGAGTACACACATCTCAAATAAGTTTCTGAGAATGCTTCTGCCTAGTTGTTACGGGAAGATATTTCCCTTTCCAACATGGGCCTGAAAGCGCTCCAAATGTCCACTTCCAGATACTACAAAAAGAGTGTTTCAAACCTGCTCTACCAAAGGGAATGTTCTACTCTGTGACTTGAATGCAAACATCCCAAAGAAGTTTCTGAGAATGCTTCTGTCTAGATTTTACCTGAAGACAATCCCGTTTCCCACGAAATCCTCAAAGCTATGCAAATATCCTTTTGCAGATTCTACAAAAAGAGTGTTTCAAAACTGCTCTATGAAAAGAAAGGTTCAACTCTGTCAGTAGAGGGCACACATCACAAACAAGTTTCTGAGAATGCTTGTGTCTAGTTGTTATGGGAAGATATTTCCTTTTTCAACATAGGCCTGAAAGCGCTCCAAATGTCCACTTCCAGATACTACAAAAGGAGTAATTCCAACCTGCTCTATGATAGGGAATGTTCATCTCTGTGTCCTGAATACAAACATCACAAATATGTTTCTCAGAACGCTGCAGTCTGCAATTTGTATGTATTCCAGCTTCCAACGAAATCCTCAAAACTAGCCAAATATCCACTTGCAGATTCCACAAAAAGAGCATTTCAAAACTGCTCTATCAAAAGAAAGGTTCAACTTTTTTAGTAGAGTAGATACAGCATAAACAAGTTTCTGAGAATGCTTCTGTCCAGTTTTTATGGGAAGATATTTCCTTTTTCACCTTAGCCCTGAAAGCGCTCCAAATGTCCAGTTCCCGATACTACAAAAGGGGTGTTTCAAGACTGCTCTATGAAAGGGAGTGTTCAACTTTTGACTTGAATGCAAACATCAGAAAGCAGTTTCCTCAGAACGCTGCTGTGTGCTTTTTATATGTATTCCCGCTTCCAGCGAAATCCCCAAAGCTAGCCAAATATCCACTTGCAGATTCCAGAAAAAGAGTGTTTCAAAACTGCTCCTTCAAAACGGTGGTTCAATTCTCTTAGTTGAGTACACACATCTCAAATAAGTTTCTGAGAATGCTCTGTCCAGTTTTTATGGGAAGATATTTCCTTTTTCACCTTAGCCCTGAAAGCGCTCCAAATTTCCAGTTCCAGATACTACAAAAGGGGTGTTTCAAGACTGCTCTATGAAAGGGAGTGTTCAACTTTTGACTTGAATGCAAACATCAGAAAGCAGTTTCTCAGAACGCTGGCAGTCTGCAATTTGTATGAATTCCCGCTTCCAACGAAATCCTCCAAACTAGCCAAATATCCACTTGCAGATTCCACAAAAAGAGCGTTTCAAAACTTCTCTATGAAAAGAAAGGTTCTACTCCTTTAGTTGAGGACACACATCACGAGTAAGTTTCTGAGAATGCTTCTGTCTAATTTTTATGGGAAGATATGTCCTTTTTCACCTTAGGCCGGAAAGCGCTCCAAATGTCCACTTACACACACTACAAAAAGAGTGTTTCAAACCTGCTCTGTGAAAGGGAATGTTCAATTCTGTGACTTGAATGCAATCATCACAAAGAACTTTCTGAGAATGCTGCTGTCTGCTTTTTATATGTAATCCCGTTTCCAACGAAATCCTCAAATCTAGCCAAATAGCCACTTGCAGATTCCACAAAAAGAGAGTTTCAAAACTGTTCTGTCTAAAGAAATGTTCAACTGTGTTAGTTGAGGACACACATCAGAAACTAGTTTCTGAGAATGCTTCTGTCTAGTTGTTATGGGAAGATATTTCCTTTTCCAACGTAGGCCTGAAAGCGCTCCAAATGTCCACTTCCATATACTAAAAAAAGAGTGTTTCAAACCTGCTCTACCAAAGGGAATGTTCTACTCTGTGACTTGAATGCAAACATCCCAAAGAAGTTTCTGAGAATGCTTCTGTCTAGATTTGATCTGAACACAATCCCGTTTCCAACGAAATCCTCAAAGCTAGGCAAATATCCTCTTGCAGATTCCAGAAAAAGAGTGTTTCAAAACTGCTCCTTCAAAACGGTGGTTCAATTCTCTTAGTTGAGTACACACATCTCAAATAAGTTTCTGAGAATGCTTCTGCCTAGTTGTTACGGGAAGATATTTCCCTTTCCAACATGGGCCTGAAAGCGCTCCAAATGTCCACTTCCAGATACTACAAAAAGAGTGTTTCAAACCTGCTCTACCAAAGGGAATGTTCTACTCTGTGACTTGAATGCAAACATCCCAAAGAAGTTTCTGAGAATGCTTCTGTCTAGATTTTACCTGAAGACAATCCCGTTTCCCACGAAATCCTCAAAGCTATGCAAATATCCTCTTGCAGATTCTACAAAAAGAGTGTTTCAAAACTGCTCTATGAAAAGAAAGGTTCAACTGTGTCAGTAGAGGGAACACATCACAAACAAGTTTCTGAGAATGCTTGTGTCTAGTTGTTATGGGAAGATATTTCCTTTTTCAACATAGGCCTGAAAGCGCTCCAAATGTCCACTTCCAGATACTACAAAAGGAGTGATTCCAACCTGCTCTATGATAGGGAATGTTCAACTCTCTGTCCTGAATACAAACATCACAAAGATGTTTCTCAGAACGCTGCAGTCTGCAATTTGTATGAATTCCCGCTTCCAACGAAATCCTCAAAACTAGCCAAATATCCACTTGCAGATTCCACAAAAAGACCATTTCAAAACTGCTCTATCAAAAGAAAGGTTCAACTTTGTTAGTTGAGTAGATACAGCATAAACAAGTTTCTGAGAATGCTTCTGTCCAGTTTTTATGGGAAGATATTTCCTTTTTCACCTTAGCCCTGAAAGCGCTCCAAAAGTCCAGTTCCAGATACTACAAAAGGAGTGTTTCAGGACTGCTCTATGAAAGGGAGTGTTCAACTTTTGACTTGAATGCAAACATCAGAAAGCAGTTTCTCAGAACGCTGCTGTGTGCTTTTTATATGTATTCCCGCTTCCAGCGAAATCCCCAAAGCTAGCCAAATATCCACTTGCAGATTCCAGAAAAAGAGAGTTTCAAAACTGCTCCTTCAAAACGGTGGTTCAATTCTCTTAGTTGAGTACACACATCTCAAATAAGTTTCTGAGAATGCTTGTGTCTAGTTGTTATGGGAAGATATTTCCTTTTTCAACATAGGACTGAAAGCGCTCCAAATGTCCACTTCCAGATACTACAAAAGGAGTGATTCCAACCTACTCTATGATAGGGAATGTTCATCTCTGTGTCCTGAATACAAACATCACAAAGATGATTCTCAGAACGCTGCAGTCTGCAATTTGTATGAATTCCCGCTTCCAACGAAATCCTCAAAACTAGCCAAATATCCACTTGGAGATTCCACAAAAAGAGCGTTTCAAAACTTCTCTATGAATAGAAATGTTCTACTCCTTTAGTTGAGGACACACATCACGAGTAAGTTTCTGAGAATGCTTCTGTCTAGTTTTTATGGGAAGATATTTCCTTTTTCACCTGAGGCCGGAAAGCGCTCCAAATGTCCACTTACACACACTACAAAAAGAGGGTTTCAAAACTGCTCTGTGAAAGGGAATGTTCAATTCTGTGACTTGAATGCAATCATCACAAAGAACTTTCTGAGAATGCTGCTGACTGCTTTTTATATGTAATCCCGTTTCCAACGAAATCCTCAAATCTAGCCAAATAGCCACTTGCAGATTCCACAAAAAGAGTGTTTCAAAACTGTTCTGTCTAAAGAAATGTTCAACTGTGTTAGTTGAGGACACACATCAGAAACTAGTTTCTGAGAATGCTTCTGTCTAGTTGTTATGGGAAGATATTTCCTTTTCCAACGTAGGCCTGAAAGCGATCCAAATGTCCACTTCCATATACTAAAAAAAGAGTGTTTCAAACCTGCTCTACCAAAGGGAATGTTCTACTCTGTGACTTGAATGCAAACATCCCAAAGAAGTTTCTGAGAATGCTTCTGTCTAGATTTTATCTGAAGACAATCCCGTTTCCAACGAAATCCTCAAGGCTAGGCAAATATACTCTTGCAGATTCCAGAAAAAGAGTGTTTCAAAACTGCTCCTTCAAAACGGTGGTTCAATTCTCTTAGTTGAGTACACACATCTCAAATAAGTTTCTGAGAATGCTTCTGCCTAGTTGTTACGGGAAGATATTTCCCTTTCCAACATGGGCCTGAAAGCGCTCCAAATGTCCACTTCCAGATACTACAAAAAGAGTGTTTCAAACCTGCTCTACCAAAGGGAATGTTCTACTCTGTGACTTGAATGCAAACATCCCAAAGAAGTTTCTGAGAATGCTTCTGTCTAGATTTTACCTGAAGACAATCCCGTTTCCCACGAAATCCTCAAAGCTATGCAAATATCCTCTTGCAGATTCTACAAAAAGAGTGTTTCAAAACTGCTCTATGAAAAGAAAGGTTCAACTCTGTCAGTAGAGGGCACACATCACAAACAAGTTTCTGAGAATGCTTGTGTCTAGTTGTTATGGGAAGATATTTCCTTTTTCAACATAGGCCTGAAAGCGCTCCAAATGTCCACTTCCAGATACTACAAAAGGAGTGATTCCAACCTGCTCTATGATAGGGAATGTTCAACTCTCTGTCCTGAATACAAACATCACAAAGATGTTTCTCAGAACGCTGCAGTCTGCAATTTGTATGAATTCCCGCTTCCAACGAAATCCTCCAAACTAGCCAAATATCCACTTGCAGATTCCACAAAAAGAGCATTTCAAAACTGCTCTATCAAAAGAAAGGTTCAACTTTGTTAGTTGAGTAGATACAGCATAAACAAGTTTCTGAGAATGCTTCTGTCCAGTTTTTATGGGAAGATATTTCCTTTTTCACCTTAGCCCTGAAATCGCTCCAAAAGTCCAGTTCCAGATACTACAAAAGGGGTGTTTCAGGACTGCTCTATGAAAGGGAGTGTTCAACTTTTGACTTGAATGCAAACATCAGAAAGCAGTTTCTCAGAACGCTGCAGTCTGCAATTTGTATGAATTCCCGCTTCCAACGAAATCCTCAAAACTAGCCAAATATCCACTTGGAGATTCCACAAAAAGAGCGTTTCAAAACTTCTCTATGAATAGAAAGGTTCTACTCCTTTAGTTGAGGACACACATCACGAGTAAGTTTCTGAGAATGCTTCTGTCTAGTTTTTATGGGAAGATTATTTCCTTTTTCACCTTAGGCCGGTAAGTGCTCCAAATGTCCACTTACACACACTACAAAAAGAGTGTTTCAAACCTGCTCTGTGAAAGGGAATGTTCAATTCTGTGACTTGAATGCAATCATCACAAAGAACTTTCTGAGAATGCCGCTGACTGCTTTTTATATGTAATCCCGTTTCCAACGAAATCCTCAAATCTAGCCAAATAGCCACTTGCAGATTCCACAAAAAGAGTGTTTCAAAACTGTTCTGTCTAAAGAAATGTTCAACTTGTGTTAGTTGAGGACACACATCAGAAACTAGTTTCTGAGAATGCTTCTGTCTAGTTGTTATGGGAAGATATTTCCTTTTCCAACGTAGGCCTGAAAGCGCTCCAAATGTCCACTTCCAGATACTAAAAAAAGAGTGTTTCAAACCTGCTCTACCAAAGAGAATGTTCTACTCTGTGACTTGAATGCAAACATCCCAAAGAAGTTTCTGAGAATGCTTCTGTCTAGATTTGATCTGAAGACAATCCCGTTTCCAACGAAATCCTCAAGGCTAGGCAAATATACTCTTGCAGATTCCAGAAAAAGAGTGTTTCAAAACTGCTCCTTCAAAACGGTGGTTCAATTCTCTTAGTTGAGTCCACACATCTCAAATAAGTTTCTGAGAATGCTTCTGCCTAGTTGTTACGGGAAGATATTTCCCTTTCCAACATGGGCCTGAAAGCGCTCCAAATGTCCACTTCCAGATACTACAAAAAGAGTGTTTCAAACCTGCTCTACCAAAGGGAATGTTCTACTCTGTGACTTGAATGCAAACATCCCAAAGAAGTTTCTGAGAATGCTTCTGTCTAGATTTTACCTGAAGACAATCCCGTTTCCCACGAAATCCTCAAAGCTATGCAAATATCCTCTTGCAGATTCTACAAAAAGAGTGTTTCAAAACTGCTCTATGAAAAGAAAGGTTCAACTCTGTCAGTAGAGGGCACACATCACAAACAAGTTTCTGAGAATGCTTCTGCATAGTTGTTACGGGAAGATATTTCCCTTTCCAAAATAGGCCTGAAAGCGCTCCAAATGTCCACTTCCAGATACTACAAAAGGAGTGATTCCAACCTGCTCTATGATAGGGAATGTTCAACTCTGTGTCCTGAATACAAACATCACAAAGATGTTTCTCAGAACGCTGCAGTCTGCAATTTGTATGAATTCCCGCTTCCAGCGAAATCCTCAAAACTAGCCAAATATCCACTTGCAGATTCCACAAAAAGAGCATTTCAAAACTGCTCTATCAAAAGAAAGGTTCAACTTTGTTAGTTGAGTAGATACAGCATAAACAAGTTTCTGAGAATGCTTCTGTCCAGTTTTTATGGGAAGATATTTCCTTTTTCACCTTAGCCCTGAAATCGCTCCAAAAGTCCAGTTCCAGATACTACAAAAGGGGTGTTTCAAGACTGCTCTATGAAAGGGAGTGTTCAACTTTTGACTTGAATGCAAACATCAGAAAGCAGTTTCTCAGAACGCTGCTGTGTGCTTTTTATATGTATTCCCGCTTCCAGCGAAATCCCCAAAGCTAGCCAAATATCCACTTGCAGATTCCAGAAAAAGAGAGTTTCAAAACTGCTCCTTCAAAACGGTGGTTCAATTCTCTTAGTTGAGTACACACATCTCAAATAAGTTTCTGAGAATGCTGCAGTCTGCAATTTGTATGAATTCCCGCTTCCAAAGAAATCCTCAAAAGTAACCAAATATCCACTTGCAGACTCCACAAAAAGAGCATTTCAAAACTGCTCTATCAAAAGAAAGGTTCAACTTGTTAGCTGAGTAGTTACAGCATAAACAAGTTTCTGAGAATGCTTCTGTCCAGTTTTTATGGGAAGATATTTCCTTTTTCACCTTAGCCCTGAAAGCACTCCAAATGTCCACTTCCAGATACCACAAAAGGGGAGTTTCAAGACTGCTCTATGAAAGGGAGTGTTCAACTTTTGACTTGAATGCGAACATCAGAAAGAAGTTTGCTCAGAACGCTGCTGTGTGCTTTTTATATGTATTCCCGCTTCCAGCGAAATCCCCTAAGCTAGCCAAATATCCACTTGCAGATTCCAGAAAAAGAGTGTTTCAAAACTGCTCCTTCAAAACGGTGGTTCAATTCTCTTAGTTGAGTACACACATCTCAAATAAGTTTCTGAGAATGCTGCAGTCTGCAATTTGTATGAATTCCCGCTTCCAACGAAATCCTCAAAACTAGCCAAATATCCACTTGCAGATTGCACAAAAAGAGCATTTCAAAACTGCTCTATCAAAAGAAAGGTTCAACTTTGTTAGTTGAGTAGATACAGCATAAACAAGTTTCTGAGAATGCTGCAGTCTGCAATTTGTATGAATTCCCGCTTCCAACGAAATCCTCAAAACTAGCCAAATATCCACTTGCAGATTCCACAAAAAGAGCGTTTCAAAACTTCTCTATGAAAAGAAAGGTTCTACTCCTTTAGTTGAGGACACACATCACGAGTAAGTTTCTGAGAATGCTTCTGTCTAGTTTTTATGGGAAGATATGTCCTTTTTCACCTTAGGCCGGAAAGCGCTCCAAATGTCCACTTACACACACTACAAAAAGAGTGTTTCAAACCTGCTCTGTGAAAGGGAATGTTCAATTCTGTGACTTGAATGCAATCATCACAAAGAACTTTCTGAGAATGCTGCTGACTGCTTTTTATATGTAATCCCGTTTCCAACGAAATCCTCAAATCTAGCCAAATAGCCACTTGCAGATTCCACAAAAAGAGTGTTTCAAAACTGTTCTGTCTAAAGAAATGTGCAACTGTGTTAGTTGAGGACACACATCAGAAACTAGTTTCTGAGAATGCTTCTGTCTAGTTGTTATGGGAAGATATTTCCTTTTCCAACGTAGGCCTGAAAGCGCTCCAAATGTCCACTTCCATATACTAAAAAAAGAGTGTTTCAAACCTGCTCTACCAAAGGGAATGTTCTACTCTGTGACTTGAATGCAAACATCCCAAAGAAGTTTCTGAGAATGCTTCTGTCTAGATTTTCTCTGAAGACAATCCCGTTTCCAACGAAATCCTCAAGGCTAGGCAAATATACTCTTGCAGATTCCAGAAAAAGAGTGTTTCAAAACTGCTCCTTCAAAACGGTGGTTCAATTCTCTTAGTTGAGTACACACATCTCAAATAAGTTTCTGAGAATGCTTCTGCCTAGTTGTTACGGGAAGATATTTCCCTTTCCAACATAGGCCTGAAAGCGCTCCAAATGTCCACTTCCAGATACTACAAAAAGAGTGTTTCAAACCTGCTCTACCAAAGGGAATGTTCTACTCTGTGATTTGAATGCAAACATCCCAAAGAAGTTTCTGAGAATGCTTCTGTCTAGATTTTACCTGAAGACAATCCCGTTTCCCACGAAATCCTCGAAGCTATGCAAATATCCTCTTGCAGATTCTACAAAAAGAGTGTTTCAAAACTGCTCTATGAAAAGAAAGGTTCAACTCTGTCAGCAAGAGGGCACACATCACAAACAAGTTTCTGAGAATGCTTGTGTCTAGTTGTTATGGGAAGATATTTCCTTTTTCAACATAGGCCTGAAAGCGCTCCAAATGTCCACTTCCAGATACTACAAAAGGAGTGATTCCAACCTGCTCTATGATAGGGAATGTTCAACTCTCTGTCCTGAATACAAACATCACAAAGATGTTTCTCAGAACGCTGCAGTCTGCAATTTGTATGAATTCCCGCTTCCAACGAAATCCTCAAAACTAGCCAAATATCCACTTGCAGATTCCACAAA
This sequence comes from Homo sapiens, assembly GCF_000001405.40. Taxonomy (NCBI): domain Eukaryota; kingdom Metazoa; phylum Chordata; class Mammalia; order Primates; family Hominidae; genus Homo; species Homo sapiens. The sequence continues at coordinate 20,312,457 of NC_000018.10, read as the reverse complement.
AAGAGCATTTCAAAACTGCTCTATCAAAAGAAAGGTTCAACTTTGTTAGTTGAGTAGATACAGCATAAACAAGTTTCTGAGAATGCTTCTGTCCAGTTTTTATGGGAAGATATTTCCTTTTTCACCTTAGCCCTGAAAGCGCTCCAAAAGTCCAGTTCCAGATACTACAAAAGGAGTGTTTCAGGACTGCTCTATGAAAGGGAGTGTTCAACTTTTGACTTGAATGCAAACATCAGAAAGCAGTTCTCAGAACGCTGCAGTCTGCAATTTGTATGAATTCCCGCTTCCAACGAAATCCTCAAAACTAGCCAAATATCCACTTGGAGATTCCACAAAAAGAGCGTTTCAAAACTTCTCTATGAATAGAAAGGTTCTACTCCTTTAGTTGAGGACACACATCACGAGTAAGTTTCTGAGAATGCTTCTGTCTAGTTTTTATGGGAAGATATTTCCTTTTTCACCTTAGGCCGGAAAGCGCTCCAAATGTCCACTTACACACACTACAAAAAGAGTGTTTCAAACCTGCTCTGTGAAAGGGAATGTTCAATTCTGTGACTTGAATGCAATCATCACAAAGAACTTTCTGAGAATGCTGCTGTCTGCTTTTTATATGTAATCCCGTTTCCAACGAAATCCTCAAATCTAGCCAAATATCCACTTGCAGATTCCACAAAAAGAGTGTTTCAAAACTGTTCTGTCTAAAGAAAAGTTCAACTGTGTTAGTTGAGGACACACATCAGAAACTAGTTTCTGAGAATGCTTCTGTCTAGTTGTTATGGGAAGATATTTCCTTTTCCAACGTAGGCCTGAAAGCGCTCCAAATGTCCACTTCCATATACTAAAAAAAGAGTGTTTCAAACCTGCTCTACCAAAGGGAACGTTCTACTCTGTGACTTGAATGCAAACATCCCAAAGAACTTTCTGAGAATGCTTCTGTCTAGATTTGATCTGAAGACAATCCCGTTTCCAACGAAATCCTCAAGGCTAGGCAAATATCCTCTTGCAGATTCCAGAAAAAGAGTGTTTCAAAACTGCTCCTTCAAAACGGTGGTTCAATTCTCTTAGTTGAGTACACACATCTCAAATAAGTTTCTGAGAATGCTTCTGCCTAGTTGTTACGGGAAGATATTTCCCTTTGCAACATGGGCCAGAAAGCGCTCCAAATGTCCACTTCCAGATACTACAAAAAGAGGGTTTCAAACCTGCTCTACCAAAGGGAATGTTCTACTCTGTGACTTGAATGTAAACATCCCAAAGAAGTTTCTGAGAATGCTTCTGTCTAGATTTTACCTGAAGACAATCCCGTTTCCCACGAAATCCTCAAAGCTATGCAAATATCCTCTTGCAGATTCTACAAAAAGAGTGTTTCAAAACTGCTCTATGAAAAGAAAGGTTCAACTCTGTCAGTAGAGGGCACACATCACAAACAAGTTTCTGAGAATGCTTGTGTCTAGTTGTTATGGGAAGATATTTCCTTTTTCAACATAGGCCTGAAAGCGCTCCAAATGTCCACTTCCAGATACTACAAAAGGAGTGATTCCAACCTGCTCTATGATAGGGAATGTTCCTCTCTGTGTCCTGAATACAAACATCACAAAGATGTTTCTCAGAACGCTGTAGTCTGCAATTTGTATGAATTCCCGCTTCCAACGAAATCCTCAAACCTAGCCAAATATCCACTTGCAGATTCCACAAAAAGAGCATTTCAAAACTGCTCTATCAAAAGAAAGGTTCAACTTTGTTAGTTGAGTAGATACAGCATAAACAAATTTCTGAGAATGCTTCTGTCCAGTTTTTATGGGAAGATATTTCCTTTTTCACCTTAGCCCTGAAAGCGCTCCAAAAGTCCAGTTCCAGATACTACAAAAGGAGTGTTTCAGGACTGCTCTATGAAAGGGAGTGTTCAACTTTTGACTTGAATGCAAACATCAGAAAGCAGTTTCTCAGAACGCTGCTGTGTGCTTTTTATATGTATTCCCGCTTCCAGCGAAATCCCCAAAGCTAGCCAAATATCCACTTGCAGATTCCAGAAAAAGAGAGTTTCAAAACTGCTCCTTCAAAACGGTGGTTCAATTCTCTTAGTTGAGTACACACATCTCAAATAAGTTTCTGAGAATGCTGCTGTGTGCTTTTTATATGTATTCCCGCTTCCAGCGAAATCCCCAAAGCTAGCCAAATATCCACTTGCAGATTCCAGAAAAAGAGTGTTTCAAAACTGCTCCTTCAAAACGGTGGTTCAATTCTCTTAGTTGAGTACACACATCTCAAATAAGTTTCTGAGAATGCTGCAGTCTGCAATTTGTATGAATTCCCGCTTCCAACGAAATCCTCAAAACTAGCCAAATATCCACTTGCAGATTCCACAAAAAGAGCGTTTCAAAACTTCTCTATGAAAAGAAAGGTTCTACTCCTTTAGTTGAGGACACACATCACGAGTAAGTTTCTGAGAATGCTTCTGTCTAGTTTTTATAGGAAGATATTTCCTTGTTCACCTTAGGCCGGAAAGCGCTCCAAATGTCCACTTACACACACTACAAAAAGAGTGTTTCAAACCTGCTCTGTGAAAGGGAATGTTCAATTCTGTGACTTGAATGCAATCATCACAAAGAAGTTTCTGAGAATGCTGCTGTCTGCTTTTTATATGTAATCCCGTTTCCAACGAAATCCTCAAATCTAGCCAAATATCCACTTGCAGATTCCACAAAGAGAGTGTTTCAAATCTGCTCTGTCTAAAGAAATGTTCAACTGTGTTAGTTGAGGACACACATCAGAAACTAGTTTCTGAGAATGCTTCTGTCTAGTTGTTATGGGAAGATATTTCCTTTTCCAACGTAGGCCTGAAAGCGCTCCAAATGTCCACTTCCATATACTAAAAAAAGAGTGTTTCAAACCTGCTCTACCAAAGGGAATGTTCTACTCTGTGACTTGAATGCAAACATCCCAAAGAAGTTTCTGAGAATGCTTCTGCCTAGTTGTTACGGGAAGATATTTCCCTTTCCAACATAGGCCTGAAAGCGCTCCAAATGTCCACTTCCAGATACTACAAAAAGAGTGTTTCAAACCTGCTCTACCAAAGGGAATGTTCTACTCTGTGACTTGAATGCAAACATCCCGAAGAATTTTCTGAGAATGCTTTCTGTCTAGATTTTACCTGAAGACAATCCCGTTTCCCACGAAATCCTCAAAGCTATGCAAATATCCTCTTGCAGATTCTACAAAAAGAGTGTTTCAAAACTGCTCTATGAAAAGAAAGGTTCAACTCTGTCAGTAGAGGGCACACATCACAAACAAGTTTCTGAGAATGCTTCTGTCTAGTTTTTATGGGAAGATATTTCCTTTTTCACCTTAGGCCGGAAAGTGCTCCAAATGTCCACTTCCAGATACTACAAAAGGAGTGATTCCAACCTGCTCTATGATAGGGAATGTTCAACTCTCTGTCCTGAATACAAACATCACAAAGATGTTTCTCAGAACGCTGCAGTCTGAAATTTGTATGAATTCCCGCTTCCAACGAAATCCTCAAAACTAGCCAAATATCCACTTGCAGATCCCACAAAAAGAGCATTTCAAAACTGCTCTATCAAAAGAAAGGTTCAACTTTGTTAGTTGAGTAGATACAGCTTAAACAAGTTTCTGAGAATGCTTCTGTCCAGTTTTTATGGGAAGATATTTCCTTTTTCACCTTAGCCCTGAAATCGCTCCAAAAGTCCAGTTCCAGATACTACAAAAGGGGTGTTTCAAGACTGCTCTATGAAAGGGAGTGTTCAACTTTTGACTTGAATGCAAACATCAGAAAGCAGTTTCTCAGAACGCTGCTGTGTGCTTTTTATATGTATTCCCGCTTCCAGCGAAATCCCCAAAGCTAGCCAAATATCCACTTGCAGATTCCAGAAAAAGAGAGTTTCAAAACTGCTCCTTCAAAACGGTGGTTCAATTCTCTTAGTTGAGTACACACATCTCAAATAAGTTTCTGAGAATGCTTCTGTCTAGTTGTTATGGGAAGATATTTCCTTTTCCAACATAGGCCTGAAAGCGCTCCAAATGTCCACTTCCAGATACTACAAAAGGAGTGATTCCAACCTGCTCTATGATAGGGAATGTTCAACTCTGTGTCCTGAATACAAACATCACAAAGATGTTTCTCAGAACGCTGCAGTCTGCAATTTGTATGAATTCTCGCTTCCAACGAAATCCTCCAAACTAGCCAAATATCCACTTGCAGATTCCACAAAAAGAGCGTTTCAAAACTTCTCTATGAAAAGAAAGGTTCTACTCCTTTAGTTGAGGACACACATCACGAGTAAGTTTCTGAGAATGCTTCTGTCTAGTTTTTATGGGAAGATATTTCCTTTTTCACCTTAGGCCGGTAAGTGCTCCAAATGTCCACTTACACACACTACAAAAAGAGTGTTTCAAACCTGCTCTGTGAAAGGGAATGTTCAATTCTGTGACTTGAATGCAATCATCACAAAGAACTTTCTGAGAATGCTGCTGACTGCTTTTTATATGTAATCCCGTTTCCAACGAAATCCTCAAATCTAGCCAAATAGCCACTTGCAGATTCCACAAAAAGAGTGTTTCAAAACTGTTCTGTCTAAAGAAAAGTTCAACTGTGTTAGTTGAGGACACACATCAGAAACTAGTTTCTGAGAATGCTTCTGTCTAGTTGTTATGGGAAGATATTTCCTTTTCCAACGTAGGCCTGAAAGCGCTCCAAATGTCCACTTCCAGATACTACAAAAAGAGTGTTTCAAACCTGCTCTACCAAAGGGAATGTTCTACTCTGTGACTTGAATGCAAACATCCCAAAGAAGTTTCTGAGAATGCTTCTGTCTAGATTTTATCTGAAGACAATCCCGTTTCCAACGAAATCCTCAAGGCTAGGCAAATATACTCTTGCAGATTCCAGAAAAAGAGTGTTTCAAAACTGCTCCTTCAAAACGGTGGTTCAATTCTCTTCGTTGAGTCCACACATCTCAAATAAGTTTCTGAGAATGCTTCTGCCTAGTTGTTACGGGAAGATATTTCCCTTTCCAACATAGGCCTGAAAGCGCTCCAAATGTCCACTTCCAGATACTACAAAAAGAGTGTTTCAAACCTGCTCTACCAAAGGGAATGTTCTGCTCTGTGACTTGAATGCAAACATCCCAAAGAAGTTTCTGAGAATGCTTCTGTCTAGATTTTACCTGAAGACAATCCCGTTTCCCACGAAATCCTCAAAGCTATGCAAATATCCTCTTGCAGATTCTACAAAAAGAGTGTTTCAAAACTGCTCTATGAAAAGAAAGGTTCAACTCTGTCAGTAGAGGGCACACATCACAAACAAGTTTCTGAGAATGCTTGTGTCTAGTTGTTATGGGAAGATATTTCCTTTTTCAACATAGGCCTGAAAGCGCTCCAAATGTCCACTTCCAGATACTACAAAAGGAGTGATTCCAACCTGCTCTATGATAGGGAATGTTCAACTCTCTGTCCTGAATACAAACATCACAAAGATGTTTCTCAGAACGCTGCAGTCTGCAATTTGTATGAATTCCCGCTTCCAGCGAAATCCTCAAAACTAGCCAAATATCCACTTGCAGATTCCACAAAAAGAGCATTTCAAAACTGCTCTATCAAAAGAAAGGTTCAACTTTGTTAGTTGAGTAGATACAGCATAAACAAGTTTCTGAGAATGCTTCTGTCCAGTTTTTATGGGAAGATATTTCCTTTTTCACCTTAGCCCTGAAATCGCTCCAAAAGTCCAGTTCCAGATACTACAAAAGGGGTGTTTCAGGACTGCTCTATGAAAGGGAGTGTTCAACTTTTGACTTGAATGCAAACATCAGAAAGCAGTTTACTCAGAACGCTGCTGTGTGCTTTTTATATGTATTCCCGCTTCCAGCGAAATCCCCAAAGCTAGCCAAATATCCACTTGCAGATTCCAGAAAAAGAGTGTTTCAAAACTGCTCCTTCAAAACGGTGGTTCAATTCTCTTAGTTGAGTACACACATCTCAAATAAGTTTCTGAGAATGCTGCAGTCTGCAATTTGTACGAATTCCCGCTTCCAACGAAATCCTCAAAACTAGCCAAATATCCACTTGCAGATTCCACAAAAAGAGCATTTCAAAACTGCTCTATCAAAAGAAAGGTTCAACTTTGTTAGTTGAGCAGATACAGCATAAACAAGTTTCTGAGAATGCTGCAGTCTGCAATTTGTATGAATTCCCGCTTCCAACGAAATCCTCCAAACTAGCCAAATATCCACTTGCAGATTCCACAAAAAGAGCGTTTCAAAACTTCTCTATGAAAGAAAGGTTCTACTCCTTTAGTTGAGGACACACATCACGAGTAAGTTTCTGAGAATGCTTCTGTCTAGTTTTTAAGGGAAGATATTTCCTTTTTCACCTTAGGCCGGAAAGTGCTCCAAATGTCCACTTACACACACTACAAAAAGAGTGTTTCAAACCTGCTCTGTGAAAGGGAATGTTCAATTCTGTGACTTGAATGCAATCATCACAAAGAACTTTCTGAGAATGCTGCTGTCTGCTTTTTATATGTAATCCCGTTTCCAACGAAATCCTCAAATCTAGCCAAATATCCACTTGCAGATTCCACAAAAAGAGTGTTTCAAAACTGTTCTGTCTAAAGAAAAGTTCAACTGTGTTAGTTGAGGACACACATCAGAAACTAGTTTCTGAGAATGCTTCTGTCTAGTTGTTATGGGAAGATATTTCCTTTTCCAACGTAGGCCTGAAAGCGCTCCAAATGTCCACTTCCATATACTAAAAAAAGAGTGTTTCAAACCTGCTCTACCAAAGGGAATGTTCTACTCTGTGACTTGAATGCAAACATCCCAAAGAAGTTTCTGAGAATGCTTCTGTCTAGATTTTATCTGAAGACAATCCCGTTTCCAACGAAATCCTCAAGGCTAGGCAAATATACTCTTGCAGATTCCAGAAAAAGAGGGTTTCAAAACTGCTCCTTCAAAACGGTGGTTCAATTCTCTTAGTTGAGTACACACATCTCAAATAAGTTTCTGAGAATGCTTCTGCCTAGTTGTTAAGGGAAGATATTTCCCTTTCCAACATAGGCCTGAAAGCGCTCCAAATGTCCACTTCCAGATACTACAAAAAGAGTGTTTCAAACCTGCTCTACCAAAGGGAATGTTCTACTCTGTGACTTGAATGCAAACATCCCAAAGCAGTTTCTGAGAATGCTTCTGTCTAGATTTTACCTGAAGACATTCCCGTTTCCCACGAAATCCTCAAAGCTATGCAAATATCCTCTTGCAGATTCTACAAAAAGAGTGTTTCGAAACTGCTCTATGAAAAGAAAGGTTCAACTGTGTCAGTAGAGGGCACACATCACAAACAAGTTTCTGAGAATGCTTCTGCCTAGTTGTTATGGGAAGATATTTCCTTTTTCAACATAGGCCTGAAAGCGCTCCAAATGTCGACTTCCAGATACTACAAAAGGAGTGATTCCAGCCTTCTCTATGATAGGGAATGTTCAACTCTGTGTCCTGAATACAAACATCACAAAGACGTTTCTCAGAACGCTGCAGTCTGCAATTTGTATGAATTCCCGCTTCCAACGAAATCCTCAAAACTAGCCAAATATCCACTTGCAGATTCCACAAAAAGAGCATTTCAAAACTGCTCTATCAAAAGAAAGGTTCAACTTTGTTAGTTGAGTAGATACAGCATAAACAAGTTTCTGAGAATGCTGCAGTCTGCAATTTGTATGAATTCCCGCTTCCAACGAAATCCTCCAAACTAGCCAAATATCCACTTGCAGATTCCACAAAAAGAGCGTTTCAAAACTTCTCTATGAAAAGAAAGGTTCTACTCCTTTAGTTGAGGACACACATCACGAGTAAGTTTCTGAGAATGCTCTGTCTAGTTTTTATGGGAAGATATTTCCTTTTTCACCTTAGGCCGGAAAGCGCTCCAAATGTCCACTTACACACACTACAAAAAGAGTGTTTCAAACCTGCTCTGTGAAAGGGAATGTTCAATTCTGTGACTTGAATGCAATCATCACAAAGAACTTTCTGAGAATGCTGGCTGACTGCTTTTTATATGTAATCCCGTTTCCAACGAAATCCTCAAATCTAGCCAAATATCCACTTGCAGATTCCACAAAAAGAGTGTTTCAAAACTGTTCTGTCTAAAGAAATGTACAACTGTGTTAGTTGAGGACACACATCAGAAACTAGTTTCTGAGATTGCTTCTGTCTAGTTGTTATGGGAAGATATTTCCTTTTCCAACGTAGGCCTGAAAGCGCTCCAAATGTCCACTTCCATATACTAAAAAAAGAGTGTTTCAAACCTGCTCTACCAAAGGGAATGTTCTACTCTGTGACTTGAATGCAAACATCCCAAAGAAGTTTCTGAGAATGCTTCTGTCTAGATTTTCTCTGAAGACAATCCCGTTTCCAACGAAATCCTCAAGGCTAGGCAAATATACTCTTGCAGATTCCAGAAAAAGAGTGTTTCAAAACTGCTCCTTCAAAACGGTGGTTCAATTCTCTTAGTTGAGTACACACATCTCAAATAAGTTTCTGAGAATGCTTCTGCCTAGTTGTTACGGGAAGATATTTCCCTTTCCAACATGGGCCTGAAAGCGCTCCAAATGTCCACTTCCAGATACTACAAAAAGAGTGTTTCAAACCTGCTCTACCAAAGGGAATGTTCTACTCTGTGACTTGAATGCAAACATCCCAAAGAAGTTTCTGAGAATGCTTCTGTCTAGATTTTACCTGAAGACAATCCCGTTTCCCACGAAATCCTCAGAGCTATGCAAATATCCTCTTGCAGATTCTACAAAAAGAGTGTTTCGAAACTGCTCTATGAAAAGAAAGGTTCAACTCTGTCAGTAGAGGAAACACATCACCAACAAGTTTCTGAGAATGCTTGTGTCTACTTGTTATGGGAAGATATTTCCTTTTTCAACATAGGCCTGAAAGCGCTCGAAATGGCCACTTCCAGATACTACAAAAGGAGTGATTCCAACCTGCTCTATGATAGGGAATGTTCAACTCTGTGTCCTGAATACAAACATCACAAAGATGTTTCTCAGAACGCTGCAGTCTGCAATTTGTATGAATTCCCGCTTCCAACGAAATCCTCAAAACTAGCCAAATATCCACTTGCAGACTCCACAAAAAGAGCATTTCAAAACTGCTCTATCAAAAGAAAGGTTCAACTTTGTTAGCTGAGTAGATACAGCATAAACAAGTTTCTGAGAATGCTTCTGTCCAGTTTTTATGGGAAGATATTTCCTTTTTCACCTTAGCCCTGAAAGCACTCCAAATGTCCACTTCCAGATACCACAAAAGGGGAGTTTCAAGACTGCTCTACGAAAGGGAGTGTTCAACTTTTGACTTGAATGCGAACATCAGAAAGAAGCTTCTCAGAACGCTTCTGTCTAGTTTTTATGGGAAGATATTTCCTTTTTCACCTTAGGCCGGAAAGTGCTCCAAATGTCCACTTACACACACTACAAAAAGAGTGTTTCAAACCTGCTCTGTGAAAGGGAATGTTCAATTCTGTGACTTGAATGCAATCATCACAAAGAACTTTCTGAGAATGCTGCTGACTGCTTTTTATATGTAATCCCGTTTCCAACGAAATCCTCAAATCTAGCCAAATAGCCACTTGCAGATTCCACAAAAAGAGTGTTTCAAAACTGTTCTGTCTAAAGAAATGTTCAACTGTGTTAGTTGAGGACACACATCAGAAACTAGTTTCTGAGAATGCTTCTGTCTAGTTGTTATGGGAAGATATTTCCTTTTCCAACGTAGACCTGAAAGCGCTCCAAATGTCCACTTCCATATACTAAAAAAAGGGTGTTTCAAACCTGCTCTACCAAAGGGAATGTTCTACTCTGTGACTTGAATGCAAACATCCCAAAGAAGTTTCTGAGAATGCTTCTGTCTAGATTTGATCTGAAGACAATCCCGTTTCCAACGAAATCCTCAAGGCTAGGCAAATATCCTCTTGCAGATTCCAGAAAAAGAGTGTTTCAAAACTGCTCCTTCAAAACGGTGGTTCAATTCTCTTAGTTGAGTACACACATCTCAAATAAGTTTCTGAGAATGCTTCTGCCTAGTTGTTACGGGAAGATATTTCCCTTTCCAACATGGGCCTGAAAGCGCTCCAAATGTCCACTTCCAGATACTACAAAAAGAGTGTTTCAAACCTGCTCTACCAAAGGGAATGTTCTACTCTGTGACTTGAATGCAAACATCCCAAAGAAGTTTCTGAGAATGCTTCTGTCTAGATTTTACCTGAAGACAATCCCGTTTCCCACGAAATCCTCAAAGCTATGCAAATATCCTCTTGCAGATTCTACAAAAAGAGTGTTTCAAAACTGCTCTATGAAAAGAAAGGTTCAACTCTGTCAGTAGAGGGCACACATCACAAACAAGTTTCTGAGAATGCTTGTGTCTAGTTGTTATGGGAAGATATTTCCTTTTTCAACATAGGCCTGAAAGCGCTCCAAATGTCCACTTCCAGATACTACAAAAGGAGTGATTCCAACCTGCTCTATGATAGGGAATGTTCAACTCTGTGTCCTGAATACAAACATCACAAAGATGTTTCTCAGAACGCTGCAGTCTGCAATTTGTATGAATTCCCGCTTCCAACGAAATCCTCAAAACTAGCCAAATATCCACTTGCAGATTCCACAAAAAGAGCATTTCAAAACTGCTCTATCAAAAGAAAGGTTCAACTTTGTTAGTTGAGTAGATACAGCATAAACAAGTTTCTGAGAATGCTTCTGTCCAGTTTTTATGGGAAGATATTTCCTTTTTCACCTTAGCCCTGAAATCGCTCCAAAAGTCCAGTTCCAGATACTACAAAAGGGGTGTTTCAGGACTGCTCTATGAAAGGGAGTGTTCAACTTTTGACTTGAATGCAAACATCAGAAAGCAGTTTCTCAGAACGCTGCTGTGTGCTTTTTATATGTATTCCCGCTTCCAGCGAAATCCCCAAAGCTAGCCAAATATCCACTTGCAGATTCCAGAAAAAGAGAGTTTCAAAACTGCTCCTTCAAAACGGTGGTTCAATTCTCTTAGTTGAGTACACACATCTCAAATAAGTTTCTGAGAATGCTGCAGTCTGCAATTTGTATGAATTCCCGCTTCCAACGAAATCCTCCAAACTAGCCAAATATCCACTTGCAGATTCCACAAAAAGAGCGTTTCAAAACTTCTCTATGAAAAGAAAGGTTCTACTCCTTTAGTTGAGGACACACATCACGAGTAAGTTTCTGAGAATGCTTCTGTCTAGTTTTTATGGGAAGATATTTCCTTGTTCACCTTAGGCCGGAAAGCGCTCCAAATGTCCACTTACACACACTACAAAAAGAGTGTTTCAAACCTGCTCTGTGAAAGGGAATGTTCAATTCTGTGACTTGAATGCAATCATCACAAAGAACTTTCTGAGAGTGCTGCTGACTGCTTTTTATATGTAATCCCGTTTCCAACGAAATCCTCAAATCTAGCCAAATAGCCACTTGCAGATTCCACAAAAAGAGTGTTTCAAAACTGTTCTGTCTAAAGAAATGTTCAACTGTGTTAGTTGAGGACACACATCAGAAACTAGTTTCTGAGAATGCTTCTGTCTAGTTGTTATGGGAAGACATTTCCTTTTCCAACATAGGCCTGAAAGCGCTCCAAATGTCCACTTCCATATACTAAAAAAAGAGTGTTTCAAACCTGCTCTACCAAAGAGAATGTTCTACTCTGTGACTTGAATAGAAACATCCCAAAGAAGTTTCTGAGAATGCTTCTGTCTAGATTTTCTCTGAAGACAATCCCGTTTCCAACGAAATCCTCAAGGCTAGGCAAATATACTCTTGCAGATTCCAGAAAAAGAGTGTTTCAAAACTGCTCCTTCAAAACGGTGGTTCAATTCTCTTAGTTGAGTACACACATCTCAAATAAGTTTCTGAGAATGCTTCTGCCTAGTTGTTACGGGAAGATATTTCCCTTTCCAACATAGGCCTGAAAGCGCTCCAAATGTCCACTTCCAGATACTACAAAAAGAGTGTTTCAAACCTGCTCTACCAAAGGGAATGTTCTACTCTGTGACTTGAATGCAAACATCCCAAAGAAGTTTCTGAGAATGCTTCTGTCTAGATTTTACCTGAAGACAATCCCGTTTCCCACGAAATCCTCAAAGCTATGCAAATATCCTCTTGCAGATTCTACAAAAAGAGTGTTTCAAAACTGCTCTATGAAAAGAAAGGTTCAACTCTGTCAGTAGAGGGCACACATCACAAACAAGTTTCTGAGAATGCTTCTGCATAGTTGTTACGGGAAGATATTTCCCTTTCCAAAATAGGCCTGAAAGCGCTCCAAATGTCCACTTCCAGATACTACAAAAGGAGTGATTCCAACCTGCTCTATGATAGGGAATGTTCAACTCTGTGTCCTGAATACAAACATCACAAAGATGTTTCTCAGAACGCTGCAGTCTGCAATTTGTATGAATTCCCGCTTCCAACGAAATCCTCAAAACTAGCCAAATATCCACTTGCAGATTCCACAAAAAGAGCATTTCAAAACTGCTCTATCAAAAGAAAGGTTCAACTTTGTTAGTTGAGTAGATACAGCATAAACAAGTTTCTGAGAATGCTTCTGTCCAGTTTTTATGGGAAGATATTTCCTTTTTCACCTTAGCCCTGAAATCGCTCCAAAAGTCCAGTTCCAGATACTACAAAAGGGGTGTTTCAAGACTGCTCTATGAAAGGGAGTGTTCAACTTTTGACTTGAATGCAAACATCAGAAAGCAGTTTCTCAGAACGCTGCTGTGTGCTTTTTATATGTATTCCCGCCTCCAGCGAAATCCCCAAAGCTAGCCAAATATCCACTTGCAGATTCCAGAAAAAGAGTGTTTCAAAACTGCTCCTTCAAAACGGTGGTTCAATTCTCTTAGTTGAGTACACACATCTCAAATAAGTTTCTGAGAATGCTTCTGTCTAGTTGTTATGGGAAGATATTTCCTTTTCCAACATAGGCCTGAAAGCGCTCCAAATGTCCACTTCCAGATACTACAAAAGGAGTGATTCAAACCTGCTCTATGATAGGGAATGTTCAACTCTGTGTCCTGAATACAAACATCACAAAGATGTTTCTCAGAACGCTGCAGTCTGCAATTTGTATGAATTCCCGCTTCCAACGAAATCCTCAAAACTAGCCAAATATCCACTTGCAGATTCCACAAAAAGAGCGTTTCAAAACTTCTCTATGAAAAGAAAGGTTCTACTCCTTTAGTTGAGGACACACATCACGAGTAAGTTTCTGAGAATGCTTCTGTCTAGTTTTTATGGGAAGATATTTCCTTTTTCACCTTAGGCCGGTAAGTGCTCCAAATGTCCACTTACACACACTACAAAAAGAGTGTTTCAAACCTGCTCTGTGAAAGGGAATGTTCAATTCTGTGACTTGAATGCAATCATCACAAAGAACTTTCTGAGAATGCTGCTGTCTGCTTTTTATATGTAATCCCGTTTCCAACGAAATCCTCAAATCTAGCCAAATATCCACTTGCAGATTCCACAAAAAGAGTGTTTCAAAACTGTTCTGTCTAAAGAAATGTTCAACTGTGTTAGTTGAGGACACACATCAGAAACTAGTTTCTGAGAATGCTTCTGTCTAGTTGTTATGGGAAGATATTTCCTTTTCCAACGTAGGCCTGAAAGCGCTCCAAATGTCCACTTCCATATACTAAAAAAAGAGTGTTTCAAACCTGCTCTACCAAAGGGAATGTTCTACTCTGTGACTTGAATGCAAACATCCCAAAGAAGTTTCTGAGAATGCTTCTGTCTAGATTTGATCTGAAGACAATCCCGTTTCCAACGAAATCCTCAAGGCTAGGCAAATATCCTCTTGCAGATTCCAGAAAAAGAGTGTTTCAAAACTGCTCCTTCAAAACGGTGGTTCAATTCTCTTAGTTGAGTACACACATCTCAAATAAGTTTCTGAGAATGCTTCTGCCTAGTTGTTACGGGAAGATATTTCCCTTTCCAACATGGGCCTGAAAGCGCTCCAAATGTCCACTTCCAGATACTACAAAAAGAGTGTTTCAAACCTGCTCTACCAAAGGGAATGTTCTACTCTGTGACTTGAATGCAAACATCCCAAAGAAGTTTCTGAGAATGCTTCTGTCTAGATTTTACCTGAAGACAATCCGGTTTCCCACGAAATCCTCAAAGCTATGCAAATATCCTCTTGCAGATTCTACAAAAAGAGTGTTTCAAAACTGCTCTATGAAAAGAAAGGTTCAACTCTGTCAGTAGAGGGCACACATCACAAAGAAGTTTCTGAGAATGCTTCTGTCTAGTTGTTATGGGAAGATTTTTCCTTTTTCAACATAGGCCTGAAAGCGCTCCAAATGTCCACTTCCAGATACTACAAAAGGAGTGATCCCAACCTGCTCTATGATAGGGAATGTTCAACTCTGTGTCCTGAATACAAACATCACAAAGATGTTTCTCAGAACGCTGCAGTCTGCAATTTGTATGAATTCCCGCTTCCAACGAAATCCTCAAAACTAGCCAAATATCCACTTGCAGATTCCACAAAAAGAGCATTTCAAAACTGCTCTATCAAAAGAAAGGTTCAACTTTGTTAGTTGAGTAGATACAGCATAAACAAGTTTCTGAGAATGCTGCAGTCTGCAATTTGTATGAATTCCCGCTTCCAACGAAATCCTCAAAACTAGCCAAATATCCACTTGGAGATTCCACAAAAAGAGCGTTTCAAAACTTCTCTATGAATAGAAAGGTTCTACTCCTTTAGTTGAGGACACACATCACGAGTAAGTTTCTGAGAATGCTTCTGTCTAGTTTTTATGGGAAGATATGTCCTTTTTCACCTTAGGCCGGAAAGCACTCCAAATGTCCACTTACACACACTACAAAAAGAGTGTTTCAAACCTGCTCTGTGAAAGGGAATGTTCAATTCTGTGACTTGAATGCAATCATCACAAAGAACTTTCTGAGAATGCTGCTGACTGCTTTTTATATGTAATCCCGTTTCCAACGAAATCCTCAAATCTAGCCAAATAGCCACTTGCAGATTCCACAAAAAGAGTGTTTCAAAACTGTTCTGTCTAAAGAAATGTTCAACTGTGTTAGTTGAGGACACACATCAGAAACTAGTTTCTGAGAATGCTTCTGTCTAGTTGTTATGGGAAGATATTTCCTTTTCCAACGTAGGCCTGAAAGCGCTCCAAATGTCCACTTCCATATACTAAAAAAAGAGTGTTTCAAACCTGCTCTACCAAAGGGAATGTTCTACTCTGTGACTTGAATGCAAACATCCCAAAGAAGTTTCTGAGAATGCTTCTGTCTAGATTTTCTCTGAAGACAATCCCGTTTCCAACGAAATCCTCAAGGCTAGGCAAATATACTCTTGCAGATTCCAGAAAAAGAGTGTTTCAAAACTGCTCCTTCAAAACGGTGGTTCAATTCTCTTAGTTGAGTACACACATCTCAAATAAGTTTCTGAGAATGCTTCTGCCTAGTTGTTACGGGAAGATATTTCCCTTTCCAACATAGGCCTGAAAGCGCTCCAAATGTCCACTTCCAGATACTACAAAAAGAGTGTTTCAAACCTTCTCTACCAAAGGGAATGTTCTACTCTGTGACTTGAATGCAAACATCCCAAAGAAGTTTCTGAGAATGCTTCTGTCTAGATTTTACCTGAAGACAATCCCGTTTCCCACGAAATCCTCAAAGCTATGCAAATATCCTCTTGCAGATTCTACAAAAAGAGTGTTTCAAAACTGCTCTATGAAAAGAAAGGTTCAACTCTGTCAGTAGAGGGCACACATCACAAACAAGTTTCTGAGAATGCTTCTGCATAGTTGTTACGGGAAGATATTTCCCTTTCCAAAATAGGCCTGAAAGCGCTCCAAATGTCCACTTCCAGATACTACAAAAGGAGTGATTCCAACCTGCTCTATGATAGGGAATGTTCAACTCTGTGTCCTGAATACAAACATCACAAAGATGTTTCTCAGAACGCTGCAGTCTGCAATTTGTATGAATTCCCGCTTCCAACGAAATCCTCAAAACTAGCCAAATATCCACTTGCAGATTCCACAAAAAGACCATTTCAAAACTGCTCTATCAAAAGAAAGGTTCAACTTTGTTAGTTGAGTAGATACAGCATAAACAAGTTTCTGAGAATGCTTCTGTCCAGTTTTTATGGGAAGATATTTCCTTTTTCACCTTAGCCCTGAAAGCGCTCCAAAAGTCCAGTTCCAGATACTACAAAAGGAGTGTTTCAGGACTGCTCTATGAAAGGGAGTGTTCAACTTTTGACTTGAATGCAAACATCAGAAAGCAGTTTCTCAGAACGCTGCTGTGTGCTTTTTATATGTATTCCCGCTTCCAGCGAAATCCCCAAAGCTAGCCAGATATCCACTTGCAGATTCCAGAAAAAGAGTGTTTCAAAACTGCTCCTTCAAAACGGTGGTTCAATTCTCTTAGTTGAGTACACACATCTCAAATAAGTTTCTGAGAATGCTTCTGTCTATTTGTTATGGGAAGATATTTCCTTTTCCAACATAGGCCTGAAAGCGCTCCAAATGTCCACTTCCAGATACTACAAAAGGAGTGATTCCAACCTGCTCTATGATAGGGAATGTTCAACTCTGTGTCCTGAATACAAACATCACAAAGATGTTTCTCAGAACGCTGCAGTCTGCAATTTGTATGAATTCCCGCTTCCAACGAAATCCTCAAAACTAGCCAAATATCCACTTGCAGATTCCACAAAAAGAGCGTTTCAAAACTTCTCTATGAAAAGAAAGTTTCTACTCCTTTAGTTGAGTACACACATCACGAGTAAGTTTCTGAGAATGCTTCTGTCTACTTTTTGTGGGAAGATATTTCCTTTTTCACCTTAGGCCGGAAAGCGCTCCAAATGTCCGCTTACACACAGTACAAAAAGAGTGTTTCAAACCTGCTCTGTGAAAGGGAATGTTCAATTCTGTGACTTGAATGCAATCATCACAAAGAACTTTCTGAGAATGTCGCTGTGTGCTTTTTATATGTAATCCCGTTTCCAACGAAATGCTCAAATCTAGCCAAATATCCACTTGCAGATTCCACAAAAAGAGTGTTTCAAAACTGTTCTGTCTAAAGAAATGTTCAACTGTGTTAGTTGAGGACACACATCAGAAACTAGTTTCTGAGAATGCTTCTGTCTAGTTGTTATGGGAAGATATTTCCTTTTCCAACGTAGGCCTGAAAGCGCTCCAAATGTCCACTTCCATATACTAAAAAAAGAGTGTTTCAAACCTGCTCTACCAAAGGGAATGTTCTACTCTGTGACTTGAATGCAAACATCCCAAAGAAGTTTCTGAGAATGCTTCTGTCTAGATTTGATCTGAACACAATCCCGTTTCCAACGAAATCCTCAAAGCTAGGCAAATATCCTCTTGCAGATTCCAGAAAAAGAGTGTTTCAAAACTGCTCCTTCAAAACGGTGGTTCGAATTCTCTTAGTTGAGTACACACATCTCAAATAAGTTTCTGAGAATGCTTCTGCCTAGTTGTTACGGGAAGATATTTCCCTTTCCAACATGGGCCTGAAAGCGCTCCAAATGTCCACTTCCAGATACTACAAAAAGAGTGTTTCAAACCTGCTCTACCAAAGGGAATGTTCTACTCTGTGACTTGAATGCAAACATCCCAAAGAAGTTTCTGAGAATGCTTCTGTCTAGATTTTACCTGAAGACAATCCGGTTTCCCACGAAATCCTCAAAGCTATGCAAATATCCTCTTGCAGATTCTACAAAAAGAGTGTTTCAAAACTGCTCTATGAAAAGAAAGGTTCAACTCTGTCAGTAGAGGGCACACATCACAAACAAGTTTCTGAGAATGCTTGTGTCTAGTTGTTATGGGAAGATATTTCCTTTTTCAACATAGGCCTGAAAGCGCTCCAAATGTCCACTTCCAGATACTACAAAAGGAGTGATTCCAACCTGCTCTATGATAGGGAATGTTCAACTCTCTGTCCTGAATACAAACATCACAAAGATGTTTCTCAGAACGCTGCAGTCTGCAATTTGTATGAATTCCCGCTTCCAGCGAAATCCTCAAAACTAGCCAAATATCCACTTGCAGATTCCACAAAAAGAGCATTTCAAAACTGCTCTATCAAAAGAAAGGTTCAACTTTGTTAGTTGAGTAGATACAGCATAAACAAGTTTCTGAGAATGCTTCTGTCCAGTTTTTATGGGAAGATATTTCCTTTTTCACCTTAGCCCTGAAAGCGCTCCAAAAGTCCAGTTCCAGATACTACAAAAGGAGTGTTTCAGGACTGCTCTATGAAAGGGAGTGTTCAACTTTTGACTTGAATGCAAACATCAGAAAGCAGTTTCTCAGAACGCTGCTGTGTGCTTTTTATATGTATTCCCGCTTCCAGCGAAATCCCCAAAGCTAGCCAAATATCCACTTGCAGATTCCAGAAAAAGAGAGTTTCAAAACTGCTCCTTCAAAACGGTGGTTCAATTCTCTTAGTTGAGTACACACATCTCAAATAAGTTTCTGAGAATGCTTGTGTCTAGTTGTTATGGGAAGATATTTCCTTTTTCAACATAGGCCTGAAAGCGCTCCAAATGTCCACTTCCAGATACTACAAAAGGAGTGATTCCAACCTGCTCTATGATAGGGAATGTTCATCTCTGTGTCCTGAATACAAACATCACAAAGATGTTTCTCAGAACGCTGCAGTCTGCAATTTGTATGAATTCCCGCTTCCAACGAAATCCTCAAAACTAGCCAAATATCCACTTGCAGATTCCACAAAAAGAGCGTTTCAAAACTTCTCTATGAAAAGAAAGGTTCTACTCCTTTAGTTGAGGACACACATCACGAGTAAGTTTCTGAGAATGCTTCTGTCTAGTTTTTATGGGAAGATATTTCCTTTTTCACCTTAGGCCGGAAAGTGCTCCAAATGTCCACTTACACACACTACAAAAAGAGTGTTTCAAACCTGCTCTGTGAAAGGGAATGTTCAATTGCTGTGACTTGAATGCAATCATCACAAAGAAGTTTCTGAGAATGCTGCTGTCTGCTTTTTATATGTAATCCCGTTTCCAACGAAATCCTCAAATCTAGCCAAATAGCCACTTGCAGATTCCACAAAAAGAGTGTTTCAAAACTGTTCTGTCTAAAGAAATGTTCAACTGTGTTAGTTGAGGACACACATCAGAAACTAGTTTCTGAGAATGCTTCTGTCTAGTTGTTATGGGAAGATATTTCCTTTTCCAACGTAGGCCTGAAAGCGCTCCAAATGTCCACTTCCATATACTAAAAAAAGAGTGTTTCAAACCTGCTCTACCAAAGGGAATGTTCTACTCTGTGACTTGAATGCAAACATCCCAAAGAAGTTTCTGAGAATGCTTCTGTCTAGATTTTCTCTGAAGACAATCCCGTTTCCAACGAAATCCTCAAGGCTAGGCAAATATACTCTTGCAGATTCCAGAAAAAGAGTGTTTCAAAACTGCTCCTTCAAAACGGTGGTTCAATTCTCTTAGTTGAGTACACACATCTCAAATAAGTTTCTGAGAATGCTTCTGCCTAGTTGTTACGGGAAGATATTTCCCTTTCCAACATGGGCCTGAAAGCGCTCCAAATGTCCACTTCCAGATACTACAAAAAGAGTGTTTCAAACCTGCTCTACCAAAGGGAATGTTCTACTCTGTGACTTGAATGCAAACATCCCAAAGAAGTTTCTGAGAATGCTTCTGTCTAGATTTTACCTGAAGACAATCCCGTTTCCCACGAAATCCTCAAAGCTATGCAAATATCCTCTTGCAGATTCTACAAAAAGAGTGTTTCAAAACTGCTCTATGAAAAGAAAGGTTCAACTCTGTCAGTAGAGGGCACACATCACAAACAAGTTTCTGAGAATGCTTGTGTCTAGTTGTTATGGGAAGATATTTCCTTTTTCAACATAGGCCTGAAAGCGCTCCAAATGTCCACTTCCAGATACTACAAAAGGAGTGATTCCAACCTGCTCTATGATAGGGAATGTTCAACTCTCTGTCCTGAATACAAACATCACAAAGATGTTTCACAGAACGCTGCAGTCTGCAATTTGTATGAATTCCCGCTTCCAGCGAAATCCTCAAAACTAGCCAAATATCCACTTGCAGATTCCACAAAAAGAGCATTTCAAAACTGCTCTATCAAAAGAAAGGTTCAACTTTGTTAGTTGAGTAGATACAGCATAAACAAGTTTCTGAGAATGCTTCTGTCCAGTTTTTATGGGAAGATATTTCCTTTTTCACCTTAGCCCTGAAAGCGCTCCAAAAATCCAGTTCCAGATACTACAAAAGGAGTGTTTCAGGACTGCTCTATGAAAGGGAGTGTTCAACTTTTGACTTGAATGCAAACATCAGAAAGCAGTTTCTCAGAACGCTGCAGTCTGCAATTTGTATGAATTCCCGCTTCCAACGAAATCCTCAAAACTAGCCAAATATCCACTTGCAGATTCCAGAAAAAGAGCGTTTCAAAACTTCTCTATGAAAAGGAAGGTTCTACTCCTTTAGTTGAGGGCACACATCACGAGTAAGTTTCTGAGAATGCTTCTGTCTAGTTTTTATGGGAAGATATTTCCTTTTTCACCTTAGGCCGGAAAGTGCTCCAAATGTCCACTTACACACACTACAAAAAGAGTGTTTCAAACCTGCTCTGTGAAAGGGAATGTTCAATTCTGTGACTTGAATGCAATCATCACAAAGAAGTTTCTGAGAATGCTGCTGTCTGCTTTTTATATGTAATCCCGTTTCCAACGAAATCCTCAAATCTAGCCAAATAGCCACTTGCAGATTCCACAAAAAGCGTGTTTCAAAACTGTTCTGTCTAAAGAAATGTTCAACGGTGTTAGTTGAGGACACACATCAGAAACTAGTTTCTGAGAATGCTTCTGTCTAGTTGTTATGGGAAGATATTTCCTTTTCCAACGTAGGCCAGAAAGCGCTCCAAATGTCCACTTACACACACTACAAAAAGAGTGTTTCAAACCTGCTCTACCAAAGGGAATGTTCTACTCTGTGACTTGAATGCAAACATCCCAAAGAAGTTTCTGAGAATGCTTCTGTCTAGATTTTACCTGAAGACAATCCCGTTTCCCACGAAATCCTCAAAGCTATGCAAATATCCTCTTGCAGATTCTACAAAAAGAGTGTTTCGAAACTGCTCTATGAAAAGAAAGATTCAACTGTGTCAGTAGAGGGCACACATCACAAACAAGTTTCTGAGAATGCTTTCTGCATAGTTGTTACGGGAAGATATTTCCCTTTCCAAAATAGGCCTGAAAGCGCTCCAAATGTCCACTTCCAGATACTACAAAAGGAGTGATTCCAACCTGCTCTATGATAGGGAATGTTCAACTCTGTGTCCTGAATACAAACATCACAAAGATGTTTCTCAGAACGCTGCAGTCTGCAATTTGTATGAATTCCCGCTTCCAACGAAATCCTCAAAACTAGCCAAATATCCACTTGCAGATTCCACAAAAAGACCATTTCAAAACTGCTCTATCAAAAGAAAGGTTCAACTTTGTTAGTTGAGTAGATACAGCATAAACAAGTTTCTGAGAATGCTTCTGTCCAGTTTTTATGGGAAGATATTTCCTTTTTCACCTTAGCCCTGAAAGCGCTCCAAAAGTCCAGTTCCAGATACTACAAAAGGAGTGTTTCAGGACTGCTCTATGAAAGGGAGTGTTCAACTTTTGACTTGAATGCAAACATCAGAAAGCAGTTTCTCAGAACGCTGCTGTGTGCTTTTTATATGTATTCCCGCTTCCAGCGAAATCCCCAAAGCTAGCCAAATATCCACTTGCAGATTCCAGAAAAAGAGTGTTTCAAAACTGCTCCTTCAAAACGGTGGTTCAATTCTCTTAGTTGAGTACACACATCTCAAATAAGTTTCTGAGAATGCTTCTGTCTAGTTGTTATGGGAAGATATTTCCTTTTCCAACATAGGCCTGAAAGCGCTCCAAATGTCCACTTCCAGATACTACAAAAGGAGTGATTCAAACCTGCTCTATGATAGGGAATGTTCAACTCTGTGTCCTGAATACAAACATCACAAAGATGTTTCTCAGAACGCTGCAGTCTGCAATTTGTATGAATTCCCGCTTCCAACGAAATCCTCAAAACTAGCCAAATATCCACTTGCAGATTCCACAAAAAGAGCGTTTCAAAACTTCTCTATGAAAAGAAAGGTTCTACTCCTTTAGTTGAGGACACACATCACGAGTAAGTTTCTGAGAGTGCTTCTGTCTAGTTTTTATGGGAAGATATTTCCTTTTTCACCTTAGGCCGGAAAGTGCTCCAAATGTCCACTTACACACACTACAAAAAGAGTGTTTCAAACCTGCTCTGTGAAAGGGAATGTTCAATTCTGTGACTTGAATGCAATCATCACAAAGAAGTTTCTGAGAATGCTGCTGTCAGCTTTTTATATGTAATCCCGTTTCCAAAGAAATCCTCAAATCTAGCCAAATAGCCACTTGCAGATTCCACAAAAAGAGTGTTTCAAAACTGTTCTGTCTAAAGAAATGTACAACTGTGTTAGTTGAGGACACACATCAGAAACTAGTTTCTGAGAATGCTTCTGTCTAGTTGTTATGGGAAGATATTTCCTTTTCCAACGTAGGCCTGAAAGCGCTCCAAATGTCCACTTCCATATACTAAAAAAAGAGTGTTTCAAACCTGCTCTAACAAAGGGAATGTTCTACTCTATGAATTGAATGCAAACACCCAAAGAAGTTTCTGAGAATGCTTCTGTCTAGATTTTATCTGAAGACAATCCCGTTTCCAACGAAATCCTCAAGGCTAGGCAAATATACTCTTGCAGATTCCAGAAAAAGAGGGTTTCAAAACTGCTCCTTCAAAACGGTGGTTCAGTTCTCTTACTTGAGTACACACATCTCAAATAAGTTTCTGAGAATGCTTCTGCCTAGTTGTTACGGGAAGATATTTCCCTTTCCAACATAGGCCTGAAAGCGCTCCAAATGTCCACTTCCAGATACTACAAAAAGAGTGTTTCAAACCTGCTCTACCAAAGGGAATGTTCTACTCTGTGACTTGAATGCAAACATCCCAAAGAAGTTTCTGAGAATGCTTCTGTCTAGATTTTACCTGAAGACAATCCCGTTTCCCACGAAATCCTCAAAGCTATGCAAATATCCTCTTGCAGATTCTACAAAAAGAGTGTTTCAAAACTGCTCTATGAAAAGAAAGGTTCAACTCTGTCAGTAGAGGGCACACATCACAAACAAGTTTCTGAGAATGCTTGTGTCTAGTTGTTATGGGAAGATATTTCCTTTTTCAACATAGGCCTGAAAGCGCTCCAAATGTCCACTTCCAGATACTACAAAAGGAGTGATTCCAACATGCTCTATGATAGGGAATGTTCATCTGCTGTGTCCTGAATACAAACATCACAAAGATGTTTCTCAGAACGCTGCAGTCTGCAATTTGTATGAATTCCCGCTTCCAACGAAATCCTCAAAACTAGCCAAATATCCACTTGCAGATTCCACAAAAAGACCATTTCAAAACTGCTCTATCAAAAGAAAGGTTCAACTTTGTTAGTTGAGTAGATACAGCATAAACAAGTTTCTGAGAATGCTTCTGTCCAGTTTTTATGGGAAGATATTTCCTTTTTCACCTTAGCCCTGAAATCGCTCCAAAAGTCCAGTTCCAGATACTACAAAAGGGGTGTTTCAGGACTGCTCTATGAAAGGGAGTGTTCAACTTTTGACTTGAATGCAAACATCAGAAAGCAGTTTCTCAGAACGCTGCTGTGTGCTTTTTATATGTATTCCCGCTTCCAGCGAAATCCCCAAAGCTAGCCAGATATCCACTTGCAGATTCCAGAAAAAGAGTGTTTCAAAACTGCTCCTTCAAAACGGTGGTTCAATTCTCTTAGTTGAGTACACACATCTCAAATAAGTTTCTGAGAATGCTTCTGTCTATTTGTTATGGGAAGATATTTCCTTTTCCAACATAGGCCTGAAAGCGCTCCAAATGTCCACTTCCAGATACTACAAAAGGAGTGATTCAAACCTGCTCTATGATAGGGAATGTTCAACTCTGTGTCCTGAATACAAACATCACAAAGATGTTTCTCAGAACGCTGCAGTCTGCAATTTGTATGAATTCCCGCTTCCAACGAAATCCTCAAAACTAGCCAAATATCCACTTGCAGATTCCACAAAAAGAGCGTTTCAAAACTTCTCTATGAAAAGAAAGTTTCTACTCCTTTACTTGAGTACACACATCACGAGTAAGTTTCTGAGAATGCTTCTGTCTAGTTTTTATGGGAAGATATTTCCTTTTTCACCTTAGGCCGGAAAGCGCTCCAAATGTCCACTTACACACACTACAAAAAGAGTGTTTCAAACCTGCTCTGTGAAAGGGAATGTTCAATTCTGTGACTTGAATGCAATCATCACAAAGAACTTTCTGAGAATGCTGCTGACTGTTTTTTATATGTAATCCCGTTTCCAACGAAATCCTCAAATCTAGCCCAATATCCACTTGCAGATTCCACAAAAAGAGTGTTTCAAAACTGTTCTGTCTAAAGAAAAGTTCAACTGTGTTAGTTGAGGACACACATCAGAAACTAGTTTCTGAGAATGCTTCTGTCTAGTTGTTATGGGAAGATATTTCCTTTTCCAACGTAGGCCTGAAAGCGCTCCAAATGTCCACTTCCATATACTAAAAAAAGAGTGTTTCAAACCTGCTCTACCAAAGGGAATGTTCTACTCTGTGACTTGAATGCAAACATCCCAAAGAAGTTTCTGAGAATGCTTCTGTCTAGATTTGATCTGAAGACAATCCCGTTTCCAACGAAATCCTCAAGGCTAGGCAAATATCCTCTTGCAGATTCCAGAAAAAGAGTGTTTCAAAACTGCTCCTTCAAAACGGTGGTTCAATTCTCTTAGTTGAGTACACACATCTCAAATAAGTTTCTGAGAATGCTTCTGCCTAGTTGTTACGGGAAGATATTTCCCTTTCCAACATGGGCCTGAAAGCGCTCCAAATGTCCACTTCCAGATACTACAAAAAGAGTGTTTCAAACCTGCTCTACCAAAGGGAATGTTCTACTCTGTGACTTGAATGCAAACATCCCAGAGAAGTTTCTGAGAATGCTTCTGTCTAGATTTTACCTGAAGACAATCCCGTTTCCCACGAAATCCTCAAATCTATGCAAATATCCTCTTGCAGATTCTACAAAAAGAGTGTTTCGAAACTGCTCTATGAAAAGAAAGGTTCAACTCTGTCAGTAGAGGGCACACATCACAAACAAGTTTCTGAGAATGCTTCTGCATAGTTGTTACGGGAAGATATTTCCCTTTCCAAAATAGGCCTGAAAGCGCTCCAAATGTCCACTTCCAGATACTACAAAAGGAGTGATTCCAACCTGCTCTATGATAGGGAATGTTCAACTCTGTGTCCTGAATACAAACATCACAAAGATGTTTCTCAGAACGCTGCAGTCTGCAATTTGTATGAATTCCCGCTTCCAACGAAATCCTCAAAACTAGCCAAATATCCACTTGCAGATTCCACAAAAAGACCATTTCAAAACTGCTCTATCAAAAGAAAGGTTCAACTTTGTTAGTTGAGTAGATACAGCATAACCAAGTTTCTGAGAATGCTTCTGTCCAGTTTTTATGGGAAGATATTTCCTTTTTCACCTTAGCCCTGAAAGCGCTCCAAAAGTCCAGTTCCAGATACTACAAAAGGAGTGTTTCAGGACTGCACTATGAAAGGGAGTGTTCAACTTTTGACTTGAATGCAAACATCAGAAAGCAGTTTTCTCAGAACGCTGCTGTGTGCTTTTTATATGTATTCCCGCTTCCAGCGAAATCCCCAAAGCTAGCCAAATATCCACTTGCAGATTCCAGAAAAAGAGTGTTTCAAAACTGCTCCTTCAAAACGGTGGTTCAATTCTCTTAGTTGAGTACACACATCTCAAATAAGTTTCTGAGAATGCTTCTGTCTAGTTGTTATGGGAAGATATTTCCTTTTCCAACATAGGCCTGAAAGCGCTCCAAATGTCCACTTCCAGATACTACAAAAGGAGTGATTCCAACCTGCTCTATGATAGGGAATGTTCAACTCTGTGTCCTGAATACAAACATCACAAAGATGTTTCTCAGAACGCTGCAGTCTGCAATTTGTATGAATTCCCGCTTCCAACGAAATCCTCAAAACTAGCCAAATATCCACTTGCAGATTCCACAAAAAGAGCGTTTCAAAACTTCTCTATGAAAAGAAAGGTTCTACTCCTTTAGTTGAGGACACACATCACGAGTAAGTTTCTGAGAATGCTTCTGTCTAGTTTTTATGGGAAGATATTTCCTTTTTCACCTTAGGCCGGAAAGTGCTCCAAATGTCCACTTACACACACTACAAAAAGAGTGTTTCAAACCTGCTCTGTGAAAGGGAATGTTCAATTCTGTGACTTGAATGCAATCATCACAAAGAACTTTCTGAGAATGCTGCTGACTGCTTTTTATATGTAATCCCGTTTCCAACGAAATCCTCAAATCTAGCCAAATAGCCACTTGCAGATTCCACAAAAAGAGTGTTTCAAAACTGTTCTGTCTAAAGAAATGTTCAACTGTGTTAGTTGAGGACACACATCAGAAACTAGTTTCTGAGAATGCTTCTGTCTAGTTGTTATGGGAAGATATTTCCTTTTCCAACGTAGGCCTGAAAGCGCTCCAAATGTCCACTTCCATATACTAAAAAAAGAGTGTTTCAAACCTGCTCTACCAAAGGGAATGTTCTACTCTGTGACTTGAATGCAAACATCCCAAAGAAGTTTCTGAGAATGCTTCTGTCTAGATTTTCTCTGAAGACAATCCCGTTTCCAACGAAATCCTCAAGGCTAGGCAAATATACTCTTGCAGATTCCAGAAAAAGAGTGTTTCAAAACTGCTCCTTCAAAACGGTGGTTCAATTCTCTTAGTTGAGTACACACATCTCAAATAAGTTTCTGAGAATGCTTCTGCCTAGTTGTTACCGGAAGATATTTCCCTTTCCAACATAGGCCTGAAAGCGCTCCAAATGTCCACTTCCAGATACTACAAAAAGAGTGTTTCAAACCTGCTCTACCAAAGGGAATGTTCTACTCTGTGACTTGAATGCAAACATCCCAAAGAAGTTTCTGAGAATGCTTCTGTCTAGATTTTACCTGAAGACAATCCCGTTTCCCACGAAATCCTCAAAGCTATGCAAATATCCTCTTGCAGATTCTACAAAAAGAGTGTTTCAAAACTGCTCTATGAAAAGAAAGGTTCAACTCTGTCAGTAGAGGGCACACATCACAAACAAGTTTCTGAGAATGCTTGTGTCTAGTTTTTATGGGAAGATATTTCCTTTTTCAACATAGGCCTGAAAGCGCTCCAAATGTCCACTTCCAGATACTACAAAAGGAGTGATTCCAACATGCTCTATGATAGGGAATGTTCATCTCTGTGTCTTGAATACAAACATCACAAAGATGTTTCTCAGAACGCTGCAGTCTGCAATTTGTATGAATTCCCGCTTCCAACGAAATCCTCAAAACTAGCCAAATATCCACTTGCAGATTCCACAAAAAGACCATTTCAAAACTGCTCTATCAAAAGAAAGGTTCAACTTTGTTAGTTGAGTAGATACAGCATAAACAAGTTTCTGAGAATGCTTCTGTCCAGTTTTTATGGGAAGATATTTCCTTTTTCACCTTAGCCCTGAAATCGCTCCAAAAGTCCAGTTCCAGATACTACAAAAGGGGTGTTTCAGGACTGCTCTATGAAAGGGAGTGTTCAACTTTTGACTTGAATGCAAACATCAGAAAGCAGTTTCTCAGAACGCTGCTGTGTCCTTTTTATATGTATTCCCGTTTCCAGCGAAATCCCCAAAGCTAGCCAAATATCCACTTGCAGATTCCGGAAAAAGAGTGTTTCAAAACTGCTCCTTCAAAACGGTGGTTCAATTCTCTTAGTTGAGTACATACATCTCAAACAAGTTTACTGAGAATGCTTGTCTGTCTGTTGTTATGGGAAGATATTTCCTTTTCCAACATAGGCCTGAAAGCGCTCCAAATGTCCACTTCCAGATACTACAAAAGGAGTGATTCAAACCTGCTCTATGATAGGGAATGTTCAACTCTGTGTCCTGAATACAAACATCACAAAGATGTTTCTCAGAACGCTGCAGTCTGCAATTTGTATGAATTCCCGCTTCCAACGAAATCCTCAAAACTAGCCAAATATCCACTTGCAGATTCCACAAAAAGAGCGTTTCAAAACTTCTCTATGAAAAGAAAGGTTCTACTCCTTTAGTTGAGGACACACATCACGAGTAAGTTTCTGAGAATGCTTCTGTCTAGTTTTTATGGGAAGATATTTCCTTCTTCACCTTAGGCCGGAAAGCGCTCCAAATGTCCACTTACACACACTACAAAAAGAGTGTTTCAAACCTGCTCTGTGAAAGGGAATGTTCAATTCTGTGACTTGAATGCAATCATCACAAAGAAGTTTCTGAGAATGCTGCTGTCTGCTTTTTATATGTAATCCCGTTTCCAACGAAATCCTCAAATCTAGCCAAATATCCACTTGCAGAATCCACAAAAAGAGTGTTTCAAAACTGTTCTGTCTAAAGAAATGTTCAACTGTGTTAGTTGAGGACACACATCACAAACTAGTTTCTGAGAATGCTTCTGTCTAGTTGTTATGGGAAGATATTTCCTTTTCCAACGTAGGCCTGAAAGCGCTCCAAATGTCCACTTCCATATACTAAAAAAAGAGTGTTTCACACCTGCTCTACCAAAGGGAATGTTCTACTCTGTGACTTGAATGCAAACATCCCAAAGAAGTTTCTGAGAATGCTTCTGTCTAGATTTTCTCTGAAGACAATCCCGTTTCCAACGAAATCCTCAAGGCTAGGCAAATATACTCTTGCAGATTCCAGAAAAAGAGTGTTTCAAAACTGCTCCTTCAAAACGGTGGTTCAATTCTCTTAGTTGAGTACACACATCTCAAATAAGTTTCTGAGAATGCTTCTGCCTAGTTGTTACGGGAAGATATTTCCCTTTCCAACATGGGCCTGAAAGCGCTCCAAATGTCCACTTCCAGATACTACAAAAAGAGTGTTTCAAACCTGCTCTACCAAAGGGAATGTTCTACTCTGTGACTTGAATGCAAACATCCCCAAAGAAGTTTCTGAGAATGCTTCTGTCTAGATTTTTTCTGAAGACAATCCCGTTTCCCACGAAATCCTCAAAGCTATGCAAATATCCTCTTGCAGATTCTACAAAAAGAGTGTTTCGAAAGTGCTCTATGAAAAGAAAGGTTCAACTGTGTCAGTAGAGGGCACACATCACAAACAAGTTTCTGAGAATGCTTGTGTCTAGTTGTTATGGGAAGATATTCCCTTTTTCAACATAGGCCTGAAAGCGCTCCAAATGTCCACTTCCAGATACTACAAAAGGAGTGATTCCAACCTGCTCTATGATAGGGAATGTTCAACTCTCTGTCCTGAATACAAACATCACAAAGATGTTTCTCAGAACGCTGCAGTCTGCAATTTGTATGAATTCCCGCTTCCAACGAAATCCTCAAAACTAGCCAAATATCCACTTGCAGATTCCACAAAAAGACCATTTCAAAACTGCTCTATCAAAAGAAAGGTTCAACTTTGTTAGTTGAGTAGATACAGCATAAACAAGTTTCTGAGAATGCTTCTGTCCAGTTTTTATGGGAAGATATTTCCTTTTTCACCTTAGCCCTGAAATCGCTCCAAAAGTCCAGTTCCAGATACTACAAAAGGGGTGTTTCAAGACTGCTCTATGAAAGGGAGTGTTCAACTTTTGACTTGAATGCAAACATCAGAAAGCAGTTTCTCAGAACGCTGCTGTGTGCTTTTTATATGTATTCCCGCTTCCAGCGAAATCCCCAAAGCTAGCCAAATATCCACTTGCAGATTCCAGAAAAAGAGAGTTTCAAAACTGCTCCTTCAAAACGGTGGTTCAATTCTCTTAGTTGAGTACACACATCTCAAATAAGTTTCTGAGAATGCTTGTGTCTAGTTGTTATGGGAAGATATTTCCTTTTTCAACATAGGCCTGAAAGCGCTCCAAATGTCCACTTCCAGATAGTACAAAAGGAGTGATTCCAACCTGCTCTATGATAGGGAATGTTCATCTCTGTGTCCTGAATACAAACATCACAAAGATGTTCCTCAGAACGCTGCAGTCTGCAATTTGGATGAATTCCCGCTTCCAACGAAATCCTCAAAACTAGCCAAATATCCACTTGGAGATTCCACAAAAAGAGCGTTTCAAAACTTCTCTATGAATAGAAAGGTTCTACTCCTTTAGTTGAGGACACATATCACGAGTAAGTTTCTGAGAATGCTTCTGTCTAGTTTTTATGGGAAGATACGTCCTTTTTCACCTTAGGCCGGAAAGCGCTCCAAATGTCCACTTACACACACTACAAAAAGAGTGTTTCAAACCTGCTCTGTGAAAGGGAATGTTCAATTCTGTGACTTGAATGCAATCATCATAAAGAACTTTCTGAGAATGCTGCTGACTGCTTTTTATATGTAATCCCGTTTCCAACGAAATCCTCAAATCTAGCCCAATATCCACTTGCAGATTCCACAAAAAGAGTGTTTCAAAACTGTTCTGTCTAAAGAAATGTACAACTGTGTTAGTTGAGGACACACATCAGAAACTAGTTTCTGAGAATGCTTCTGTCTAGTTGTTATGGGAAGATATTTCCTTTTCCAACGTAGGCCTGAAAGCGCTCCAAATGTCCACTTCCATATACTAAAAAAAGAGTGTTTCAAACCTGCTCTACCAAAGGGAATGTTCTACTCTGTGACTTGAATGCAAACATCCCAAAGAAGTTTCTGAGAATGCTTCTGTCTAGATTTTCTCTGAAGACAATCCCGTTTCCAACGAAATCCTCAAGGCTAGGCAAATATACTCTTGCAGATTCCAGAAAAAGAGTGTTTCAAAACTGCTCCTTCAAAACGGTGGTTCAATTCTCTTAGTTGAGTACACACATCTCAAATAAGTTTCTGAGAATGCTTCTGCCTAGTTGTTACGGGAAGATATTTCCCTTTCCAACATAGGCCTGAAAGCGCTCCAAATGTCCACTTCCAGATACTACAAAAAGAGTGTTTCAAACCTGCTCTACCAAAGGGAATGTTCTACTCTGTGACTTGAATGCAAACATCCCAAAGAAGTTTCTGAGAATGCTTCTGTCTAGATTTTACCTGAAGACAATCCCGTTTCCCACGAAATCCTCAAAGCTATGCAAATATCCTCTTGCAGATTCTACAAAACGAGTGTTTCAAAACTGCTCTATGAAAAGAAAGGTTCAACTCTGTCAGTAGAGGGCACACATCACAAACAAGTTTCTGAGAATGCTTCTGCATAGTTGTTACGGGAAGATATTTCCCTTTCCAAAATAGGCCTGAAAGCGCTCCAAATGTCCACTTCCAGATACTACAAAAGGAGTGATTCCAACCTGCTCTATGATAGGGAATGTTCAACTCTGTGTCCTGAATACAAACATCACAAAGATGTTTCTCAGAACGCTGCAGTCTGCAATTTGTATGAATTCCCGCTTCCAACGAAATCCTCAAAACTAGCCAAATATCCACTTGCAGATTCCACAAAAAGAGCATTTCAAAACTGCTCTATCAAAAGAAAGGTTCAACTTTGTTAGTTGAGTAGATACAGCATAAACAAGTTTCTGAGAATGCTTCTGTCCAGTTTTTATGGGAAGATATTTCCTTTTTCACCTTAGCCCTGAAATCGCTCCAAAAGTCCAGTTCCAGATACTACAAAAGGGGTGTTTCAAGACTGCTCTATGAAAGGGAGTGTTCAACTTTTGACTTGAATGCAAACATCAGAAAGCAGTTTCTCAGAACGCTGCTGTGTGCTTTTTATATGTATTCCCGCTTCCAGCGAAATCCCCAAAGCTAGCCAAATATCCACTTGCAGATTCCAGAAAAAGAGTGTTTCCAAACTGCTCCTTCAAAACGGTGGTTCAATTCTCTTAGTTGAGTACACACATCTCAAATAAGTTTCTGGGAATGCTTCTGTCTAGTTGTTATGGGAAGATATTTCCTTTTCCAACATAGGCCTGAAAGCGCTCCAAATGTCCACTTCCAGATACTACAAAAGGAGTGATTCCAACCTGCTCTATGATAGGGAATGTTCAACTCTGTGTCCTGAATACAAACATCACAAAGATGTTTCTCAGAACGCTGCAGTCTGCAATTTGTATGAATTCCCGCTTCCAACGAAATCCTCAAAACTAGCCAAATATCCACTTGGAGATTCCACAAAAAGAGCATTTCAAAACTTCTCTACGAATAGAAAGGTTCTACTCCTTTAGTTGAGGACACACATCACGAGTAAGTTTCTGAGAATGCTTCTGTCTAGTTTTTATGGGAAGATATTTCCTTTTTCACCTTAGGCCGGAAAGTGCTCCAAATGTCCACTTACACACACTACAAAAAGAGTGTTTCAAACCTGCTCTGTGAAAGGGAATGTTCAATTCTGTGACTTGAATGCAATCATCACAAAGAACTTTCTGAGAATGCTGCTGTCTGCTTTTTATATGTAATCCCGTTTCCAACGAAATCCTCAAATCTAGCCAAATATCCACTTGCAGATTCCACAAAAAGAGTGTTTCAAAACTGTTCTGTCTAAAGAAAAGTTCAACTGTGTTAGTTGAGGACACACATCAGAAACTAGTTTCTGAGAATGCTTCTGTCTAGTTGTTATGGGAAGATATTTCCTTTTCCAACGTAGGCCTGAAAGCGCTCCAAATGTCCTTCCATATCCAAAAAAAAGAGTGTTTCAAACCTGCTGTACCAAAGGGAATGTTCTACTCTGTGACTTGAATGCAAACATCCCAAAGAAGTTTCTGAGAATGCTTCTGTCTAGATTTTATCTGAAGACAATCCCGTTTCCAACGAAATCCTCAAGGCTAGGCAAATATACTCTTGCAGATTCCAGAAAAAGAGTGTTTCAAAACTGCTCCTTCAAAACGGTGGTTCAATTCTCTTAGTTGAGTCCACACATCTCAAATAAGTTTCTGAGAATGCTTCTGCCTAGTTGTTACGGGAAGATATTTCCCTTTCCAACATAGGCCTGAAAGCGCTCCAAATGTCCACTTCCAGATACTACAAAAAGAGTGTTTCAAACCTGCTCTACCAAAGGGAATGTTCTACTCTGTGACTTGAATGCAAACATCCCAAAGAAGTTTCTGAGAATGCTTCTGTCTAGATTTTATCTGAAGACAATCCCGTTTCCAACGAAATCCTCAAAGCTAGGCAAATATCCTCTAGCAGATTCCAGAAAAAGAGTGTTTCAAAACTGGTCCTTCAAAACGGTGGTTCAATTCTCTTAGTTGAGTACACACATCTCAAATAAGTTTCTGAGAATGCTTCTGCATAGTTGTTACGGGAAGATATTTCCCTTTCCAAAATAGGCCTGAAAGCGCTCCAAATGTCCACTTCCAGATACTACAAAAGGAGTGATTCCAACCTGCTCTATGATAGGGAATGTTCAACTCTGTGTCCTGAATACAAACATCACAAAGATGTTTCTCAGAACGCTGCAGTCTGCAATTTGTATGAATTCCCGCTTCCAACGAAATCCTCAAAACTAGCCAAATATCCACTTGCAGATTCCACAGAAAGAGCATTTCAAAACTGCTCTATCAAAAGAAAGGTTCAACTTTGTTAGTTGAGTAGATACAGCATAAACAAGTTTCTGAGAATGCTTCTGTCCAGTTTTTATGGGAAGATATTTCCTTTTTCACCTTAGCCCTGAAATCGCTCCAAAAGTCCAGTTCCAGATACTACAAAAGGGGTGTTTCAGGACTGCTCTATGAAAGGGAGTGTTCAACTTTTGACTTGAATGCAAACATCAGAAAGCAGTTTCTCAGAACGCTGCTGTGTGCTTTTTATATGTATTCCCGCTTCCAGCGAAATCCCCAAAGCTAGCCAAATATCCACTTGCAGATTCCAGAAAAAGAGAGTTTCAAAACTGCTCCTTCAAAACGGTGGTTCAATTCTCTTAGTTGAGTACACACATCTCAAATAAGTTTCTGAGAATGCTTCTGCCTAGTTGTTATGGGAAGATATTTCCTTTTTCAACATAGGCCTGAAAGCGCTCCAAATGTCCACTTCCAGATACTACAAAAGGAGTGATTCCAACCTGCTCTATGATAGGGAATGTTCAACTCTGTGTCCTGAATACAGACATCACAAAGATTTTTCTGAGAACGGTGCAGTCTGCAATTTGTATGAATTCCCGCTTCCAACGAAATCCTCCAAACTAGCCAAATATCCACTTGCAGATTCCACAAAAAGAGCGTTTCAAAACTTCTCTACGAAAGAAAGGTTCTACTCCTTTAGTTGAGGACACACATCACGAGTAAGTTTCTGAGAATGCTTCTGTCTAGTTTTTATGGGAAGATATTTCCTTTTTCACCTTAGGCCGGAAAGCGCTCCAAATGTCCACTTACACACACTACAAAAAGAGTGTTTCAAACCTGCTCTGTGAAAGGGAATGTTCAATTCTGTGACTTGAATGCAATCATCACAAAGAACTTTCTGAGAATGCTGCTGTCTGCTTTTTATATGTAATCCCGTTTCCAACGAAATCCTCAAATCTAGCCCAATATCCACTTGCAGATTCCACAAAAAGAGTGTTTCAAAACTGTTCTGTCTAAAGAAATGTACAACTGTGTTAGTTGAGGACACACATCAGAAACTAGTTTCTGAGAATGCTTGTCTGTCTAGTTGTTATGGGAAGATATTTCCTTTTCCAACGTAGGCCTGAAAGCGATCAAAATGTCCACTTCCATATACTAAAAAAAGAGTGTTTCAAACCTGCTCTACCAAAGGGAATGTTCTACTCTGTGACTTGAATGCAAACATCCCAAAGAAGTTTCTGAGAATGCTTCTGTCTAGATTTGATCTGAAGACAATCCCGTTTCCAACGAAATCCTCAAGGCTAGGCAAATATCCTCTTGCAGATTCCAGAAAAAGAGTGTTTCAAAACTGCTCCTTCAAAACGGTGGTTCAATTCTCTTAGTTGAGTACACACATCTCAAATAAGTTTCTGAGAATGCTTCTGCCTAGTTGTTACGGGAAGATATTTCCCTTTCCAACATGGGCCTGAAAGTGCTGCAAATGTCCACTTCCAGATACTACAAAAAGAGTGTTTCAAACCTGCTCTACCAAAGGGAATGTTCTACTCTGTGACTTGAATGCAAACATCCCAAAGAAGTTTCTGAGAATGCTTCTGTCTAGATTTTACCTGAAGACAATCCCGTTTCCCACGAAATCCTCAAAGCTATGCAAATATCCTCTTGCAGATTCTACAAAAAGAGTGTTTCAAAACTGCTCTATGAAAAGAAAGGTTCAACTCTGTCAGTAGAGGGCACACATCACAAACAAGTTTCTGAGAATGCTTGTGTCTAGTTGTTATGGGAAGATATTTCCTTTTTCAACATAGGACTGAAAGCGCTCCAAATGTCCACTTCCGGATACTACAAAAGGAGTGATTCCAACCTGCTCTATGATAGGGAATGTTCATCTCTGTGTCCTGAATACAAACATCACAAAGATGATTCTCAGAACGCTGCAGTCTGCAATTTGTATGAATTCCCGCTTCCAACGAAATCCTCAAAACTAGCCAAATATCCAATTGGAGATTCCACAAAAAGAGCGTTTCAAAACTTCTCTATGAATAGAAATGTTCTACTCCTTTAGTTGAGGACACACATCACGAGTAAGTTTCTGAGAATGCTTCTGTCTAGTTTTTATGGGAAGATATTTCCTTTTTCACCTTAGGCCGGAAAGCGCTCCAAATGTCCACTTACACACACTACAAAAAGAGTGTTTCAAACCTGCTCTGTGAAAGGGAATGTTCAATTCTGTGACTTGAATGCAATCATCACAAAGAACTTTCTGAGAATGCTGCTGACTGCTTTTTATATGTAATCCCGTTTCCAACGAAATCCTCAAATCTAGCCAAATAGCCACTTGCAGATTCCACAAAAAGAGTGTTTCAAAACTGTTCTGTCTAAAGAAATGTTCAACTGTGTTAGTTGAGGACACACATCAGAAACTAGTTTCTGAGAATGCTTCTGTCTAGTTGTTATGGGAAGATATTTCCTTTTCCAACGTAGGCCTGAAAGCGCTCCAAATGTCCACTTCCATATACTAAAAAAAGAGTGTTTCAAACCTGCTCTACCAAAGGGAATGTTCTACTCTGTGACTTGAATGCAAACATCCCAAAGAAGTTTCTGAGAATGCTTCTGTCTAGATTTCATCTGAAGACAATCCCGTTTCCAACGAAATCCTCAAGGCTAGGCAAATATACTCTTGCAGATTCCAGAAAAAGAGTGTTTCAAAACTGCTCCTTGAAAACGGTGGTTCAATTCTACTTAGTTGAGTACACACATCTCAAATAAGTTTCTGAGAATGCTTCTGCCTAGTTGTTACCGGAAGATATTTCCCTTTCCAACATAGGCCTGAAAGCGCTCCAAATGTCCACTTCCAGATACTACAAAAAGAGTGTTTCAAACCTGCTCTACCAAAGGGAATGTTCTACTCTGTGACTTGAATGCAAACATCCCAAAGAAGTTTCTGAGAATGCTTCTGTCTAGATTTTACCTGAAGACAATCCCGTTTCCCACGAAATCCTCAAAGCTATGCAAATATCCTCTTGCAGATTCTACAAAAAGAGTGTTTCAAAACTGCTCTATGAAAAGAAAGGTTCAACTCTGTCAGTAGAGGGCACACATCACAAACAAGTTTCTGAGAATGCTTGTGTCTAGTTGTTATGGGAAGATATTTCCTTTTTCAACATAGGCCTGAAAGCGCTCCAAATGTACACTTC
Source organism: Homo sapiens (assembly GCF_000001405.40). Lineage (NCBI taxonomy): Eukaryota > Metazoa > Chordata > Mammalia > Primates > Hominidae > Homo > Homo sapiens. Next base: position 20,275,494 of record NC_000018.10, on the reverse strand, counting down.
CAGATACTACAAAAGGAGTGATTCCAACCTGCTCTATGATAGGGAATGTTCAACTCTGTGTCCTGAATACAAACATCACAAAGATATTTCTCAGAACGCTGCAGTCTGCAATTTGTATGAATTCCCGCTTCCAACGAAATCCTCAAAACTAGCCAAATATCCACTTGCAGATTCCACAAAAAGAGCGTTTCAAAACTTCTCTATGAAAAGAAAGGTTCTACACCTTTAGTTGAGGACACACATCACGAGTAAGTTTCTGAGAATGCTTCTGTCTAGTTTTTATGGGAAGATATTTCCTTTTTCACCTTAGGCCGGAAAGTGCTCCAAATGTCCACTTACACACACTACAAAATGAGTGTTTCAAACCTGCTCTGTGAAAGGGAATGTTCAATTCTGTGACTTGAATGCAATCATCACAAAGAACTTTCTGAGACTGCTGCTGTCTGCTTTGTATATGTAATCCCGTTTCCAACGAAATCCTCAAATCTAGCTAAATATCCACTTGCAGATTCCAGAAAAGGAGTGTTTCAAAACTGCTCCTTCAAAACGGTGGTTCAATTCTCTTAGTTGAGTACACACATCTCAAATAAGTTTCTGAGAATGCTTCTGTCTAGTTTTTATGGGAAGATATTTCCTTTTTCACCTGAGGCCGGAAAGCGCTCCAAATGTCCACTTCCAGATACTACAAAAGGAGTGATTCAAACCTGCTCTATGATAGGGAATGTTCAACTCTGTGTCCTGAATACTAACATCACAAAGATGTTTCTCAGAACGCTGCAGTCTGCAATTTGTATGAATTCCCGCTTCCAACGAAATCCTCAAAACTAGCCAAATATCCACTTGCAGATTCCACAAAAAGAGCGTTTCAAAACTTCTCTATGAAAAGAAAGGTTCTACTCCTTTAGTTGAGGACACACATCACGAGTAAGTTTCTGAGAATGCTTCTGTCTAGTTTTTATGGGAAGATATTTCCTTTTTCACCTTAGGCCGGTAAGTGCTCCAAATGTCCACTTACACACACTACAAAAAGAGTGTTTCAAACCTGCTCTGTGAAAGGGAATGTTCAATTCTGTGACTTGAATGCAATCATCACAAAGAACTTTCCTGAGAATGCTGCTGTCTGCTTTTTATATGTAATCCCGTTTCCAACGAAATCCTCAAATCTAGCCAAATAGCCACTTGCAGATTCCACAAAAAGAGTGTTTCAAAACTGTTCTGTCTAAAGAAATGTTCAACTGTGTTAGTTGAGGACACACATCAGAAACTAGTTTCTGAGAATGCTTCTGTCTAGTTGTTATGGGAAGATATTTCCTTTTCCAACGTAGGCCTGAAAGCGCTCCAAATGTCCACTTCCAGATACTACAAAAAGAGTGTTTCAAACCTGCTCTACCAAAGGGAATGTTCTACTCTGTGACTTGAATGCAAGCATCCCAAAGAAGTTTCTGAGAATGCTTCTGTCTAGATTTGATCTGAACACAATCCCGTTTCCAACGAAATCCTCAAAGCTAGGCAAATATCCTCTTGCAGATTCCAGAAAAAGAGTGTTTCAAAACTGCTCCTTCAAAACGGTGGTTCAATTCTCTTAGTTGAGTACACACATCTCAAATAAGTTTCTGAGAATGCTTCTGCCTAGTTGTTACGGGAAGATATTTCCCTTTCCAACATAGGCCTGAAAGCGCTCCAAATGTCCACTTCCAGATACTACAAAAAGAGTGTTTCAAACCTGCTCTACCAAAGGGAATGTTCTACTCTGTGACTTGAATGCAAACATCCCAAAGAAGTTTCTGAGAATGCTTCTGTCTAGATTTTACCTGAAGACAATCCCGTTTCCCACGAAATCCTCAAAGCTATGCAAATATCCTCTTGCAGATTCTACAAAAAGAGTGTTTCAAAACTGCTCTATGAAAAGAAAGGTTCAACTCTGTCAGTAGAGGGCACACATCACAAACAAGTTTCTGAGAATGCTTCTGCATAGTTGTTACGGGAAGATATTTCCCTTTCCAAAATAGGCCTGAAAGCGCTCCAAATGTCCACTTCCAGATACTACAAAAGGAGTGATTCCAACCTGCTCTATGATAGGGAATGTTCAACTCTGTGTCCTGAATACAAACATCACAAAGATGTTTCTCAGAACGCTGCAGTCTGCAATTTGTATGAATTCCCGCTTCCAACGAAATCCTCAAAACTAGCCAAATATCCACTTGCAGATTCCACAAAAAGACCATTTCAAAACTGCTCTATCAAAAGAAAGGTTCAACTTTGTTAGTTGAGTAGATACAGCATAACCAAGTTTCTGAGAATGCTTCTGTCCAGTTTTTATGGGAAGATATTTCCTTTTTCACCTTAGCCCTGAAATCGCTCCAAAAGTCCAGTTCCAGATACTACAAAAGGGGTGTTTCAAGACTGCTCTATGAAAGGGAGTGTTCAACTTTTGACTTGAATGCAAACATCAGAAAGCAGTTTCTCAGAACGCTGCTGTGTGCTTTTTATATGTATTCCCGCTTCCAGCGAAATCCCCAAAGCTAGCCAAATATCCACTTGCAGATTCCAGAAAAAGAGTGTTTCAAAACTGCTCCTTCAAAACGGTGGTTCAATTCTCTTAGTTGAGTACACACATCTCAAATAAGTTTCTGAGAATGCTTGTGTCTATTTGTTATGGGAAGATATTTCCTTTTTCAACGTAGGCCTGAAAGCGCTCCAAATGTCCACTTCCAGATACTACAAAAGGAATGGTTCCAACCTGCTCTATGATAGGGTATGTTCAACTCTGTGTCCTGAATACAAACATCACAAAGATGTTTCTCAGAACGCTGCAGTCTGCAATTTGTATGAATTCCCGCTTCCAACGAAATCCTCAAAACTAGCCAAATATCCACTTGCAGATTCCACAAAAAGAGCATTTCAAAACTGCTCTATCAAAAGAAAGGTTCAACTTTGTTAGTTGATTAGATACAGCATAAACAAGTTTCTGAGAATGCTTCCTGTCCAGTTTTTATGGGAAGATATTTCCTTTTTCACCTTAGCCCTGAAAGCGCTCCAAATGTCCAGTTCCAGATACTACAAAAGGGGTGTTTCAAGACTGCTCTATGAAAGGGAGTGTTCAACTTTTGACTTGAATGCAAACATCAGAAAGCAGTTTCTCAGAACGCTGCAGTCTGCAATTTGTATGAATTCCCGCTTCCAACGAAATCCTCAAAACTAGCCAAATATCCACTTGCAGATTCCACAAAAAGAGCGTTTCAAAACTTCTCTATGAAAAGAAAGGTTCTACTCCTTTAGTTGAGGACACACATCACGAGTAAGTTTCTGAGAATGCTTCTGTCTAGTTTTTATGGGAAGATTATTTCCTTTTTCACCTTAGGCCGGTAAGTGCTCCAAATGTCCACTTACACACACTACAAAAAGAGTGTTTCAAACCTGCTCTGTGAAAGGGAATGTTCAATTCTGTGACTTGAATGCAATCATCACAAAGAACTTTCTGAGAATGCTGCTGTCTGCTTTTTATATGTAATCCCGTTTCCAACGAAATCCTCAAATCTAGCCAAATAGCCACTTGCAGATTCCACAAAAAGAGTGTTTCAAAACTGTTCTGTCTAAAGAAATGTTCAACTGTGTTAGTTGAGGACACACATCAGAAACTAGTTTCTGAGAATGCTTCTGTCTAGTTGTTATGGGAAGATATTTCCTTTTCCAACGTAGGCCGGAAAGCGCTCCAAATGTCCACTTCCATATACTAAAAAAAGAGTGTTTCAAACCTGCTCTACCAAAGGGAATGTTCTACTCTGTGACTTGAATGCAAACATCCCAAAGAAGTTTCTGAGAATGCTTCTGTCTAGATTTGATCTGAAGACAATCCCGTTTCCAACGAAATCCTCAAGGCTAGGCAAATATACTCTTGCAGATTCCAGAAAAAGGGTGTTTCAAAACTGCTCCTTCGAAACGGTGGTTCAATTCTCTTAGTTGAGTACACACATCTCAAATATGTTTCTGAGAATGCTTCTGCCTAGTTGTTACGGGAAGATATTTCCCTTTCCAACATGGGCCTGAAAGCGCTCCAAATGTCCACTTCCAGATACTACAAAAAGAGGGTTTCAAACCTGCTCTACCAAAGGGAATGTTCTACTCTGTGACTTGAATGCAAACATCCCAAAGAAGTTTCTGAGAATGCTTCTGTCTAGATTTGATCTGAAGACAATCCCGTTTCCCACGAAATCCTCAAAGCTATGCAAATATCCTCTTGCAGATTCTACAAAAAGAGTGTTTCGAAACTGCTCTATGAAAAGAAAGGATCAACTGTGTCAGTAGAGGGCACACATCACAAACAAGTTTCTGAGAATGCTTCTGCCTAGTTGTTATGGGAAGATATTTCCTTTTTCAACATAGGCCTGAAAGCGCTCCAAATGTCCACTTCCAGATACTACAAAAGGAGTGATTCCAACCTGCTCTATGATAGGGAATGTTCAACTCTGTGTCCTGAATACAAACATCACAAAGATGTTTCTCAGAACGCTGCAGTCTGCAATTTGCATGAATTCCAGCTTCCAACGAAATCCTCAAAACTAGCCAAATATCCACTTGCAGATTCCACAAAAAGAGCATTTCAAAACTGCTCTATCAAAAGAAAGGTTCAACTTTGTTAGTAGAGTAGATACAGCATAAACAAGTTTCTGAGAATGCTTCTGTCCAGTTTTTATGGGAAGATATTTCCTTTTTCACCTTAGCCCTGAAATCGCTCCAAAAGTCCAGTTCCAGATACTACAAAAGGGGTGTTTCAGGACTGCTCTATGAAAGGGAGTGTTCAACTTTTGACTTGAATGCAAACATCAGAAAGCAGTTTCTCAGAACGCTGCTGTGTGCTTTTTATATGTATTCCCGCTTCCAGCGAAATCCCCAAAGCTAGCCAAATATCCACTTGCAGATTCCAGAAAAAGAGTGTTTCAAAACTGCTCCTTCAAAACGGTGGTTCAATTCTCTTAGTTGAGTACACACATCTCAAATAAGTTTCTGAGAATGCTTCTGTCTAGTTGTTATGGGAAGATATTTCCTTTTCCAACATAGGCCTGAAAGCGCTCCAAATGTCCACTTCCAGATACTACAAAAGGAGTGATTCCAACCTGCTCTATGATAGGGAATGTTCAACTCTGTGTCCTGAATACAAACATCACAAAGATGTTTCTCAGAACGCTGCAGTCTGCAATTTGTATGAATTCCCGCTTCCAACGAAATCCTCAAAACTAGCCAAATATCCACTTGCAGATTCCACAAAAAGAGCGTTTCAAAACTTCTCTATGAAAAGAAAGGTTCTACTCCTTTAGTTGAGGACACACATCACGAGTAAGTTTCTGAGAATGCTTCTGTCTAGTTTTTATGGGAAGATATTTCCTTTTTCACCTGAGGCCGGAAAGCGCTCCAAATGTCCACTTACAGACACTACAAAAGAGTGTTTCAAACCTGCTCTGTGAAAGGGAATGTTCAATTCTGTGACTTGAATGCAATCACCACAAAGAAGTTTCTGAGAATGCTGCTGACTGCTTTTTATATGTAATCCCGTTTCCAACGAAATCCTCAAATCTAGCCAAATAGCCACTTGCAGATTCCACAAAAAGAGTGTTTCAAAACTGTTCTGTCTAAAGAAATGTTCAACTGTGTTAGTTGAGGACACACATCAGAAACTAGTTTCTGAGAATGCTTCTGTCTAGTTGTTATGGGAAGATATTTCCTTTTCCAACGTGGGCTGAAAGCGCTGCAAATGTCCACTTCCATATACTAAAAAAAGAGTGTTTCAAACCTGCTCTACCAAAGGGAATGTTCTACTCTGTGACTTGAATGCAAACATCCCAAAGAAGTTTCTGAGAATGCTTCTGTCTAGATTTTATCTGAAGACAATCCCGTTTCCAACGAAATCCTCAAGGCTAGGCAAATATACTCTTGCAGATTCCAGAAAAAGAGGGTTTCAAAACTGCTCCTTCAAAACGGTGGTTCAATTCTCTTAGTTGAGTACACACATCTCAAATAAGTTTCTGAGAATGCTTCTGCCTAGTTGTTACGGGAAGATATTTCCCTTTCCAACATGGGCCTGATAGTGCTCCAAATGTCCACTTCCAGATACTACAAAAAGAGTGTTTCAAACCTGCTCTACCAAAGGGAATGTTCTACTCTGTGACTTGAATGCAAACATCCCAAAAAAGTTTCTGAGAATGCTTCTGTCTAGATTTTACCTGAAGACAATCCCGTTTCCCACGAAATCCTCAAAGCTATGCAAATATCCTCTTGCAGATTCTACAAAAAGAGTGTTTCAAAACTGCTCTATGAAAAGAAAGGTTCAACTCTGTCAGTAGAGGGCACACATCACAAACAAGTTTCTGAGAATGCTTGTGTCTAGTTGTTATGGGAAGACATTTCCTTTTTCAACATAGGCCTGAAAGCGCTCCAAATGTCCACTTCCAGATACTACAAAAGGAGTGATTCCAACCTGCTCTATGATAGGGAATGTTCAACTCTGTGTCCTGAATACAAACATCACAAAGATGTTTCTCAGAACGCTGCAGTCTGCAATTTGTATGAATTCCCGCTTCCAACGAAATCCTCAAAACTAGCCAAATATCCACTTGCAGATTCCACAAAAAGAGCATTTCAAAACTGCTCTATCAAAAGAAAGGTTCAACTTTGTTAGTTGAGTAGATACAGCATAAACAAGTTTCTGAGAATGCTTCTGTCCAGTTTTTATGGGAAGATATTTCCTTTTTCACCTTAGCCCTGAAATCGCTCCAAAAGTCCAGTTCCAGATACTACAAAAGGGGTGTTTCAAGACTGCTCTATGAAAGGGAGTGTTCAACTTTTGACTTGAATGCAAACATCAGAAAGCAGTTTCTCAGAACGCTGCAGTCTGCAATTTGTATGAATTCCCGCTTCCAACGAAATCCTCAAAACTAGCCAAATATCCACTTGGAGATTCCACAAAAAGAGCGTTTCAAAACTTCTCTATGAATAGAAAGTTTCTACTCCTTTAGTTGAGGACACACATCACGAGTAAGTTTCTGAGAATGCTTCTGTCTAGTTTTTATGGGAAGATATTACCTTTTTCACCTTAGGCCGGAAAGTGCTCCAAATGTCCACTTACACACACTACAAAAAGAGTGTTTCAAACCTGCTCTGTGAAAGGGAATGTTCAATTCTGTGACTTGAATGCAATCATCACAAAGAACGTTCTGAGAATGCTGCTGACTGCTTTTTATATGTAATCCCGTTTCCAACGAAATCCTCAAATCTAGCCAAATAGCCACTTGCAGATTCCACAAAAAGAGTGTTTCAAAACTGTTCTGTCTAAAGAAATGTTCAACTGTGTTAGTTGAGGACACACATCAGAAACTAGTTTCTGAGAATGCTTCTGTCTAGTTGTTATGGGAAGATATTTCCTTTTCCAACGTAGGCCTGAAAGCGCTCCAAATGTCCACTTCCAGATACTAAAAAAAGAGTGTTTCAAACCTGCTCTACCAAAGGGAATGTTCTACTCTGTGACTGGAATGCAAGCATCCCAAAGAAGTTTCTGAGAATGCTTCTGTCTAGATTTGATCTGAAGACAATCCCGTTTCCAACGAAATCCTCAAGGCTAGGCAAATATCCTCTTGCAGATTCCAGAAAAAGAGTGTTTCAAAACTGCTCCTTCAAAACGGTGGTTCAATTCTCTTAGTTGAGTACACACATCTCAAATAAGTTTCTGAGAATGCTTCTGCCTAGTTGTTACGGGAAGATATTTCCCTTTCCAACATAGGCCTGAAAGCGCTCCAAATGTCCACTTCCAGATACTACAAAAAGAGTGTTTCAAACCTGCTCTACCAAAGGGAATGTTCTGCTCTGTGACTTGAATGCAAACATCCCAAAGAAGTTTCTGAGAATGCTTCTGTCTAGATTTTACCTGAAGACAATCCCGTTTCCCACGAAATCCTCAAAGCTATGCAAATATCCTCTTGCAGATTCTACAAAAAGAGTGTTTCAAAACTGCTCTATGAAAAGAAAGGTTCAACTCTGTCAGTAGAGGGCACACATCACAAACAAGTTTCTGAGAATGCTTCTGCATAGTTGTTACGGGAAGATATTTCCCTTTCCAAAATAGGCCTGAAAGCGCTCCAAATGTCCACTTCCAGATACTACAAAAGGAGTGATTCCAACCTGCTCTATGATAGGGAATGTTCAACTCTGTGTCCTGAATACAAACATCACAAAGATGTTTCTCAGAACGCTGCAGTCTGCAATTTGTATGAATTCCCGCTTCCAACGAAATCCTCAAAACTAGCCAAATATCCACTTGCAGATTCCACAAAAAGACCATTTCAAAACTGCTCTATCAAAAGAAAGGTTCAACTTTGTTAGTTGAGTAGATACAGCATAAACAAGTTTCTGAGAATGCTTCTGTCCAGTTTTTATGGGAAGATATTTCCTTTTTCACCTTAGCCCTGAAAGCGCTCCAAATGTCCAGTTCCAGATACTACAAAAGGGGTGTTTCAAGACTGCTCTATGAAAGGGAGTGTTCAACTTTTGACTTGAATGCAAACATCAGAAAGCAGTTTCTCAGAACGCTGCTGTGTGCTTTTTATATGTATTCCCGCTTCCAGCGAAATCCCCAAAGCTAGCCAAATAGCCACTTGCAGATTCCAGAAAAAGAGTGTTTCAAAACTGCTCCTTCAAAACGGTGGTTCAATTCTCTTAGTTGAGTACACACATCTCAAATAAGTTTCTGAGAATGCTTGTGTCTAGTTGTTATGGGAAGATATTTCCTTTTTCAACATAGGCCTGAAAGCGCTCCAAATGTCCACTTCCAGATACTACAAAAGGAGTGATTCCAACCTGCTCTATGATAGGGAATGTTCATCTCTGTGTCCTGAATACAAACATCACAAAGATGTTTCTCATAACGCTGCAGTCTGCAATTTGTATGAATTCCCGCTTCCAACGAAATCCTCAAAACTAGCCAAATATCCACTTGGAGATTCCACAAAAAGAGCGTTTGAAAACTTCTCTATGAATAGAAAGGTTCTACTCCTTTAGTTGAGGACACATATCACGAGTAAGTTTCTGAGAATGCTTCTGTCTAATTTTTATGGGAAGATATGTCCTTTTTCACCTTAGGCCGGAAAGCGCTCCAAATGTCCACTTACACACACTACAAAAAGAGTGTTTCAAACCTGCTCTGTGAAAGGGAATGTTCAATTCTGTGACTTGAATGCAATCATCACAAAGAACTTTCTGAGAATGCTGCTGTCTGCTTTTTATATGTAATCCCGTTTCCAAGGAAATCCTCAAATCTAGCCAAATAGCCACTTGCAGATTCCACAAAAAGAGAGTTTCAAAACTGTTCTGTCTAAAGAAATGTTCAACTGTGTTAGTTGAGGAAACACATCAGAAACTAGTTTCTGAGAATGCTTCTGTCTAGTTGTTATGGGAAGATATTTCCTTTTCCAACGTAGGCCTGAAAGCGCTCCAAATGTCCACTTCCATATACTAAAAAAAGAGTGTTTCAAACCTGCTCTACCAAAGGGAATGTTCTACTCTGTGACTTGAATGCAAACATCCCAAAGAAGTTTCTGAGAATGCTTCTGTCTAGATTTGATCTGAAGACAATCCTGTTTCCAACGAAATCCTCAAGGCTAGGCAAATATCCTCTTGCAGATTCCAGAAAAAGAGTGTTTCAAAACTGCTCCTTCAAAACGGTGGTTCAATTCTCTTAGTTGAGTACACACATCTCAAATAAGTTTCTGAGAATGCTTCTGCCTAGTTGTTACGGGAAGATAATTCCCTTTCCAACATAGGCCTGAAAGCGCTCCAAATGTCCACTTCCAGATACTACAAAAAGAGTGTTTGAAACCTGCTCTACCAAAGGGAATGTTCTACTCTGTGACTTGAATGCAAACATCCCAAAGAAGTTTCTGAGAATGCTTCTGTCTAGATTTTACCTGAAGACAATCCCGTTTCCCACGAAATCCTCAGAGCTATGCAAATATCCTCTTGCAGATTCTACAAAAAGAGTGTTTCGAAACTGCTCTATGAAAAGAAAGGTTCAACTCTGTCAGTAGAGGAAACACATCACCAACAAGTTTCTGAGAATGCTTGTGTCTAGTTGTTATGGGAAGATATTTCCTTTTTCAACATAGGCCTGAAAGCGCTCCAAATGTCCACTTCCAGATACTACAAAAGGAGTGATTCCAACCTGCTCTATGATAGGGAATGTTCAACTCTCTGTCCTGAATACAAACATCACAAAGATGTTTCTCAGAACGCTGCAGTCTGCAATTTGTATGAATTCCCGCTTCCAACGAAATCCTCAAAACTAGCCAAATATCCACTTGCAGATTCCACAAAAAGACCATTTCAAAACTGCTCTATCAAAAGAAAGGTTCAACTTTGTTAGTTGAGTAGATACAGCATAAACAAGTTTCTGAGAATGCTTCTGTCCAGTTTTTATGGGAAGATATTTCCTTTTTCACCTTAGCCCTGAAATCGCTCCAAAAGTCCAGTTCCAGATACTACAAAAGGGGTGTTTCAGGACTGCTCTATGAAAGGGAGTGTTCAACTTTTGACTTGAATGCAAACATCAGAAAGCAGTTTCTCAGAACGCTGCTGTGTGCTTTTTATATGTATTCCCGCTTCCAGCGAAATCCCCAAAGCTAGCCAAATATCCACTTGCAGATTCCAGAAAAAGAGAGTTTCAAAACTGCTCCTTCAAAACGGTGGTTCAATTCTCTTAGTTGAGTACACACATCTCAAATAAGTTTCTGAGAATGCTGCTGTGTGCTTTTTATATGTATTCCCGCTTCCAGCGAAATCCCCAAAGCTAGCCAAATATCCACTTGCAGATTCCAGAAAAAGAGTGTTTCCAAACTGCTCCTTCAAAACGGTGGTTCAATTCTCTTAGTTGAGTACACACATCTCAAATAAGTTTCTGGGAATGCTTCTGTCTAGTTGTTATGGGAAGATATTTCCTCTTCCAACATAGGCCTGAAAGCGCTCCAAATGTCCACTTCCAGATACTACAAAAGGAGTGATTCAAACCTGCTCTATGATAGGGAATGTTCAACTCTGTGTCCTGAATACAAACATCACAAAGATGTTTCTCAGAACGCTGCAGTCTGCAATTTGTATGAATTCCCGCTTCCAACGAAATCCTCAAAACTAGCCAAATATCCACTTGCAGATTCCACAAAAAGAGCATTTCAAAACTGCTCTATCAAAAGAAAGGTTCAACTTTGTTAGTTGAGTAGATACAGCATAAACAAGTTTCTGAGAATGCTTCTGTCCAGTTTTTATGGGAAGATATTTCCTTTTTCACCTTAGCCCTGAAATCGCTCCAAAAGTCCAGTTCCAGATACTACAAAAGGGGTGTTTCAAGACTGCTCTATGAAAGGGAGTGTTCAACTTTTGACTTGAATGCAAACATCAGAAAGCAGTTTCTCAGAACGCTGCTGTGTGCTTTTTATATGTATTCCCGCTTCCAGCGAAATCCCCAAAGCTAGCCAAATATCCACTTGCAGATTCCAGAAAAAGAGAGTTTCAAAACTGCTCCTTCAAAACGGTGGTTCAATTCTCTTAGTTGAGTACACACATCTCAAATAAGTTTCTGAGAATGCTTCTGTCTAGTTGATATGGGAAGATATTTCCTTTTCCAACATAGGCCTGAAAGCGCTCCAAATGTCCACTTCCAGATACTACAAAAGGAATGATTCAAACCTGCTCTATGATAGGGAATGTTCAACTCTGTGTCCTGAATACAAACATCACAAAGATGTTTCTCAGAACGCTGCAGTCTGCAATTTGTATGAATTCCCGCTTCCAACGAAATCCTCAAAACTAGCCAAATATCCACTTGCAGATTCCACAAAAAGAGCGTTTCAAAACTTCTCTATGAAAAGAAAGGTTCTACTCCTTTAGTTGAGGACACACATCACGAGTAAGTTTCTTAGAATGCTTCTGTCTAGTTTTTATGGGAAGATATTTCCTTTTTCACCTTAGGCCGGTAAGTGCTCCAAATGTCCACTTACACACACTACAAAAAGAGTCTTTCAAACCTGCTCTGTGAAAGGGAATGTTCAATTCTGTGACTTGAATGCAATCATCACAAAGAACTTTCTGAGAATGCTGCTGGCTGCTTTTTATATGTAATCCCGTTTCCAACGAAATCCTCAAATCTAGCCAAATAGCCACTTGCAGATTCCACAAAAAGAGTGTTTCAAAACTGTTCTGTCTAAAGAAATGTTCAACTGTGTTAGTTGAGGACACACATCAGAAACTAGTTTCTGAGAATGCTTCTGTCTAGTTGTTATGGGAAGATATTTCCTTTTCCAACGTAGGCCTGAAAGCGCTCCAAATGTCCACTTCCATATACTAAAAAAAGAGTGTTTCAAACCTGCTCTACCAAAGGGAATGTTCTACTCTGTGACTTGAATGCAAACATCCCAAAGAAGTTTCTGAGAATGCTTCTGTCTAGATTTTCTCTGAAGACAATCCCGTTTCCAACGAAATCCTCAAGGCTAGGCAAATATACTCTTGCAGATTCCAGAAAAAGAGTGTTTCAAAACTGCTCCTTCAAAACGGTGGTTCAATTCTCTTAGTTGAGTACACACATCTCAAATAAGTTTCTGAGAATGCTTCTGCCTAGTTGTTACGGGAAGATATTTCCCTTTCCAACATAGGCCTGAAAGCGCTCCAAATGTCCACTTCCAGATACTACAAAAAGAGTGTTTCAAACCTGCTCTACCAAAGGGAATGTTCTACTCTGTGACTTGAATGCAAACATCCCAAAGAAGTTTCTGAGAATGCTTCTGTCTAGATTTTACCTGAAGACAATCCCGTTTCCCACGAAATCCTCAAAGCTATGCAAATATCCTCTTGCAGATTCTACAAAAAGAGTGTTTCAAAACTGCTCTATGAAAAGAAAGGTTCAACTCTGTCAGTAGAGGGCACACATCACAAACAAGTTTCTGAGAATGCTTCTGTCTAGTTGTTATGGGAAGATATTTCCTTTTCCAACATAGGCCTGAAAGCGCTCCAAATGTCCACTTCCAGATACTACAAAAGGAGTGATTCCAACCTGCTCTATGATAGGGAATGTTCAACTCTGTGTCCTGAATACAAACATCACAAAGATGTTTCTCAGAACGCTGCAGTCTGCAATTTGTATGAATTCCCGCTTCCAACGAAATCCTCAAAACTAGCCAAATATCCACTTGCAGATTCCACAAAAAGACCATTTCAAAACTGCTCTATCAAAAGAAAGGTTCAACTTTGTTAGTTGAGTAGATACAGCATAACCAAGTTTCTGAGAATGCTTCTGTCCAGTTTTTATGGGAAGATATTTCCTTTTTCACCTTAGCCCTGAAATCGCTCCAAAAGTCCAGTTCCAGATACTACAAAAGGGGTGTTTCAAGACTGCTCTATGAAAGGGAGTGTTCAACTTTTGACTTGAATGCAAACATCAGAAAGCAGTTTCTCAGAACGCTGCTGTGTGCTTTTTATATGTATTCCCGCTTCCAGCGAAATCCCCAAAGCTAGCCAAATATCCACTTGCAGATTCCAGAAAAAGAGAGTTTCAAAACTGCTCCTTCAAAACGGTGGTTCAATTCTCTTAGTTGAGTACACACATCTCAAATAAGTTTCTGAGAATGCTGCAGTCTGCAATTTGTATGAATTCCCGCTTCCAACGAAATCCTCCAAACTAGCCAAATATCCACTTGCAGATTCCACAAAAAGAGCGTTTCAAAACTTCTCTATGAAAAGAAAGGTTCTACTCCTTTAGTTGAGGACACACATCACGAGTAAGTTTCTGAGAATGCTTCTGTCTAGTTTTTGTGGGAAGATATTTCCTTTTTCACCTTAGGCCGGAAAGTGCTCCAAATGTCCACTTACACACACTACAAAAAGAGTGTTTCAAACCTGCTCTGTGAAAGGGAATGTTCAATTCTGTGACTTGAATGCAATCATCACAAAGAACTTTCTGAGAATGCTGCTGTCTGCTTTTTATATGTAATCCCGTTTCCAACGAAATCCTCAAATCTAGCCAAATATCCACTTGCAGATTCCACAAAAAGAGTGTTTCAAAACTGTTCTGTCTAAAGAAAAGTTCAACTGTGTTAGTTGAGGACACACATCAGAAACTAGTTTCTGAGAATGCTTCTGTCTAGTTGTTATGGGAAGATATTTCATTTTCCAACGTAGGCCTGAAAGCGCTCCAAATGTCCACTTCCATATGCTAAAAAAAGAGTGTTTCAAACCTGCTCTACCAAAGGGAATGTTCTACTCTGTGACTTGAATGCAAACATCCCAAAGAAGTTTCTGAGAATGCTTCCGTCTAGATTTTATCTGAAGACAATCCCGTTTCCAACGATATCCTCAAGGCTAGGCAAATATCCTCTTGCAGATTCCAGAAAAAGAGTGTTTCAAAACTGCTCCTTTAAAACGGTGGTTCAATTCTCTTAATTGAGTACACACATCTCAAATAAGTTTCTGAGAATGCTTCTGCCTAGTTGTTACGGGAAGATATTTCCCTTTCCAACATGGGCCTGAAAGCGCTCCAAATGTCCACTTCCAGATACTACAAAAAGAGTGTTTCAAACCTGCTCTACCAAAGGGAATGTTCTACTCTGTGACTTGAATGCAAACATCCCAAAGAAGTTTCTGAGAATGCTTCTGTCTAGATTTTACCTGAAGACAATCCCGTTTCCCACGAAATCCTCAAAGCTATGCAAATATCCTCTTGCAGATTCTACAAAAAGAGTGTTTCAAAACTGCTCTATGAAAAGAAAGGTTCAACTCTGTCAGTAGAGGGCACACATCACAAAGAAGTTTCTGAGAATGCTTGTGTCTAGTTGTTATGGGAAGATATTTCCTTTTTCAACATAGGCCTGAAAGCGCTCCAAATGTCCACTTCCAGATACTACAAAAGGAGTGATTCCAACCTGCTCTATGATAGGGAATGTTCATCTCTGTGTCCTGAATACAAACATCACAAAGATGTTTCTCAGAACGCTGCAGTCTGCAATTTGTATGAATTCCCGCTTCCAACGAAATCCTCAAAACTAGCCAAATATCCACTTGCAGATTCCACAAAAAGACCATTTCAAAACTGCTCTATCAAAAGAAAGGTTCAACTTTGTTAGTTGAGTAGATACAGCATAAACAAGTTTCTGAGAATGCTTCTGTCCAGTTTTTATGGGAAGATATTTCCTTTTTCACCTTAGCCCTGAAATCGCTCCAAAAGTCCAGTTCCAGATACTACAAAAGGGGTGTTTCAAGACTGCTCTATGAAAGGGAGTGTTCAACTTTTGACTTGAATGCAAACATCAGAAAGCAGTTTCTCAGAACGCTGCTGTGTGCTTTTTATATGTATTCCCGCTTCCAGCGAAATCCCCAAAGCTAGCCAAATATCCACTTGCAGATTCCAGAAAAAGAGTGTTTCAAAACTGCTCCTTCAAAACGGTGGTTCAATTCTCTTAGTTGAGTACACACATCTCAAATAAGTTTCTGAGAATGCTGCAGTCTGCAATTTGTATGAATTCCCGCTTCCAACGAAATCCTCAAACCTAGACAAATATCCACTTGCAGATTCCACAAAAAGAGCATTTCAAAACTGCTCTATCAAAAGAAAGGTTCAACTTTGTTAGTTGAGTAGATACAGCATAAACAAGTTTCTGAGAATGCTGCAGTCTGCAATTTGTATGAATTCCCGCTTCCAACGAAATCCTCCAAACTAGCCAAATATCCACTTGCAGATTCCACAAAAAGAGCGTTTCAAAACTTCTCTATGAAAAGAAAGGTTCTACTCCTTTAGTTGAGGACACACATCACGAGTAAGTTTCTGAGAATGCTTCTGTCTAGTTTTTATGGGAAGATTATTTCCTTTTTCACCTTAGGCCGGTAAGTGCTCCAAATGTCCACTTACACACACTACAAAAAGAGTGTTTCAAACCTGCTCTGTGAAAGGGAATGTTCAATTCTGTGACTTGAATGCAATCATCACAAAGAACTTTCTGAGAATGCCGCTGACTGCTTTTTATATGTAATCCCGTTTCCAACGAAATCCTCAAATCTAGCCAAATAGCCACTTGCAGATTCCACAAAAAGAGTGTTTCAAAACTGTTCTGTCTAAAGAAATGTTCAACTGTGTTAGTTGAGAACACACATCAGAAACTAGTTTCTGAGAATGCTTCTGTCTAGTTGTTATGGGAAGATATTTCCTTTTCCAACGTAGGCCTGAAAGCGCTCCAAATGTCCACTTCCAGATACTACAAAAAGAGTGTTTCAAACCTGCTCTACCAAAGGGAATGTTCTACTCTGTGACTTGAATGCAAACATCCCAAAGAAGTTTCTGAGAATACTTCTGTCTAGCATTTTATCTGAAGACAATCCCGTTTCCAACGAAATCCACAAAGCTAGGAAGATATACTCTTGCAGATTCCAGAAAAAGAGTGTTTCAAAACTGCTCCTTCAAAACGGTGGTTCAATTCTCTTAGTTGAGTACACACATCTCAAATAAGTTTCTGAGAATGCTTCTGCCTAGTTGTTACGGGAAGATATTTCCCTTTCCATCATGGGCCTGAAAGCGCTCCAAATGTCCACTTCCAGATACTACAAAAAGAGTGTTTCAAACCTGCTCTACCAAAGGGAATGTTCTACTCTGTGACTTGAATGCAAACATCCCAAAGAAGTTTCTGAGAATGCTTCTGTCTAGATTTTACCTGAAGACAATCCCGTTTCCCACGAAATCCTCAAAGCTATGCAAATATCCTCTTGCAGATTCTACAAAAAGAGTGTTTCAAAACTGCTCTATGAAAAGAAAGGTTCAACTCTGTCAGTAGAGGGCACACATCACAAACAAGTTTCTGAGAATGCTTGTGTCTAGTTGTTATGGGAAGATATTTCCTTTTTCAACATAGGCCTGAAAGCGCTCCAAATGTCCACTTCCAGATACTACAAAAGGAGTGATTCCAACCTGCTCTATGATAGGGAATGTTCCTCTCTGTGTCCTGAATACAAACATCACAAAGATGTTTCTCAGAACGCTGCAGTCTGCAATTTGTATGAATTCCCGCTTCCAACGAAATCCTCAAAACTAGCCAAATATCCACTTGGAGATTCCACAAAAAGAGCATTTGAAAACTTCTCTACGAATAGAAAGGTTCTACTCCTTTAGTTGAGGACACACATCACGAGTAAGTTTCTGAGAATGCTTCTGTCTAGTTTTTATGGGAAGATATTTCCTTTTTCACCTTAGGCCGGAAAGCGCTCCAAATGTCCACTTACACACACTACAAAAAGAGTGTTTCAAACCTGCTCTGTGAAAGGGAATGTTCAATTCTGTGACTTGAATGCAATCATCACAAAGAACTTTCTGAGAATGCTGCTGACTGCTTTTTATATGTAATCCCGTTTCCAACGAAATCCTCAAATCTAGCCAAATAGCCACTTGCAGATTCCACAAAAAGAGTGTTTCAAAACTGTTCTGTCTAAAGAAATGTTCAACTGTGTTA